>NC_000012.12:125587640-125889263 GCF_000001405.40 Homo sapiens
GTCTTTCACATGGAGGTTGAAGGATATTTGTCATTTCTGGTCACACTTGTGCTCCTAGTTTTTGATAGTGGATTTCAGAGGAAGGTGAGATATTTTTTGTACTCCAGTCTCTAAAAATAAATAAGCAACAAATGATAGACTTCACTCTCTCACTCTGATGGAGAATTCTGTATCTTTCTAGGCCGTAAGAAGAACAATAAAAAATTGGGTTGTGCTCTGCCAAAAAGTGTCTGAGAGGCTGAGGACTCTTGAAATCAAATCACAGGAGAAATGATTGAAGGAAGTGTGAGTGTTAAGCCTATTGATGAGAAGAAAAGGCTCAGGGGTGAGGTGGAGAGGGAGACATGACAGCTTTTTGTAAGTCTTTCAAGGGCCATCATGTAGAAGATGGAGTAGCTTTGTGCTTTTTAGATTCCAAGAATGGAAGTTGAAAGGTACCAGTTTTAGCTCAATATAAAGAAAAAGACTGCAGAGGTAGTGAGTTCTTTGGTTGAGCTTCCAGACATGTGATGTTGCTAAAGATCCTGACTCCACCTTCCTCACCGTTTGACCTTGGGCAAATTACTTACCATCTCTGAGCCTAGTTTCCTTATCTATAAAATGGGGATGGTAATGATACAGTGGAAACGTACTTTTCTAGAGATTTGTTCTAAAGTCACAGCAAACGGCAGAACTAACAATAACCAAACTACTCCCTAATCCTTGAAAATCCCCAGTCTCACTGGGTCATCCAGGCTGGAGTGCAGTGGCGTGATCTCGGCTTACTGCAGCCTTGACCTCCCAGGCTCAAGTGATCCTCCCACCTCAGCCTCCCAAGCAGCTGGGACTACAGGCTCCCACCACTGCGCCAGGCTAATTTTCGTATTTTTTATAGAGACAGTTTTTCCGTGTTGCCTAGGCTGGTCTCCAACTACTAGACTCAAGTGATCTGCCTGCCTCAGCCTCCCAAAGTGCTGAGATTACAGGCATGAGCCACCACGCCCCTCTACACCTGGGTTTTTAGAAATACAAAAGACAGTAGATTTTTTTAAAAAAATGTTTTCCTGGCATTTGAGCTAAGGGCACATTTTCGGGAGCAGTCCAGGGCAAGGTTTTAAAGGGAGTTTTGGGGGAAGTCTAGATGAGTAACCTTTGGGCGCATTTGAAGATAAATTTCCCGCTCATTCTCTGCTATTCTTTTATGTCTTCTGGTGGAAATCTTGTCAGATGGTAACCTTAAGTTATTCTATGTACTTGTAATTGAATTGTTAAATCTATGTGTGATAAAAAGCCCAATGTGGAGTTTAGAGGATGATTAAATAAGAATGTATATCTAGAAAAATTCACATAGTGCTTGACCTGTAATATATTAATACATATTACATCCATACCTATTCACCTGCATATTTATATACATATGCACATGTGGATATAAATATGCAGGTGAATGGGTATAGATATAATATTTATTGACATATTGAAATATCCAAAATATTGTTTGGATATTTGTCTCCAAGCTATATTTAGATATTTGGGCCTCTGTATTATTTTGTTCTCACATTGCTATAAAGAAATACCTGAGGCCGGGCACGGTGGCTCACGCCTGTAATCCCAGCACTTTGGGAGGCCAAGGCGGGCAGATCACGAGGTCAGGAGATCGAGACCATCCTGGCTAACACGGTGAAACCCTGTCTCTACTAAAAATACAAAAAATTAGCCGGGCGTAGTGGCGGGGGCCTGTAGTCCCAGCTACTCGGGAGGCTGAGGCAGGAGAATGGCGTGAACCCGGGACGCGGAGCTTGCAGTGAGCCAAGATTGCGCCACTGCACCCCAGCCCGGGTGACAGAGCGAGACTCCGTCTCAAAAAAAAAAAAAAAAAAAAAAAAAGAAATACCTGAGACCGGGTAACTTATAAAGAAAAGAGGTTTAATTGGCTCATGGTTTCACAAGCTATACAGGAAGCATGGTTCTGATCTGCTCAGCTTCTTGGGAGGCCTTAGGAAACTTACAGCCATATCAGAAGATGAAGGAGGAGCAGACACATCTTACATGGCAGGAGCAGGAGCAAGCAGGGCAGAGGAAGGTGCCACACACTTTTAAATGACCAGATCTCATTAGAAGTCACTCACCATCTATCGTGAGGACAGTACTAAGTGGGATGGTGCTGAATCATTCATGAGAAATCTGCCCCCATGATCCAATCACCTTCCACCAGGCCCCACCTCCAACATTAGGGATTACAATTCAACATGAGATTTGGTGGGGACACAGATCCAAACCATATCAGCCTCCAAATCTCATGTTGAGATGTAATCCCCAGTGGTGGAGGTGGGGCCTGGTGGGAGGTGTTTGGGTCATAGGTGCGGATCCCTCATGAATGGCTTAGTGCTGTCCCCTTGGTGATGAGTGAGTTCACATGAGACCTGGTTGTTTAAAAGTGTGTGGCACCTCCTCACTCCCTCTCTGACCATGTGGGCCATCTGCTCTCCCTTTGCCTTCTGCCATGATTGTAAGCTTCCTGAGGTCCTTGCCAGAAGCAGATGAGGGTACTGTGAGCTAGTTAAATCACTTTTCTATCTAAATTATCCAGCCTCAGGGATTTCCTTATTGCAATGCAAGAATGGCCTAACACAACGTCCACATTCATATCCATGAATGTTAACTGCTACTTGATTGTAAGGTCCACAATATCTATGATTATGTCTATTTTACTAACTATTCTTTTCCCAGTCCTAAGCACTGTATCTGGAACACAGTAAATATTTGTTGAATATTGAATGAATGAATGCTAGAGCTTCCCAGAGATGGAACAAGATACTATGCACAAATGGCTGTTACACCTTTATCAGAACATTGTCAGTGAATTTTCTGTTACTGAAAATCTTCAAAAAGGTAGAAGGTTCCCTGTAGTCAAAGGGATTTGGCATCGGGTAAAGACTTGGACCTGATCCTATCCAAATCGTCTTTTGTTCTCATGGGACTTCACAAATACTTCCTAATCATCCACTTGTGGAGGGCAATATATAAACAGCTTTGGGAGATATAAAGGTGTAATGCATATGACTTCTATCCGTAGGAGCTTACTACAGCTAATGAGTATTAATAGGTAACATTTATTGAGCATTTATTAAGTACCAGGTACCATTATAATAAGAGCATTAGAAGTGTTGACCCATTGCATCTTCACAACAAGCTTTTAAGACAGGTAATACTACTATTCGAAGTTTATACATGAGGAAGTGGCATCTAGAAGGTGCTGTAGCTCAAGTTCTAGTGGATACAGGGGTGAGAGTTCCCACCTAGGAGGTCAGCCCCAGATCCTATGACCTCAACCTCTGTACATCTAAAATTGTCACTCTTGAAGGTTATGTAGGGCATTGTGTGTACGCATGCACGCCCGCGTGTGTGTGTGTGTGTTTGTGTGTGTGTGTGTTGCGGTGGGGAGTGGCACGCTGGTGTTTCTATGAGCTAGTAGCCAAATATTGTTCCTATGATTTTCCCATCAGGGAATGAATTGATAGTGGACTTTTTTTGAATTTGCAAAAGATGTATTTTCATTTTTTAATCCGTATCACCTGGAACAACATGTATCTTACAGTTCTGGAGGTCAGAAGTCTAAAATAGGTCAGTACGGCTGCATTCCTTCTGGAAGCTCTAGGGGAGAATCTGTTTCTTTGCCTTTTCCAACTTCTAGAGGCCATGTGTGTTTCTTGGCTGTGAAGCTGTGAACCCTTCCTCAATTTTCAAAGCCAGCAGCGTAGCATCTCCAACTCTCTCTCTCTTCCCCACATGGCTAATTCCATCATCACATCGCCTTCTCTGACTCTGACCCTGCTGCCTCCCTCTTACAAGGACCCTTGTGATTACTTTGGGGGCCACAAGATAATCCATATCAAGATCCTTAACTTAATGACATCTGTGATGTCCTTTTGACAAAGGTATTAGTTTCCTAGAACTGTTACCACAAACTTGATGGCTTAAACCAATAGAAATTTGTCCTTTCGCAGTTCTGGAGGCCAGAAATCTGAAATCAAGGTGTCAGCAGGACTCCAGTCCCTCTAAAGGCTCTAGAGGAGAATCGTTCCTTGCCTCTTCCAGCTTCTGGTGGCCCTGGGTGTTCCTTGGCTTGTGGCAGCATCACTGTAATCTCTGCCTCTGTGGTTGCATGGTCTCACCCCTGTGTCTCTGTATGACCCTCTTTTCTTATAAGGGTACCTGTCATTGGATTTAGGGGCCGTCCTAATTCAGGATGGTCTCTTCTTGAGATCATTGAAATTGCATCTGCAAATACCCTTTTTCTAAATAAGATCACATTCACAGGTGCTGGGGGTTTCGACTTGGCCATATCTTTTTTTGGGGCCACAATTCAACCCACCCTACTGTGTAAGGTAGATATTTTCAAGTTCTGGGGTTTAGGGCAGAGATATCTTCTGGGAGGAGGTGACTTTATGCTGCCTGCCACAGTGTGTATTCTTTTCTTTGCTGAGTCTTTTTTAAGATCTTTGGAAAAAGAAAGAAAAGGCAATGTTCATACTGTAATTATGATTTAATCTTTATGTGTCTATCTTTTTTACTTCAGGATGGCTTCATGTTTTCATGCATTTGCAGTTGTATTGTTTGTAAATGAATTGTGGTTTTCAGAACCACAGAAGCCAGTCATGCCTCTTCAGTGGGGGATGAACTCTTTCACACTTGCAGATAAATAAGTATAAGCTCACATGGATCTTGAAGATGGTGCTTTCCAACTTATGGCTGCAATAATTAAGTTTCTGGCCTTCCAGTATCACTGGACTTGAAATAATGAGATGTTAAATGGCTAATAAAGGGACATTAATATTTTAAAGCCTTCCCTGTCCCAGGGAAGGACTTTGTTTCCAAACTTGGTCTGTGAGGGGTAAGGTAAGGCAGTGGATGTCAGAAAAAAAAAACTAAAGTTTTTGCTGTTTGCTGAGCAGTGTGTGGGGAGCTGGTCACTAGATAAAGCCTGATGGAAAACATCAGCAGTCTGGAAAACATCAGCATCTTCCAGAGAGTGGCTGCATTTCTTGGGGTAATGTGCAGCAGCACCTACAAAACTCTATATGATCAAAGTTTCCTTAAGTGGTTGTGTTTACAGAGAGGGTGAGATGGAATGTGGATGTGTGCTGAATGTGGTCCTTAGAGAGGCGCACCTGAGCTGATGTCACTGAGCAACATACATGACTATTCAGGTAGAGGAGACGAACAAGTGTGGTAGGTAGTGGGATCTAAGGCAGGAACAAGTGGAATTTCTGCATTGGTGCGTATTGGTTTTGTTTTTGTTGTAGCAAGTCACAGAAACCCAAATCCAGCTGCCTAAGACTAATCCGAATTTTACTTAGAAGAACATACAGAAAAATTCAAAAGAGATTTAAGGCTATTTCTTTCCCCTTTAGCAACGCTTGACAAAAATTTATGTAAAAACACCATTATTCTATTTCTGGGCATGAATTTCCTTTCCTTTGCCCATCACTGGGAGCTGCGCAGCTAAGAATAAGTTGTCAGGCAGTTTGGATGTTATTGCCTAATTTTGTCCTTCTTTATGCTGGTAATTTGGACTTTTATTGTTCTGTTCTAATTGGAGATGTGTCATATATTTCCTGTTGGCCTGGGATAGATATTGCTGCATTCTCAACCTTTTGTTCCTGTCAGCCTCATTATGATTGCAGTATTAATTAGATCATTTGTTCATTTCTGTCTTTGGCATCTCTAATTAAGAACCAACACTCTGGAATTGTTTCTGCATAATTCAGGGAAATCTTGGAATGAGCCAGTGTAAACCTGCAAGCCTCCCAGCTCCACCTGCCCAGTAAACATGGCCATGTGCTTCCTTCTCTTCTCTTCTAGAAGCCTTCCATCTAGTCTTCTCCATCCAGGCCCTGCTTAGGTCTGAGGTTAGGGGATTACTAGAGAATTGGCGTGTGAAAGTGTCTGGGATATCAGGCCTGATCCAATATGGCTCTAGGGTCCTCTATTTCCCAGAGACATACTTATTTTGTGTTAACTAGGAGGGAAGGGGACTCTCATTCATGTTTGGGTACTTGGTTCACAATTTAGACTCCTGCCCTGCAGCTTTGATGCTTGAAAAAATGTCAGCTTCATATTCAAGTTCATTTGGTTTCCTGAAGAAACTCAAATTAAAAAACTTTATAAATTAAGTAGATCACATAATTATAAGATGTAGACAACGGTATGAATGGATCTAGGTACAAAGGCAATGTGTGAGGCTACTGCCACCTCTACTATTTTTCTTTGTAACAGCTTTATAGAGGTGTAACAGTCAGTAAACTTCACATATTAAAGTCTGCAATTTGATTAGTTTTGACGATTTCATGAGTGTGAAATTATCACCAAAATCAAAATAGTGAACATATCCTTAACTTCTGAACTTTCTTCATGTCCCTTTATAATCTCCTCTCTTCTGCCCCTCTCCACTTGTTCCCAGATAGCCACTCATCTTCTCTTTCTCACTGAAGATTTTCATTTTATAAAGTCTGAGGCAAATAGAATCATAATGTATGCTCCCTGTCTTTCCTTATTTGCTCTTGCTTCTTCCATCCAGTTAATTTGACATTCACCCATGTTATGTGTAACAATAATTCATTCCTTTTTATTACTGAGTAGTATTCCACTGTTTGAATATATCACTGTTTATCAATCTATTGATGGACATCTGGGTTGTTTCTAATTTGGGGATCTTACAACTAATGCTGCGATAAACATTGAAGCCAGCCTTTGTCTGGACATAGCTTTCACTTCTTAGGAACAGAAAGGTTGTATCATATTAAGTGTATTTTTAACTTTTTAAGAAGCTGCCAAACTGTTTTCTAAAGTGGTTACACCATTTTACTTTCCCACTATCAGGATTTGAGAGTCCTGTTACCTCCACATCTTGGCCAGCACTTAGTATGATCAGTCTTTTTAATATTAGCCTTCCTATTGGATTTATAGAGGTTTGTAATTTTGGTTTTAATTTGCATATCCCTAGCGATTACTGATGTTGAGCATCTTTTCAGTGTGCCATTTTGCCATCTACTGATTTTGGTGAAGTTGCTGTTTAAATCTTTTAAATTAGGTTATTGTAAAAACATTATTGAGTCTTGAGAGTTGTTTTTATATTCTGGATACAAGTTCATTATCCAATATGTGATTTGAAAATACGTTATATTTGAAAATATGTTATTCCATATTGTGGTTTGTGTTTTCATACTCTAATAGGGTCTTTAGAGGAGCAGAAGTTTTTCATTTTGATGAGGTTGAATTTATCAATTTTTTTTCAACCTCATCAGCTCCCACCCTGCCTGTTGAGCTCAGTGTTCTCAGGAAATGTCAGCTAGAAGAATGAATGGATGCCATTCCCATGGACAAACAAAAGGCATGACGGGAACTCAGTGTAGATCAGCCTTTCCTTAGAGTCAACCTCTTCCTACTCAGTTCTCTCCCACATGCATGTATTGAGCAAGTGCTATTGAGAGGCAGTTTTGATGTCATGGCAGATGTATTATAATGTGCTGGTTTATTGCCCTGTTGAGCTTTCTTTGCCCTTAGCTGGCAGCTCCATGAAGGGGGAGGGACCTATTGCTCTTCCTCATTAGTTCTTCCCGTCACTAGCACTGCACCTGGCATGAGTTAGGTGCTCTATGAATAGACTTGAATGTAGGCTAATGGTGGAGCTTATTGGTGCCAGCAATTAATGTCGCTGCTCATGGAAAGGGGGCTTCAGAGTCCAGTGGATGTGGCATTTAAACCTACCTCAGCCATCACTTTCCGGGGGATTTGGGGAAATTTGCTTTTCAAAATGAACCTCAGAGACAGGCTTTGTATGTGATAATAACTAGCGTTTATTGAGCACTTGCTATGTGCTCAGCACCTAAGCTCTTCACATGTATCAGTTCATATATTAGGTTGGTGCAAAAGTAACTGTGGTTTCTGCTATCAAAAAAAGGCAAAAATCGCAATTACGTTTGCACCAACCAATGATACTCAAAATAATCCTGTGAGGCCTGACTGTGAGGATCCACATTTTACAGACAAGATATCTGATGCACAGGGAAGTTAATCACTATCACCTAAATGGAGATCACCTAGCTGGTAAGTGCTAGGGCTGGGATTTGAGCCTTGGTAGTTCTTACAAAAGAGTCCAGCAGGTTCTAGACCACTGCATTAAAGAGAGTGAAATTTCACATTGAACCCAGCCCCATTGGAGCAATTTCATGCTTATTTCTCAGGGCGGCTTTTTTTTTTTTCTCCCTACTCTTGGACTATCCACAAACTAACTTTACCCTGAGTGGTTAAGATTACTTTTCACAGACAAACACATGTCCTCTTTTTTTCTCTTAAATATTTCAAATGTCCACAGAGAAACTCACTCATGTCAGGAACTAATGAACATGAAAAGAATGAAACAGGAGGTAGAACTCCTTTTCCAGCCAAGAGTTACTTGTACTAACAGAGATGTGATGGGCATAGATAAGAGACTCTTAGAGTCTCCCATGTTCTCCCCAGATACTCAGGGGGTTTAGAATGAGCAGTTTATTAGTGTTTTATTGATTTATATCACTAAACGGATATGGACTTTCAGAAGTTCACACTGCCTTTTGCAGCTGGTGGCAATAAAGATTCTGTCTCAGCTGAAAACAATGGGATGAGCCTTCTCAGGGGGTAGACGAAGTGGATTACACAGCCTCCTATTAAACAAATGTGTGCTTCTCTTTTCCATTCCATTGTCAAGAGGGGTGGGCTTCCAGAAGCAAAAGATCATTTCTACTCATATACCCAATTTATTCCTTCTGTTCTGACTACATTTTCTAAACTGCTCTTTATTTGCCATCCAGACATTCAACATTTAACTTGAAATGCTGAGAGAAAAATCTTAGCTCTTAAATCACTTTGTCTGATTTTCTGTTCCTCCTTGCAATGTTGGATTAGCCTTAAAGGGCCCCTCCTCAAAATGTTTCCTGTGTTTGTTACCACTTCTAAAGTCCAGTTTAACAAGCCTTTTTTTAAAGAGTAAAGGCCTCAGCCCCAAGTGATTGCCGTGATAAAATAATCTTTTGATGCCCTGAACTACTGAACACTTTCTGTCCTCAAGAATGTCAACCATGTCACTCCCAAGAGTATATGTTTCCGAGAACAGAGAGATGAATAAGTATTTCACACAATTTCTTGACATCCTTTGTGTCTAACAAATGACAAATATTTGAGTTACAGTCTGACTTCTTTTCATAGAAGCACAGTTGTAGGCAGAGCCCTAGATGGCTATGTGCTGAGACATCTATGTCTGAAGGCCACATGTAGGGACAGTGACTTCCCATGTGCTTTTATTGAAAGTGTCCCTAGGTGACAAAATAACACTGAAGACCCTGCAGCAGTTGCCAGCTCTGATACTAGAGCATGCACCATGGCTCTGGCTGGGAGAGATGGGACTTTGGCCAGGTACATGGAGTGAAAGAATTTTGGTTTCATAAATAAGTCATGTATAATAAAGAAGACAGCATATTTAAAATTCCTGGTAGAGTTTCTGGCACAGAATATGCAATCAATAATTGTTAATATTCATCATTACAATTATTACTTGGTCTTAAAGTATCTTCTAATTGTTTTCATGTTAAATATATTGTGTTCCCAAAAGAAAAATTGATAAAAAACCCACTGGCTGGGCATCTGAAGGCTGGTTTTCAGCTCCTGCCTTGCCATTTTCGTGCTGTGTTACATAGCTGAGTGCTTAATGTGCCTGGCTTCAGGTTGTTCATCTCTTGGATAGGTGTGGAGGCACTTGGCCTGCCTCCCTCAAAAAGACACTTGTAATTTCTAACTCTCTTAGAACTGCAAGGAGAATTCCTCTTCAAACCTATCAAGGCATGTTGTGTAACAATAAATCAGCATGAGCAAGCAGGCACTGTATCTATCTTTGTATATTACAGCACTGGGCTCATTGTATGTATTCAAAAATATTAAATTCATGAGTGATTTTTTCATTTTTAAAGAAATCACTCAATGAGAGCTCTCAAAGTTTTACAGATTGTTCTTTCTTTTCAGCAGCTTCATAAGAGACAGAGATGGAGAATTCAGATTTGTCCAGTGCCTGCCGGGTGCCTGTCATTCCCCTCCAGTGTCCTTTGCACTGGCCATTTCAAGTAGATGTCACAGTGGCCTCTTCAGATAACAGAAATATTTTCTCCATTGCTAAAGTTTAGAGAGTTAGGTGTCCAAGGTCATGCAGGTATGAATCAAGGCACATGGAGCTTGAGTCCAGGTTCACTTTATTCCACAATCTGTATTTTCCTGTGTGCTGCCACCATAAATGTGATCTTTAGAGTTTAGTAAAGACTTAATGAATCCTAAGGATTCAGAATTGGCAATGGGAGCGTTTGTGGTGTGTAGGATGTGGGAGGATTACGGAGATTAAGGCTGACATGAATTGTACAAGTAAAGCTAGAGAACTGCTATGATGAAGGAAGCTGTGTTTGATCAGAACCCTAGAAGGAAACCCTGGCCCTCTAGAAATGTCGATAGCACTGCATAAACAAACTGAAATCATTGCCTTGACACAGCAATTACACGCCATTATTTTAATGAAGATGAAGTGAACACACAGAACAATACAGATGGGATACATTGAGGAAAGGAAGTCTTTCACTGCTAATAAAGATTTCCCTTCAGACTGATCTGTAAGAGGTGACACGTGTTCATTGAACATGGAATGTGGAATCATTGAAAAATTAACCTGCCCCAATCCACAAAAGTTCAGGGACCATGGCCTGTGAGACAATCGAGGCAGCAACAAAGTCATGATACTATCACTGAGGAAGGGTCTTTCAGTGTAAATCAATATGCCATCTGCAACTTGCCTAAAACATGAATTCTTTACAGAGTTGTCTCAGTAAGTTGGGGCTAATAGCCCCAAGAGTGCCAAGAGTTAATCAAAGATGGGACTGGGACACCTAGAAGAATAGAAACAAATCAATATAGAAAAGGTGCCAATGAAAACTAATGTGCAAATGAAAATCATTTCTTTCAGATGAAAACTTTCCTTTAATAGGATGGATGTTTTGTGGGGTTGACATGCAAACCTTACATGATCCATTGCCACATGCAAAGGGGCTGAGCATTGCGCCTCAGAGTCTGAGGTAAAGATGTGTTAATCATGACTCCTGGTTATGAGTGCTGAGGTTGAACTACCTCAAATTCCCCTAATAGAGGGGGTGTGCTGGTTCTTAGAAGCAACTTAGGGGAAGGCTGGGGTCTTGGGGATGGCAGGAACCAGAAAATGGATCTATGTCAGGATACTTTGTGTTTCTTGTTTCCATGCATCAATTTCCTTCTTGCAGACCAGCTTATCCTCAAAGCAGTGATCACAGTCATAATCAGCTTCAAGTCACATCTGTAGATCTTTGTAGTGAGGGAGCAACATAGTTTGGCTGTGTCCCCACCCAAATCTCATCTTGAATTATAGCTCCCATAATCCTCATGTGTCATAGGAGGGACCTAGTGGGAGGTAACTGAATCAGGGGTGTGGGTTTTTCCCATGCTCTTCTGGTGATACTGAATAAGTCTCACGAGATCTGATTGTTTTATAAAGGGCAGTTCCCCTGCACACTTCTCTTGCTTGCTGCCATGTAAGATGTGCCTTTGCTCCTTCTTCACCTTCTGCCGTGATTGTGAGGCCTCCCCAGACATGTGGAACTGTGAGTCCCTTAAACCTCTTTTTCTTTATAAATTACCCAGTCTCAGGTATGTCTTTGTTAGCAGTGTGAGAATGGATTAATACAGGGAGGAAAAAATCTTTCCAACCATCTTTGTTGAAAAACTTTTGGGGAAGGGCCCTAGCCAGCTTAACATAAATCTGACTCTTACGCTCTCTGTGTGGCCTATGGTGAGAATTGAGGGTGGGGATGGGCTGGTGAGTGGTGTAGGGTGTGTGGGAGCTGAACGATCATGCTTGGGTCCCATGCTCATTCTGTGGCAGGGATTCAGGACAAAATAAAGAAGTAGTAGAAGTTGCTTGGGAAATCAATGAAGCAAGATCCCTTCTGCAGGAGTTTTTGTTTTAGATGTTAAAGGTTCGAATGTGTTCTCAAACTTAACCATTGAGTCTGGGAAATCTGGAAAAAGAGACATGGTCTGAGTTACCTGGGCCTTTTTTTCAGAATTCAGCTGTGGAAGGGAAGTAAGCTTAGCGCCAGGAATGACTATACTCTATTTGGTGAGTGGGGAAAACTTACTTTTGGTCTTGATGATTACATAGCAGTTCATCAGGTAGTCAATTAAAAGAAATGTCCTCTTGGCAGAAGTCAACAAAAGCACAGCTCTCTGGCAGAGGTGCATAGGTAATAAGGGATGAGTTAGGAGGCGACAATGGGTGGACAGGTGGGGGCTAGATTGTGATGGTTATTTCAGCCAAGGCAAGGAGTTTGGGTTTTATGCTATCATCATTGGAGGATTTTATTTTATAGAGTGAGAATTTTAGAAAATTAACTGAAAATAAATGTGATTTTGGCAACAGTGTGAGGGATGAATTGGAGGGAGGAAAGAGCCCTTGAAGAATTCTCTTCTGTCTATCCAAGACACAGAAAACACTGGACTAATTAAGGGAGCCCAATAAGAAACATGAGACAATGTAGTTGAAAAGACTCAGCAGAAATAGAAGCATATCATCATCCATCACAAGTCCACTCTTTCCTTCACCTCTGGCCAGTCCCTGCTTTGACTCTCTCCATTCCACTTTTCCATTTCTTTTGTACCACCTGCCACTGGCTGACATTACTATACTGTGTTTATTTATTGACTTGTTTACATGTTGCTCCGTTTGCTTGTCAACTTGTTATTTGTTTATCTGTCTCTCACAGTAGAAAGTGAGACCCATGAGGGCAGGGTCCATTGTTTATATCTGCATCCACAGCATCTAATCCTGGGCATATTAACTGAGTAAATGAATAAATGTGAATCTTTTTGCCTGTTGATTGATTCATTCAATTTTTCAAGGCAGCATTTAATGAATGCCCACTTTGTTCAATGTAATAAATCAAACTTTCATATTTGGTGTTTGGGCATTTTCTGTCCCATGTTCCACATCATTATGTGAAATGACATCGTGTCTAAATTGATGAGGAACAAAATAAAGGGATGGAGGAAAATTTACCAAGCAAATGGAAAGAAATAAAAGCAGGGGTTGCAATCCTAGTCTCTGACAAAACAGACTTCAAACCAACAAAGATAAAAAAAAGACAAAGAAGGGCATTACATCATGGTAAAGGGATCAATTCGACAAGAAGAGCTAACTATCCTAAATATATATGCACCCAATACAGGAGCACCCAGATTCATAAAACAAGTTCTTAAGACCTACAAAGAGATTTAGACTCCCACACAATAATAGTGGGAGACTTTAACACCCCACTGTCAATAATAAACAGATCAACGAGACAGAAAGTTAAAAAGGATATGCAGGACTTGAACTCAGCTCTGGATCAAGTGGAGCTAATAAACATCTACAGAACTCTCCACCCCAAATCAACAGAATATACATTCTTCTCAGTGCCACATAGCACTTATTATAAAATCAGCCACATAATTGGAAGTAAAACACTCCTCAGCAAATGCAAATGAACTGAAATCTTAACAGTCTCTCAGACCACGGTGAAATCAAATTAGAACTAAGGATTAAGAAACTCACTCAAAACCACACACAACTACATGGAAATTGAACAACCTGCTCCTGAATGACTCCTGGGAAATAATGAAATAAAGATAGAAATCAAGAAGTTTTTTGAAACCAATTAGAACAAAGAGACAATGTACCAGGATCTCTGGGACACAGCTAAAGGAGTGTTAAGAGGGAAATTTATAGCACTAAATGCCCACATTAGAAACCTAGAAAGATCTCAAATCAACACCCTAACATCACACTTAAAAGAGCTAGAGAAGTAAGAGCAAACAAATCCAAAAGCTAGCAGAAGACAAGAAATAACTAAGATCAGAGCAGAACTGAAGGAGATAGAGACATGAATAACCCTTCAAAAAAATCAATGAATCCAGGAGCTCGATTTTTGAAAAAATTAAATTAGATAGACCACTAGCTAGACTAATAAAGAAGAAAAGAGAGAAGAATCAAATAGACACAATAAAAAATGATAAAGGGGATATCACCACTGACCCCACAGAAATACAAACTACCATCAGAGAATACTATAAACACTTCTATGCAAATAAACTAGAAAATCTGGGAGAAATGGATAAATTCCTGGACACATACACCCTCCCAAGACTAAACCAGAAAGAAGTCAAATCCCTGAATAGACCAATAACAAGTTCTGAAATTGAGGCAGTAATTAATAGCCTATCAACCAATAAAAGCCCAGAACCAGACAGATTCACAGCCGAATTCTACCAGAGATACAAAGAGGAGCTGGTCCCATTCCTTCTGAAACTATTCCAAACAATTGAAAAGGAGGGACTCCTCCCTAACTCATTTAATGAGGCCAGGATCGTCCTGATACCCAAACCTGGCAGAGACACAACAATAAAAGAAAATTTCAGGCTAATATCCCTGATGAACATCGATGTGAAAATCCTCAATAAAATACTGGCAAACCGAATCTAGCAGCACATCAAAAAGCTTATCTACCGTGATCAAGTCGGCTTCATCCTTGGGATGCAAGGCTGGTTCAACATATGCAAATCAATAAACATAATACATTACATAAACAGAACCAATGACAAAAACTACATGATCATCTCAATAGATGCAGAAAATGCCTTCGATAAAACTCAGCACTCCTTCGTGTTAAAAACTCTCAATAAACTAGGTATTGATGAAACATATCTCAAAATAATAAGAGCTATTTATGACAAACCCACAGCCAGTATCATACTGAATGGGCAAAAGCTGGAAGCATTCCCTTTGAAAACCAGCACAAGACAAGAATGCCCTCTCTCACCACTCCTATTTAACATAGTGTTGGAAGTTCTGGCCAGGGCGATCACGCAAAAGAAAGAAATAAAGCGTATTCAAATAGGAAGAGAGGAAGTCAAATTGTCTCTGTTTGTAGACGACATGATTCTATATTTTTAGAAAACCCCAGCATCTCAGCCCAAAAACTCCTTAAGCTGATAAGCAACTTCAGCAAAGTCTCAGGATACAAAATCAATATGCAAAAATCACAGGCATCCCTATATACCAACAATAGACAGAGAGCCAAATCATGAATGAACTCCCATTCACAGTTACTACAAAGAGAATAAAATACATAGGAATACAGCTGAAAAGGGATATGAAGGACCTCTTCAAGGAGAACTACAAACCACTGCTCAAGGAAATAAGAGTACACAAAGGGAAAAACATTTCATCCTCATGGATAGAGAGAAACAATATCGTGAAAATGGCCATACTGCCCAAAGTAATTTATCGATTTAATTCTATTTGCATCAAACTACCATTTACATTCTTCACAGAATTAGCAAAAACTACTTTAAATTTCATATGGAACCAAAAAAGAGCCTGTATAGCCAAGAAAATCTTAAGTGAAGAGAACAAAGCTGGAGGCATCATGCTACCTGACTTCAAATTATACTACAAGGCTACAGTAACTGAAACAGCATGGTACTGGTACCAAAACAGTCATATAGACCAATGGAGTAGAATAGAGACCTCAGAAATAACACCACATCTACAACCATCTGATCTTTGACAAACCTGACAAAAGCAATGGGGAAAGGATTCCCCATTTAATAAATGGTGCTGTGAAAACTGGCTAGCCATATGCAGAAAACTAAAACTGGATCCCTTCCTTACACCTTATACAAAAATTAACTCAAGATGGATTAAAGACTTACATGTGAAACCCCAAACCATAAAAACCCCACAAGAAAACCTAGGCAATACCATTCAGGACATAGGTATGGGCAAAGACTTCATGATGAAAACACCAAAAGCAATTGCAACAAAAACAAAAATTGACAAATGGGATCCAATTAAACTAAAGAGCTTCTTCACAGCGAAAGAAACTATCATCAGAGTGAACAGGCAACCTACAGAATGGGATAAACTTTTTGCAATCTACCCATCTGACAAAGATCTAATATCCAGAATCTTCAGAACTTAATCAAATTTACAAGAAAAAAACAACCCTATTGAAAAGTGGGCAAAGGATATGAACAGACACTTCTCGAAAGAGGACATTTATGCAGCCAACAAATATATGAAGAAAAGCTCAACATCACTGATCATTAGAGAAATGCAAATCAAAACCACAATGAGATACCATCTCATGCTAGTCAGAATGGCAATTCTTAAAAAGTCAAGAAACAATGGAGACTGGCGAGGCTGTGAAGAATTAAGAACAATTTTACACTGTTGGTGGGAATGTAAATTAGTTCAATCATTGTGGAAGACAGTGCTGTGATTCCTCAAGGATCTAGAACCAGAAATACCATTTGACCCAGCAATCCCATTACTGGGTATATACCTAAAGGAATGTAAATCATTCTACTATAAAGACACATGCACACATATGTTTATTGCAGCACTATTTACAATAGCAAAGAGATGGAACCAACCAAAATGCCCATCAATGATAGACTGGATAAAGAAAATGTGGCACATATACACCATGGAATACTATGCAGCCATAAAAGGGAATGAGACTGTGTCCTTTTCAGGGACATGGATGAAGCTGGAAGCCATCATCTTCAGTAAACAAACACAGGAACAGAAAACCAAACACCACATGTTTTCACTCATAAGTGGGAGTTGAACAGTGAGAACACATGGATACAGGGAGGGGAACAATACACACCGGGGCCAGTTGGGGGGTTGTGGGGGAGGGGAGGGAGAGCATTGGGACGAATAGCTAATGCATGCAGGGCTTAAAACCTAGATGACAGGTTGATAGGTGCAGCAAAGCACCATGGCACACATATACCTATGTAACAAACCTGCACGTTCTGCACTTGTATCCCAGAACTTAAAGTAAAATAAAAAAAATAAATAAATTGATGAGCAAATGTTTGAACATGTTTCCACAAGGTGCAATATGAATCATGCCAGGAGCTCCTTGGATGTGGTGGAGCATATTCTCCTGTAGAGGATTTTTTCGTTTTTGTAGGCAACCAAAGGAAGGAACACTTTCTGAAATCTTTGTTTGTGAATAGGGAAGATAACTCTGGAATGTAGTGCCTGGCACTTTGTGGCAGACAATTTGCTTTCAAAATCATGGCTGATTAAGTTCTCATAGGCATGTAGCCAGGTTCCATGAGGGAGATTCTATGACAGACAACCAGAGAATTTCAAGCCATCTGACCCGCTTTAGTGCACAAGGAAAGAAAGTTTGTGCACAAAACTGTTTGGGGGTGACAGAAGAGGTGGTGGTTATTAAAGAGTGGAAGTTTGGACTAAGAAACACAAAAGGAAAAACTGTTGCTTGGGTGATTCTTGGCCCATATGAATGTGAATATGGCATCAATCATCACTAATGAGAAAGCAGCCAGTTTGAAAATCGTGTTCACTTAATTATATCAACACAGCAGACACCTTCTGGGCAGTCTTCCCACGTTGAGATAATTATCTTTCTTTTTTCCCTTTCTTCCTGATAATTGCTTCCTCTCATCTCTGCTCACACATGTGAGTGGGTGGTTAGCAATCATCTTTATATCGGGACACATTCCCTTGGTACTGATTGGACAGTTAACCGGCTGAGCTGGACCAATCAGACTCTATGATTTGAAATAAGTTAGTGTTGGTGGCAACTGCAACAAGTCTCTATATTGTGTCTGCCATGTGCATGGAAGAGCAGAATTAATCATTCCACAGAGTGAGAAAAAGAAAGCAAAGAGAGGAGCAGAGCTGAGAGGCAGAGAGACAGGCCTGGTTACCTGTTTCCTGGTTCCAGTCATTGGTGAGGTTCTAGCACTGTCAGCATGTCAGTTGAGCAGAATTCCCTATATTAGTATGAAAAATCTCTCCTCTTAATTTTCAGTGGGCGTCTGTACTCTGTAAGTAGAGTCATTACTAACAATTTCAACATACTACTTAATTGTTATTGAGCCCTACACTTTCTTAAGTACTTTTCATGCAAGACAAGCTTATATGTTAGGGGTTCTGATCTCCACATTACAGATATGGCAGCTGAGGCAAAGAGAATAAGGATGTTGGTTCACCATCCCCCAGGTTTTAGGTTTCAGATCCAAGCCGACTGACTGAAGAAGATGAGAGAGGAAATTATTTTGTATTGAGAAGATGAACCAAAGAAATTGGAAGAATTAGATATGGGCAGCAAAGACTGATGATGTATGATACATTGTGAAAGCTGGCATCAGAAACAAGAGGGTAAAAATGATGGCAGTATTTTGGTGGAAATGGATAACGTGTGACAGTAAATTTGAACATTGAGGGAGAGATATGAAAAGCTGAAGGGAACAATGTATTGTATGTCGTATATTTTGCTGAAATACAATTAAAGGGTAGAAAGTGGGTGGGGATAGAAAGGGTTGGTGACCCGAGAGATATTGTGTCCTCTATGTGGAATCTAACATAGGGAAAATATGAACAGTTCAGATTTCAGTCAATGGAGAACATGACTCTCCATGAGTTAAAATATGAATGAAAAGGTGAAGACTCTTTTTATTGTAGATGACAGGAATTCAACTAAAATTAGCAGGGCAAGGACTGATTTCTTTCCTTTTTTTTTTTTTTTTTGCTCATGCGACAGGGAAAGATGATGTGTGCATATGTGTGTACACGTATTAGTGTGATTATAGGTATGAATGTATGTGTGAATATGTGTGCACACATGAGCGTACAGCTGTGTGCATGCTAGCTACTATGTAGATAATGTGGGTGCATGTATATGTGTGGGCCAGAATGCACATGTGTGCATGTGTGCCAGCACATGTGAGTGTATGCATGTTTGTATGTGTGCTTATATATGTGAGCATGCACACGTTGTGTGCTAGTGTGTGCATCTGTGCACATACAGGTATACTCCAGCATCAGGCATTTCGGTATCTGGGGCTTCCATAACCAATGTTGTCAGAGCTCTTATCCCTCCCCTGCTACCCATCAGAAGTGGGTCTTCTCTTTGACCTCCTGCCTCCTCCTCAGGCAGCAACAGCTCCAGTCCCGGTGACCTGGGACCACTGAGCCCAGAGCAGCACTGAACTTAGAGCGGCAGGTGCTACTCGGCCTTAAATTCTGCAGGAGGGCAGGGAGGAGCTTCTGTCCCAGAAGACCTGAGCAAATATCCTCACAGCTCATTGGCCAGAACTGAATCACTTGATTATCCCCAAACCAATCAGTGTGGTGTGGGAGATGGGATGTGCTGATTGGCTTGTAAAGGCCCACCCAGTCAGCTCCCTGGAAGTCCCTGGACTATTGCTAGGAGTAGTCTTGGACACCCGGGAGTCCCACTGCAGAGGTTTATTCCTAGTCTCTTGCAGGGTGAGCTCCGGTACAGCCTGCGTATGCTCTGATTCTGTCCATAGAGGGTTGACCTGGATCCAGTCAGGTGGTATAGCATACAGAGAACACAATTTTGGAAAGTGTAGAGACAAACATTTTTAGTGTAATACCCTTCAATGTGTTTAACTTATGTTAAAATAAAAATTTTAGATGATTAAATGTCACATAGTTTAATTGAGCAAAGAATAGTTTGTGAATTGAGCAGCTCACAGAACGAAAAGAGGTTTAGAGACCTCTGCTCCGAAATGTGGGCAGATAGCATTTATGGACAGAAAATGGAACGAGGTATAGAAACAGTTTATTGATTAGTTTGCTTTATCTGAACCTAGACTGATCAATTGGCTGCCTGTGATTGACTGAAGCTCGGTTGCTGTGGTTGGTTGAGACACAGCTATTTGTTACTAAAATACCTGAAGTTAGGGTTTCAGTTAGTTTAATTACAGTTGTTCATGTGGGGACTCAAAGCATAGAGGTATCCTCAGACCAAATTTAGTTTAACACTCATAACAGTACAAAATTAGCATATAAAATATGGACTGTCATCAAGAGTTTGGTTGAGAAAAATGTAGAAATCAATGTAAAGTCAGCTCTATTACCACAAACACTTTAAGAATATTTTCATCACCCCCATATTAAATCCCATACCCATTAGCAACTATTCCTCATTTTCTCCAACCCTTCCCAGCTCTAGGCAACCACTAACCTACTTTTGAGCTCCATTTATTTGTCTATTCTGGACATTTCATATAAACGGAATCATACAATATTTTGGTCTTTAAAGTCTGACGTTTCACATAGCATAATAGTTTCAAGGTTCATTTACACAGTAGCAAGTATCAGTTTATTCCTTTTTATAACCCAATAATATTTCATTTGAAATTTTACTCATCCATCAATAGGTGGACAATTGGGTTGATTTCACTTTTTGAGTTTTATGAATAAAGTCACTATGGACATCTGTAAACATGTTTTTGTGTGGGCATATGCTTTCATTTCTTTTGAGCGTATACTTAGGAGTGGAATTTCTGGGTCATTTGGTAAATCCAATATTTTACATTTTGAAAAACTGTTGAACTCTTTTCCACAGTGGTTGCACCATTTTACATAGCCATGAGCCATGAATGAAGGTTCCAGTTTCTTCATATCCTCTCCAAAAGTTATTATCTTTTTAATTATAGCCATTCCAGTCTGTGTCAAGGGGCATCAAATTGTAATTTTGACTTGTATTTCTCTAATGGCTAATGATATTAAGCATTTGTGGATTTTTATGAAAAATATAACTTGGAAAAATGTCTATTGAGGTCCTTGCCCATTTTAAAATTGAATTATCTTTTCATTTCTCAGTTTCGAGGTCTCTTTATATATTCTAGATATAAATCTTTATCAGGTATATGATTAGCAAATATTTTCTCCCATCCCGTGGGTTGTCCTTTCATTTTTCTGATAGTATTCCTTGAAGAACAAAGGTTTTCAGTTTTGATCAAGTCTAAATGTAACCAATTAACTTTTTATTCAATTGTACTTTTGATGTAATATCTATGAAACCATTGGTTAATCAAAAGTCATAAAGTTTTCCACATTTTCTTCTAATATTGTATAGTTTTAGCTCTTATATTTAGATCTTTAATCATTTAGAATTAGTTTTTATGTATGGTTTGAATAAAGATAACTTCATTTTCTTTGCCAATGGCTACATAATTGTCCCATCACCACTTGTTGAAAAGGCAGTTCTTTTCTCCCATTGCATTGCTGTGGCACCTTTGAAAAAAAAATCAATGGACCATGAATTAGTCTGTTCTCATGCTGCTATGAAGAAATACTAGAGACTGGGTAATTTATAAAGAAAAGATATTTAATTGACTCACAGTTCCTCATGGCTGAGGAGGCCTCAGGCAACTTACAATCATGGTGGAAGGCACCTTTTCACAGAGCAGCAGGGGAGAAAAATGAGAGCCAGCAGGGGAAATGCCAGATGCTTATAAAACCATCAGTCTCCTGAGACTCACTCATTGTCTCAAGAACATCATGGGGGAAACCACCCCCATCATTCAATTACTTCCACTTGGTCCCGCCCTTGACTCGTGAGGATTATGGGGATTACAATTCAAGGTGATATTTGGGTGGGGACAGAGCGAAACCATATCAGACCAAAAATGTGTTTGTTTATTTAATTTCTATTCCATTGAATCATATGTCTATCTTATGTCAACATCACACTCTCTTGATTTAGAAAGTTTTGAAATCAGAAAGTATGAGTTTCAACTTTGTTCTTTTTCAAGGTTATTTGGCTATTCTGGGTCCGCTGCATTTCCTTATGAATAATAGAATTAGCTTACCAATTTCTGTTAGAAAAGCTGGAATTTTGATAGAAATTGCATTGGATTTGTAGGTAATTTTTTTGGGGGGTGGTATTGCCACCTTAAGAATATTGGATCTTTTGGGCCGGGCGTGGTAGCTCATGCTTGTAATCCCAGCACTTTGGGAGGCTGAGGCAGGCAGATCATGAGGTCAGGAGATCCAGACCATCCTGGCCAACACGGTGAAACCCTGTCTCTACTAAAAAAATATAAAAAATTAGCCGGGCGTGGTGGCGGGCGCCTGTAGTCCCAGCCACTTGGGAGGCTGAGGCAGGAGAAGGGCGTGAACCTGGGAGGCGGAGGTTGCAGTGAGCCGAGATTGCGCCACTGCACTCCAGCCTGGGCGACAGAGTGAGACTCTGTCTCAAAAAAAAAAAAAAAAAAAAAAAAAAAAAGAATATTGGATCTTTTGAACTTTGATTCTGAGGTGTATTTTCATTTGCTTATGTATTCTTTCATTTATTTCAACAATGGTTTGGTTTTCAGAGCATGTTTTGTACCTCTTTCTTAGTTCATTCCTAAGTATTTTTTTTCTCTTTTCGTGCTTTTGTAAATGCAATTATTTTCTTAATTTAATTTTCTAATTTTCATTGCTATTCTATAGAAATACTATTTATATTTGTATATTGATCTTGTATCTTGCATGCTTGCTGAATTTGTTCATTGGTTCTAATTGTTATTAGTGGGTTCCATAGGATT
Source organism: Homo sapiens (assembly GCF_000001405.40). Classification (NCBI taxonomy): domain Eukaryota; kingdom Metazoa; phylum Chordata; class Mammalia; order Primates; family Hominidae; genus Homo; species Homo sapiens. The sequence continues at coordinate 125,610,150 of NC_000012.12, forward strand.
TTCTATATATATAATAGCATGTCGTATGTAATGAGAGATAATTCACTTTTTCCTTTCTAATCTAGGTACCTTTTATTTCATTTTCTTCCCTAATTTTCTTGGCTAGAACTTCCTGTACAATGTTGAATAGAAATGGTGAGAGAAGATATCCTATCTTCTTGCTAATCTTACGGTGGCATAAGATCGTCGTTAGTGACAAACTTTCACTGTTAAGCTTGATGTTAGCTGTGGGCTTTGGTAGATGCCGTTTATCAGAATGAGGAGTTTCTCTTCTATTCCTAGTTTGTTGATAGTTTTTAACATGGACTGGTTGTATATTTTGTCACGTGCTTTTTCTGTGTCCATTGAGTTGATCATGTGTTTTTGTTCTTTATTGATATGCTCATTTTGCTAATTGATTTTCTGATGTCAAACTAACCCTACATTCCTGGGATACTGGGATAAATCTCATTAGGTTATGGTGTAAAATCTCTCTCTCTCTCTCTCTCTCTGTATGTGTGTGTGTATATATGTTTTATTTAACCATTGTTGGTTTTATTATATAAACCAATGACAATGCAATGGGAGAAAAGAATTGCCTTTTCAACAAATGGTTAAAAAAATAAATATATGAAGCTATATATAGTTGGATTGGTTTTCTATTATTTTCTTGAAGAATTTCACATCTATATTCATAGGATATACTGATCTGGAATTTTCCTTTTATATGACTTCTTTGGTTTTGATACCAGGATAAAATTGGCCTTATAGAATGATCCAGGAAGATTTCCCTTCTCTGTTATTATTTGGAAGAGTTTGTCTAGGGTTGGTGTTAATTCTTCTTTAAATATTTTGTGGAATTTACCAGTGAAGATATCTAGACCTTGGCTTTTCTTTGTAGGTTTTTCTTCTTCTTATTTTTGATTAGTAATCTAATCTGTTTACTTGTCATAGGCCTATTCAGACTTTGTATTTCTTTCTCAGTCAGTTTCACCAATTTTTATTTGTCTTTTTAGGGATTTGACCATTTCCTCTTAGGTTACGCAATCTGTTTGCACACAAGTATTCATAACATTTATCTACAACTCGTTTTTATTTCTGTAAAGTTAGTTGGAATGTCCCTTCTTTCATTACTGACTTTTATAACTACTTGGGTTTTTTTCTCCCTTTTCCTTGGTGAGTCCAGGTAAAGGTGTATCAATTTTGTTGATATTTTAAAAAAAACAATTTTTGGTTTTGCTGATTTTTCTCTATTTTTTTCTATGATATATTTCATTAATTCAGCTCTAATGTTTATTTTATCCTTTCTTATGATGCTTTAGGTTTAGTTTGCTTTTCTTTTCCACTGTCTGAAGGTAGAGCATTAGGTTATTAATTTGAGAACTTATATTTTTATATAAGCATTAACTACTTATATTCTTACTGTTTCCATGTAAACACTATATTAGCTACATCCCATAATTTTGGTGTACTGTGTCTTCATTTTCATTAACCTCATAATGTTTTCTAATTTCTCTTGTTATTTATTGGCTGACTGATTGGTTATTTAGTAGTGTATTAATTTCAAAATATTTGTTAATTTCTCAAGTTTATTTATATTTTCTAAATTTCTGATTTAAGTCTATCATGATCCGACAACATTATTGGTATGATTTTAACTTATTTAAATTAACTGTGGCTTGATTTATGGCCTAGAATATGGTCTATAGTGGAGCATTTTCCTTGTACACTTAAGGAGAATATGTATTTTGTTGTTGTTTTGTGGAGTATTTTATAGATATGTTAGGTCAAATTCGTTTATAATGTGGTTTGAGTCTTCTATTTCCATGTTGATCTTCTTTCTAGTTGTCCTACTCATCGTGAAAGTTGGGAATTTAAGACTCCCACTAGTATTGTTGAATTTTCTATTTATTCTCTCAGTTCTGTCCATTTTTGCTTCATAGATCTGGGGCTCTGTTTTTTGGTGAACATATATTTATAATTGTTATTTCTTCCTAATATATTGACCACTTTATCATTAAAAAAGGTCCCTTTTAATTTTAATTTTTTAAAAAATGACCAATAAGGCCAGGCACGGTGGCTCACGCCTATAATCCCAGCACTTTGGGAGGCCAAGGCAGGTGGATTGCAAGGTCAGGAGTTTGAGACGAGCCTGACCAACTTGGTGAAACCCTGCCTCTACTAGAAATACAAAAATACAGGTGCATGCCTGTAATCCTAGCTACTCAGGAGGCTGAGGCAGGAGAATCGCTTGAACCCGGGAGGTGGAGGTTGCAGTGAGCTGAGATCGCTTGCCACTGCACTCCTGCCTGGGCACCAGAGCGAGACTCCATATCAAAAATAAATAAATAAACAATAAAATAAAAATAAAAAAATGACCAATACAATTGTGTGTATTTATTTTGTACAACATGATGTTTTGAAGTATATATATATAATATATATAAAATATATATTATATATATACTTCAAACAGTATATATTTTTAATGTTACTAGACAACAGTATGACAACTATATATACTTGTCATACTGTTGTCTAGTAACATTAAAAAATCCATCTTATGTTTATGTAGCCACTCTGGCTTTCTTATGGTTGTTATTTGGATGATACATGTCCCTCTGTCCTTTTCCTTTCAATCTAATTTATCTTTAAAAATATATTTTTTTATTTTTTATTTTTGATTATATATATGTAGTGGGTGTTTATATTATATATATATTTATATATTATATAAAAATATATATGATATATATTTATATATTGTATAAAAATATATATCATATATATTTATATATTAAAAATATATATCATATATATTTATATATTAAAAATATATATCATATATATTTATATATTAAAAATATATATCATATATATTTATATATTAAAAATATATATCATATATATTTATATATTAAAAATATATATCATATATATTTATATATTAAAAATATATATCATATATATTTATATATTAAAATATATATCATATATATTTATATATTATATATAAATATATATCATATATATTTATATATTATATATAAATATATATCATATATATTTATATATATATTATACACCCACTATATTATATATATATAATATAGTGGGTGTTTATATTTATGGGGTACATGAGATACTTTCATATGGGCATACATGTGTAGTAATCACATCAGAGTAAATGGGATATCCACAACCGAATTTATCTTTGAATTCAAAATATTTCTCCTGTAGACAACATAGTTGGATCTTCCATTTTAATCCAGTCTGTTAATCTGCCTATTTGTTGAATTGTTAAATTAGTTAACATGAATGTTATTATTGCTATGTTTGAATTTACATTTTCTACTTTACTCTGTTTCCTGTATGTCTCATATCACTTAAATTTTCTAGTGTAACATTTTAATTTCTTTAATGATATCTTCACTATTTTTGAGTTATTTTCTTAATAGTTGTTAAGAGGTTTACCATATATCTTATCAGATAAACTTCAGATTTTATAACTTAAGTCCAGTGAGATACAGAAGCATTAATTTTATATAACTTCTTCCTATTACCCGTTTGTGCTATATTTGTTATAGATATTACATGTCTATATGTTATAAAGACAATAATGCATTATTATAATTAGACTTTATATAATGTTATGTCTCAGAAGCATAGAGAAGAGGTAGAGCAAGTACATATTTATATAGTTTGTTTATTAACTTCCTCAGGTACCATTTCTGGCTTGCTCATTTTATTTGATTCTGTGAATCAAAGTTTCCATTTGATGTCATTTTCTTAGTCTCATACAGTTTTGCTCCCACCTACATTCTTTTTGCTGTTATTGTTAAATATATTACATTTATTCATGTTATTGGCCCAACAATATAATTGTATACATACTGTTTTATATTATTGATTTTAAAGCAGTTAAGAAAGGAAGAAAAAGAAATATACTTTCATACTGTGTCTTACAATTATGTAATTTCTTTTACTGGTACTCTTCTAATTTCAACATTTTTTTTAGAAATGTGAGTACATGTGCATATTTTTTACATGGGAATATTTCATGGTGCTGAGACATGGAGTGTGGATCCTGTCACCCAGGTAGTGAGAATAGTGCCTGATAGTTTTTTAACCCATCCTCTCACCCTCTACTCTATAGTAGTCCACAGTGTCTGTTCTCTTACTTATGTCCACGTGTGCTCAATGTTTAGTTGCCACTTATAAGTGAGAACATGCAGTGTTTACTTTTTGGTTCTTGTGTTAATTTGCTTAGGATTATGGCCTCCAGCTCCATCCATGTTGCTGCAAAGGACATGATTTCATTCTTTTTTTATGGCTGCATAGTACTCCATGGTGTATATATCCCACATTTCTTTATCCAGTCTACCACTGATGGGCACCTGGGTAGATTCCATGTCTTTGCTATTGTGAACAGTACAGCAGTGAACATATGAGTTCATGTGTCTTTTTGGTAGAATTACTTATTAAAAATTTGAAAAACAACAAATGCTGGCAAAGCTGTAGAAAAAAGAGAACACTTTTAGTGGGAATGTAAATTAGTCCAGCCCTTGTGGAAAGCAGTCTGAAATTTTCTGAAAGAACTTAAAACAGAGCTACCATTAGACCCAGCAATCCCATTATGGATATATGCTTTTTAAAAAATGTGGATTCAGATTACTGTCTAGGTAACTTGCTTTCAGTTTGAAGAACTTCCTTTACCATTTCTTGTAAGGTGGGGCTGCTAGCAACTCTTTCTCTTAGTTTCTGTTTATCAAGAATATATTAATTTCCCCTCATTTTTGAAAGATAGTTTTGCCAGTTGTAGGATTCTTGGTTGACAGTTTACTTTTTGAGCCTTTTGAATGTTATCCTGCTGTCCTCAGGTTTTATTATTTCTGATGAGAAGTCAGCTATTAATTTTATTGAGTTTCTCTTATACAAGATGAGTCATTTTTCTTTTGCTGTTTTAAGTATTTTCTCTGTGTCTTTGTCTTTCATAATTTTTACTGTGATGTGTCTGAGTGTGAATCTCTGTCTCTATTCTACTTGAAGTCTGAACTTCTTAGATGTGTAGACTAAAATTTTTATTAAATTTGGGGATGTTTTCAATCATTATTTCTTCAAATATTTTTTCTACTCCTTTCTCTTTCTACTCTTCCTAGAATTCTCATCATTCCTTTATAGATATATATATATGATATCTGTCTGTCTATCTATCTATCTATCTAGATGCTTAATGATGACCACATTTCTCTTAAGCTCTGTTCACTTGTATTGATTCTTTTTTCTCCTTTGTTCCTTGGATTGCATAATCTATATCAGTCTATCCTCAGTCTTGCTGCTTATTTCTTCTTCCACCTCAAATCTATTTTGAGCTAATCTAGCAAATTTTTCATTTAAGTTTTTCTACTTTTCAACTCTGCAACTTTCATTTGGTATTTTTTAAAATTTCTTTTTCTGATATTGTCTATTTATTGGTACATTGTCATAGTGCCTTCTTTTACTTCTTTATGCTAATTCTGAACATATTTATGTCTTTAAATATATTTCTACATTGTTTAGAAATATTTATACTGGCTGCTTTCAACTCTTTGTTACATTGAACATCTGTGCTCTCTCATAGGCAGTATCTGGTACCTGTTTTGTTTTTTACCACTGTGAGTGGTGTAGGGGCCAAGGCTAAACTTCCACTTTGCCTTCTGAAGACTTGCTGAAAAATCAACTGACAAAAGGCAGATTAATAGGAGAAAAGTCATACACATTTATTAATGTGCAAAGAAGTCACATAAAGAATTCAAAGAAATAGCTTAATGGTTGACACTTTTTTTTATTATACTTTAAGTTTTAGGGTACATGTGCACAACATGCAGGTTACATATGTATACATGTGCCATGCTGGTGTGCTGCATCCATTAACTCGTCATTTAACATTAGGTATATCTCATAATGCTATCCCTCTCCCCTCCCCCCACCCCACAATAGGCCCCAGTGTGTGATGTTCCCCTTCCTGTGTCCACGTGTTCTCATTGTTCAATTCCCACCTATGAGTGAGAACATGCGGTGTTTGGTTTTTTGTCCTTGCGATAGTTTGCTGAGAATGATGGTTTCCAGCTTCATCCATGTCCCTACAAAGGACATGAACTCATCATTTTTTATGGCTGCATAGTATTCCATGGTGTATATGACACTTTTATACCGTCTCGAGGTTACAGAAAAAATGGAGGCTTGGACTATGGCAAAAGAGGTTATAGGAGAGGCAGAAGAGGAAGCCTGGCTGGCAAAGGTGGTCTTGCCATGTAGCTGAAACCCCACAAGGAGCAGCCCTCAGAGAAGAGATAGTAAATGTTTCTTTCAGGCCTTTAAAGTTGTCAGGCTTATTTCCTCGATCTGCACAAGGGAGGGTCCTCAGAGAAAGCTTAGCCATATCAATGTAGAGTATCTACAGATGCAAATTTGCTCCACAAAAGACAGCTTTGCAAAGCTACTTCTGTTGTCAGGTCCTTTGAACAGCCGTCTAAAAATATATCGAAATATATTTTAAGAATGAAATATTTAGTTTCCTTCAGTGGGTAACACTTTTCTGTTATGAACTTAATTTTGTGTTCCCCCACCCAATTCATGTGTTGCAGCCCTAACGACCAACATGATGGTTTTTGGAGATGTGGCCTTTGGGAGGTAGTTAAGTTGAGATTAGTCATGAGGATGGGACTCTGTGATGGGATTAGTGCCCTTATAAGAAGAGAAAGACAGAGACATCATTTCTCCATGTGCATTAAGAATGGCCATGTGAGCACACAGTGAGAAAGCTGCTGTCTACAAGCCAGAAAGTGGTCATCCACTAATAACCAAGTCTGCTAGCATCTTTATCGTAGACTTCCCATCTTCCAGAACCATGAGAAATAAATTTCTGTTGTTTAAACCACCCAGTGTATGGTATTTTGTTGTAACAGACCAAGCTGACTAAGACAACATTTCTTTTCATGTTTGTGATTTTTCATTGTTTTTGAAAGCTTTTACCACTCTGGGTACTGATCTCTATGCCCATGGCTTTTTGTTGTTTGCTTATTTGTTCGTTTAGCAACCTGACTGATAAATTTAATTAAAGTCTATTTCCCTTCCAATGTGAGCACCTTATGTCACTTCTCAGAAGGCACATCCTTGGGCATGCTGATAGTCACCCTGCTATGACAGTGACTTTAGTAGGGCTCTTTCACTGCCCTTTTTTTTTTTTTTTTTTGAGACGGAATTTCACTCTTATTGCCCAGGCTGGAGTGCAGTGGCGCCATCTCGGCTCACCACAACCTCCACCTCCTGGGTTCGAGCAATTCTCCTGCCTCAGCCTCCCAAGTAGCTGGGATTACAGGCATGCGCCACCACACCTGGCCAATTTTGTATTTTTAGTAGAGACGGGGTTTCTCCATGTTGATCAAGCTGGTCTCAAACTCCCGACCTCAGGTGATCCACCCCCCTCGGCCTCCCAAAGTGCTGGGATTACAGGCGTGAGCCACCATGCCTGGCCTTCACTGCCTCTTACATGATATTTCTGTTAAATTGTTCACTTCTGTTGGTATCATACCAAGGTGTTAGGCTCCACTACTTTCCAGCTTATCCCTCTATTGTTTCTAATAATGCCCCGGGGCATAAGTTGTTCCACAGTCTGATACATTAAATTCAGGCCTCTTTGAGGGGTAGTGTTTGAGGCGTCTCTGAGGTTTGTCCAGACCCCAGGAGAGCTCTTTATCTGATTCTTTCTGGGAAACTGACTTTGAGTTTATATATTAATAGTTGCTCACCTGCAGCTGCCAGTCCCTTTTTAATTGCTTACTACAAAAAAAAAAAAAACTCCATTATTTTTGAGAATACCCTTAGGTTTGAACTTCCTCACAAGAGTGTGGTCCATAAAGACTGAGTTCCTTTAGGGAGAGCTTGGGAGCTCTTTGTTCTTATGACCTGCTCCTCTTCCTTCTTAAAAATCTGAGACACCAGGTGCAGTGGTCCATTTTTCTCTGGGTGACATCTTTATTTTAAAAGCAGGGTGCTGGGTGGGGACACTAGCCTCTAGTATTCTCAGCCTGCCTCTCCCAAATTGGAACTTATGGCCTATGAGTGAGCTGACGTGAGGGTTATTCGGCCATAGTAGTCTCAACTTGCCATGCATGGAGTGGGGCATCTGACCTGCAAGTAGGGCTGGGTGGAGGAAGGGAGCCTGTGTCTCTCTTAGTCACACTGACCTGGTATTTAGACTCTGCCACATGGAGCTAGAGTGGAGATGAGGAATGTTGGTAGCCTGCCTCCCCTTGGGAAATAACACAGCTACACCTGGCGTATGGGGGTGGTAAGAGCCCCATCTTTGACCACATCTGTCTGAAATAGAGATTCTGTTATTCTTAGCTGAGTAGTGTGGAAGAAGGAAGTGGGTTCTGGCTCATGTGCCACTTGCTCTTCTTTCTGAGATTTCAGAGATTTTCTTAAATCGATGCCTCCTTATTTGATGTCTGCCCTTAGGATGGTTTCCATTTAAATGGTTAAACCAGTATCCTTTAAATGTTTTTTTTTAAAGAATACAAATTTTCTCCAATTATGATTGTTTTGGTGGAGAGTGGGTCCACAGAGCTCCTTAGAGAGCCAAGTCATCTCCAAAGTCAGCACTTCAGAATATTATGTTAATAATGTTATAGGTGATATGTAAATATACAAATCTTAAAGGTAGTATGCAATTGACTCCAGTTTGGTAACCACTGAAGAAACATACTTGAAGTACCCTAAACTGTCAAGTTTATCAATATTAGTTATTATTTTTAAATTTATGGTAATTTCTGAGATTACTGAAATCTATAAGGAAGTAAGGCAGTTGGAAGTGCAGTGCTGGGCAGCAAGCATTCTGCTCCTGGCTGACCTTGAAAATTTGGTAGTGGTAGAGGCAGTGGGAAGTGAGTTTTTGATTGAGTTATCTCTGCAAAGGTATCAAATGGCTATGTTTATGTTGCCCCAATGATTTTCTTCTGGCTGTTTTTGAAACAGCTAAATGTGTACTTGCTGGATAAAGGGAGCAGCACTTGGATTGGTACTCGGAATCTCTGTACACAAAAATCCAGGCAAAGAGTCAGCACCTGGCTTCCCAAGAAGCTCTGCTCATCTGTGTTCTGTAGGCTATTCTGGGCCTTGAAAGTGCCCTGGACCACCTGCCTGCTGTGGCATTTATTTATATTTATTTATTTATTTATTTATTTATTTATTTATTTATTTATTTATTTATTGAGACAGAGTCTCACTCTGTCACCCAGGCTGGCATGCACTGACACGATCTCGGCTCACTGCAACTTCTGCCTCCCGGGTTCAAGCAATTCTTTTGCCTCAGTCTCCCAAGTAACAGGGATTACAGGTGTGTGCCACCACACCCGGCTAATTTTTATACTTTCAGTAGAGACAGGATTTCACCATGTTAGCCCGGCTGGTCTTGAACTCCTGACCTTAGGTGATCCACCCACCTTAGCCTCCCAAAGTGCTGGGATTACAGGCGTGAGCCACCATGCCCGGCCCTGCTGTGGCATTTAACTGGGCATGTGGTCTCTGTGGCAGGCAGGATTTATAGTCTATTCTGAAGAGCCTGACCACAGGCTGCTGGACAGGGGGATCCATATCCTTAAAAATACACAATTATTAGAATATTGTAAGCATTGCGTCTTCCTGCAAGACAAGAGAGAGTCAGGTGACTCATCCCATTTTGTGAAAGGAAAGGGAGGCTTCTGTGGCCATAAATCTGTGTTGAAACAAGCACCCTCTGTATGAGGAGTTGCCAACAGTGATTTAGGGAAGACAATGGAGCATCAGACTCTTCAACTGAGTTATAATATCCATCTTGAGTGAGTAGGAGGTGCTGTCATTCTGGGACTTCTGTTTAGTCATCAGTAAGATGGGCATCTTAATGGCATCTTCAAATGAGATTTATAAATCATAGTTGCGATGTGTCAGCAGAGCCTTTCAATTGTGCCTACTGTGTGCTTTCAGGAAATACATCTCTTACTTCAGCATTTCTTCAAACACGGCACATGTGCCACTGGGGATGTATCAAATGAGGCTTGGTGGCACATAGACATACCTTTCAAGATTTTTAATATCTATACATTTATTTTAATGTACTTTAGACAATAATGTCATTATCACAAAGAATTACAGATATATTCTTGCTTGGGACAAAGCTGAGTAGGCAGAGCTGAATTGGCCTTTCCCAAACTGTGTGAATTTGAAGGACAGTGGCCAGTCATGCCTATGAAAGTTATAAATCTTCAGCAAGTGAGCCTCCTTCCACAAGTTAATGGAAGGATGGAGAGATCAGATGTTATAGATCACCCACAAAATATGCATATTATCACTTCAAACCAGCTTAATGTGCTGTCTTTCTCCAATGATAAAACAAACTAGTTTAAGATCTGAAGACATGACAAAAGCTGTAAGAGTCCCACACTATAATAGTCTGTTCTCACACTGCTAATAAAGACACACCTGAGACTGGGTAATTTATAAAGGAAAGAGTTTTAATTGACACACAGTTCAGCATGCCTGGGAAGGCCTCAGGAAACTTACAATAATGGTGGAAGGGGAAGCAAACAAATCCTTCTTCACATGGTGGCAGGAAGGAGAAGTAACAAGCAAAAAGGGAAAAAAGCCCTTTATAAAACCATCAGATCTTGTGAGAACTCACTTACTATCACAAGAATAGCAGCATGAGAGTAACTGCCCCAATGATTCCATTGCCTCCCACTGAGTCCCTCCAATGACATGTGGGGATTATGGGAACTACAATTCAAGTTGAGATTTGGTTGGGGACACAGCCAAACCATATCACACAGACAACTGAACTTTGGGAGACTTGGCCCAAGATATGCCATTGATTCAAACCTCATAAGAAGTTAAATCACCATTAATAAATAAATTCCATTAATCCATAAATACATTTTGAGTCTGTTGTGGTGCCAGGTGTGCCAGAGACACATAGATAATTAAGACCTGATTTATGACCTTGAATGGGTCACGTTTATAAATCCTCCTGTAAACATGGGTAAAATGTAAAAGTAAAATGGGGGCACATGAGTGTTACTATTGGAGAGACGGGGAAGACTTTATGGAGAAGGTGATGTTTGAGCCGTGTCTTGAGGGGTGCACAGGAGGCAGACAAGAATGATGAGGGCATTTCAGACAGAGAAGAACATAAGAGCAAGAATTATAAAAGCAAGGTGAATGTAAGGAATGATGATCTCTTTGAGTAGAGGGAAGGGGGAGTTTGAGTGTTAGGTGCATGTTGGTGGGAGTATGGGAGCGGGGCTTGAGGTTAGAAAGACAGATGGAGATTTGAAGACCATCAAAACTCTGCTAAGGTATGTGGACCAAATTTATGGATCTCAGTGGCAGATATAAGACATGCATGTGGTAAGACACTGCTCCCTAGCATGTGGTCATAGTAGACATCATTAATCAATCCCAGCACTCCTTCATGCTGGAGCCCAGATTCCTTCTCAAGCAGAACTCCCTTGAGTAACAACTATGACTTGATTTGCATTGGCCAGCAAGATGAACCTATTTCTTACCTCTGGTAGAGTCTGTGGGGAACCAGCAAAAGTTTTTAATAAGGAATGGAGAGCATGATGTTAATGAGGACAAGATATGGACCTCGAAGGGTGACATACTTTCCTACCTTTCCTCTGGCATCATGCTATACATATCAGGATGACGTGATCATAAAATGACAGGCCTTGAGACAAATATTTCCCAAAGACACGCTCTATTTGTCTAGAAAAGTACTTTAAAACTATATATAACTTAGATGCCAATATTGTATCACTAAGAATCTAGATTTCCCATTTCTCTTGAAGAATCAGGATCTCTCTGAACATAGTCCTTGCATTCCCACATGGCAGCAGTGGGCTCAGCTGAGGTCCCTTTCAGCAGGGCTTGGGGTGTCCTCCCTGCAGTCCCATGTCCTGTCATTCACAGCAGACCCACCTTCCTCATTTAGGTCACCTCCCTGTTCTCAACAGGGATTTAGTTGTTGAGTTAACTCCCACCAGACCTCCTTAAAGTTCCATCCCAGGCCAATTGTGCTGAAAAATATGGCTTAATTACATGTTTAAACTGAATTCTATTACAGATATGTTAGATGAGATTACCTGCATTAGATAAGTTACACTGGAATAGTATGTTAGATGTGATTATCTTAATTTATTGCTAATGTAAATCAAAGGTTCCCACAAAGCAGAGTCTTTTAAAGTAAGAATCACAATAAGTCACCATGGGAGCCAGGTCTGAGGCCACACAGAAGTAGAACTTTCATAGCCAGGTTTCCAACCAACCTTTCCTGTGCTGGAAAGGACTCACAGTCAAGAAAGGTGTAGATCCTGCAGACTGCGTGGAGGCCATGCTTTCACATCAAGCCTTCCTCGGTGACTTGCTCAGCCTGACTGTGTTCTTATTTGCTGGGTCTCTCTCTGGAAATCTCCACTTTGAGTGTGAGTTTAGGTGTCCAGCCTTCTCTGGGTAGCACTGAACAGATCTGAAGCTCTGCCATGTCTTTTCAGCTTGGGCCTTTCCAGAAACCTTTTTTCTGCTCTCATTCTGGAGCAAGTGGTGGGGAGGACATCATTTGTATTTACTTTTCCCTTTTCTCAAAGTCTCAGAGACAAAAATGCTCAGCTAACAATTTTTATACCTTGAGTTCACAATTCAGAGCATTCATTTGATAAACATTTCTTTTCTAAAATAAATTTTTATAGTTTCAAAACAAGTTTAGAAAACACAAGCCCTGCAGTTCTCTCTTTCTCCCCTGAGAATATGCTTATTCTGCCAAAATGTTTATCTTTTCTTTGACTAATTTATGTACAGACCCTGAACACCTAAGCTTGTGGCTTGAGCACCTGTGCCAATGGCACCTAATTAACAGCGCTTTTCTCCAGTAGGTTCGGGGAGTGCAGTCAGAACTGGGGCTGGGCAGCATGATATGCTGGGATTTCACCAGATCATCAACGCCCAATCCCTTCTCAGGCACCATTTGATGAATTGTAAGCCTAGATATTTTCCTAGGCTTACAAATGTTGGTGGTGCTTTTTAAATCTCCCTATGCCATGAAATAAATGCCAAAATGAAAACATCCTACAGATAAACATATGCTAAACTTTGTAATCAAATCATAATCTTGGGCCTGCATTGCTTGTATAGTCTTGATAAGGGGCAACATTTTGGTAACACTTGACTATAAAGGTAGAATCAAACCTTGTTCCATGTGGTTTGGACAGGGCTTTTTCTCCTTGGGTAAGAATATTTTGTTGTCTTCATATGGGAGTCCTACCAAGCAGATTCCAGAGATTGTCTGTGCTCTATGCTGGTGCCATCTAATAGGGAGTGAGATAAGGTCAGGTTATGGGGGTCATTGAGGCCTGTTGGAACAGAGATGTCCTGGGAATCTCAAATTAAGATGGGTATCAGTCCCTTCTTGTAGTTGGGTTGGGCTGAACACAGCCACTGAGTCCTGGCATCTTATAAGCACTGTGCAAACCCTACTGTCCTAATCATTGTATTTTACAATATTTTGCAGATGAGTCAGTCTCCTTCACTTAGTTGGGCTTCCTGCAGGGCATCGCCTCTCTGACTCACTTTGTGTCCCCAGAGTCCTGCTCAGAGCCCACCATATAACATTGCTGGCCCCAAGGCAGGTCTGAATTTTAACCTCACCTTCAGTGTGAACTCTATGCCTTTAAGACAGTGACTTGTCCTCTCTGGGTTACATCTCCACTAAGTGGGCACAGATCAGACCTCTGAGTTCTCATTCAGTGCCAAGATGTTAAGATTCTACGATGGAAGTGTGTTGAATGAGATGGAAAGAGAAAGCAGTGCAGTGATCCCCATTCTGCCCACCCTGCCCCAAGGCCCACACTGGCTGGGAGGCCTGGACATTCAGTCAGTTACAGGCTGAACGCTGAGCAAACCAACAGAGAGAGATAAAGAAATGTCACATCCCAGCCAAGGTCCAATCATGGAGGCCAGATGAACCTGCTTGAAATGAATTGATAAAAAGAAATGTAGCCAAGTGCAAAGCATCATGATCAGATCTTGAAGGGCTGAGCTAGGGAGATCTTTTGGAAGTGGGGGCTGAGAGTGACTTCCAGTGCTGGTGAGGGGCAGAGAGGGGCTCCCAGGACCTGCCAGTTGCCAGCTGTATGATCCTGGACAGCCCACTTCATCTCATTTACTCTGCACCATTCTTGCATGTCTACAATGTTCCAGGCCCCATCCATGATCTTAGGGTGCAGAAAATGAAATAAGGCAACAACCTTGTCTTCAAAGGACTTATATCACCATCCAATAAGGGCAGAGAAGTGTTAACAGGGTAGGTCTTAGCGTGAGAAGATACAAAGGTGACTGGGGATTCCTCAAGCCCCAAGGTTCGTGGACTTATTGTCCTCGAGCTCACTGTGATAATTATTTGACTTTGCATATTCATTTCTAAAATAATCTTTAAAAGCATCATCCTATACTATTGACAGTAGACTGAAAAATTGCTACTCAAATTTAGTTATGATGCTTGCGTTTGTGTTCACGATCTTACTAGAGTCCAGGGTTTGTGTGCGGTCCTTTTTGTCTTCAGCCATATCTGGTCAGAGCAATGTTTTCCAGAGTTACTTAGGTCAGTGCCTTTCTCCCCCACCCACTTTAGTGAGATCCTCCAAACATCGTGGTCGATGTTTTGATTAATGTATACAGAGTAAAATGTGCTTTTTGTGTAGAACTCTATGCAGTTCTATGGGTTTTCATGCATGGTCATATACTCACTACCACAGTAACCCGAAGAACAGTTCTGTCGCACCCTCACCAAATTCTGTTATGCTGTCCCTTTTAGTTAACATCACTCTCACCTCTCTCAACCACTGATTCATTTTGTGTTCTTACAGTTTGGTTTCTTCCAGGACAGCACAAAAGTGGAATAATGTAATATGTAGTCTTTTGGATTTGACTTCTTTTTTTTTTTTTTTTTTTTGAGACTGAGTCTCGCTCTGTTGCCCAGGCTGGAGTCCAGTGGCTCGATCTCAGCTCACTGCAAGCTCTGCCTCCCGGGTTCACGCCATTCTCCTGCCTCAGCTTCCTGAGTAGCTGGGACTACAGGCGCCCGCCCCCACGCCCAGCTAATTTTTTTATATTTTTAGTAGAGACGGGGTTTCACCGTGTTAGCCAGGATGGTCTCTATCTCGTGACCTCATGATCCGCCCACCTCGGCCTCCCAAAGTGCTGGGATTACAGGCGTGAGCCACCGCGCCCGGTCAGATTTGACTTCTTTCCCTAAAAAATGCATTGAAAGTTCATCTGTGTTATTGTGTGAATTGATAGTGGGTTTCTTTTTATTGCTGTGTAGGATTCCATTGTATGGATTTACCACAGTTTATCTATTTGCCTGTTGAAGGACATCTGGCTGTTTCTAATTTTTGACACTTCTGAACACATCTGCTATAAACATTCACATAAGAATTTTTGTGCAAACGTGTTCTCAGTTCACCTAGATGTGAGATTAATGGATCATTTAGTAAACTGAATGTTTAACTTTATAATAAATTGCCAGACTGTTTTCAAAGGCAGTTGTACAACTTTTCATTTCTACCAAAAATGAATGAGAATTCCTGTTGCTGTTCCACACTCTCAACAACATATGGTATTGAAATATTTTTCTTTTGCCATTCTAATGAGCTTGTAGTGTTATCTCTTAGTGGTTTTAATTGGTATTTCCTTGATAATTCTTGCTGTTATGCATTTTTTTCTGTGCTTATTTGCTATCTGTAAATCCTCTTCCCTAATGAAATGTTTTTAAGTCTTTTGCCAGTAAAATATGGTTGTGCTATTTTGGTATATTTTATTTTTACTTTTGTTACTAATATTAACACACAATGCATTGTTACTAGTTTTGCTTTAGATAATTAGCTATTTTTTCAGAACAATTATAACTCTGAAAAAATGAATTTTATTCTTCCTTAAATTATTCCATTCTTAAGTGTAGATCTAGATTTCCAACTGACACCTTCTTTTTTTCTGCCTGAAGGACTTTCTTTAATATGTCTTATATATTCCTTTTGGTTTTCACCAGTTTAAGTATCACATGCCTAGGTGTTTGTTTCCATTCATCTGTTGATGGACACTGAGGTTGCTTCCAAGTCTTGGCTACTGTGAACAGTGCTTCAACAAACATGGGAGTGCAGATATCTCTTCAATATACTGATTTCCTTTCCTTTGGGAATATACCTAGCAGTGGGATTGCTGGATCATATGGTAGTTCAATTCTTAGGTTTTTGAGAGACTCCCAAGCTTTTCTCCATAGTGGTTGTACTAAGGTAGTTAGCAATTATCTTAAGCTTTTGTCTAAAAAAATTATTTCACCTTCATTTTTGATAGATTTTTTTTGGCTGGGTATAGAACTATAGGGCAATAGTTATTTATTTCGGAATCTTCATGATGCCATCCTATTGTCTTATTGCTTGCCTGATTTCCAACAAGAAGTCTGCCGTAATTGTTATCCATCTTCTTCTGTAGCTAATGTCTTATTTCTCTGGCTCCCTACAGGATTTTCTCTTTGCTTTTGGTTTTCAGCAGTTTGCATATTACATGCCTAAGTGTTTGTTTTGTTTATAATTGTCCTCTTTGGTTTCACATGACCTTCTTGGATCTGTGTTTTGGTGACTGCCAGTAATTCTGGAAAAATCTTGGTTATATAGTTTTTTCAAATATTTTTTGAGCCCTGTTTTATCTCTCTTTTTGGGATTCCAATTACATGTACATTAGACCATTTGACCCTCTCACAGCTCTTGGATGCCCTTTTCCTTTTCTTTGTCACTCTTATTCCCTTTGTGTTTCAGTTGGGGTAATTCCTATTGATTACCTTCAAATTCACTGCTTCTTTCCTTGGCTCTGCCTAATCTACTGATGAGTAAATCAAGACATCAAGATCTTTGCTACTATGCATTTTTATTTCTAGAATTTCCATTTTATTATTCCTTATTGTTTTATCCTCTTCTGAAATTACCCATCTTCTCCTTTATGTTGCCTATCATTTCCTCTAGAGCCTTTAACATATTCATCATAATTATTTGAAATTTCCTGTCTGATAGTCCAAACAACTGAATCATATCTGAGTCTAGTTCTAATTATTGATTTTTTTTCTCCCTGGGGGTGTGTTTTGTCTTGACTTTTGGTATGCTTTGTACTTTTCATTTAAAGATGGACATTTTGTATATCATATTTCATCTCAGAAGATACTGAGATGAATCCTTTTTATGATTAGAGTTGTGTATACCTTTCTTTCTAATAGGCCTATAATGTTGGGATTTCTGTTAATATAGTCAGAAGTTGAGCTAAGTTTGAGGGTTTTTTAACATTTTTTTAATTTTTAATTTTTATGGTACATATTTATAGGGTACATGAGATGTTTTGATACAGGCATGTGATGTGTAATAATCACATCATGGAGAATGGGATGCCCATCCCCTCAAGCATTTATCCTTTGTGTTACAATCCAGTTATACTCTTCTAGTTATTTTAAAATGTACAATTAAATTATTATTGACTATAATCATAGTCACCCTGCTGTGCTATTAAATACTAGGTTTTATTCTTTCTATCATTTTGTATCCATTAACCATCCCCACCTCCCCCACAGCACCCACTGCCCTTCCTAGCCTCTGGTAACCATCCTTCCACTATCTTCGTGAGTTCAATTGTTTTGATTTTTAGATCCCACAAATAAGTAAGAACATGCAATGTTTGTCTTTCTGTGCCTAGCTTATTCACTTAAGATAAAGATCTCCAGTTCCATCCATGTTGTTGCAAATGACAAGAGCTCATTCTTTTTTATAGCTGAATAGTACTCCATTGGGTATATGTACCACATTTTCTTTATCCATTCATCTGTTGATGCTTCCAAATCTTGGCTATTGTCAACAGTGCTGCAACAAACGTGGGAGTGCAGATATCTCTTTGAAGTAATGATTTCCTTTCTTTTGGGTATATATCTAGCAGTGGGATTGCTGGACTATATGATAGCTCAACTTTTAGGATTTAGAGGAACTTCCAAATTTTCTCCACAGCAGTTGTACTAATTTACATTCCTATCAGGAGTGTACAAGGGTTCCCTTTTCTCTATATCCTTGCTAGCATTTGTTATTGCCTGTCTTGGATAAAAGCCATTTTAACTGGGGTGAGATAATATCTCATTGTGGTTTTGATTTGCATTTCTCTGATGATCAGTGATGTTGAACACCTTTTCATATGCCTGTTTGCCATTTCTGTCTTCTTTTGATAAATGGCTATTCAAATATTTTGTCCATGTTTTGATTGAATTATTCAATTTTTTTCCAATTAAGTTGTTTGAGCTCCTTATATATTCTGGCTATTAATCCCTTGTCAGATGAATAGTCTGCAAGTATTTCTATCCCGTTCTGTGGGTTGTCTCTTTACTTTGTAGATTGTTTCCTTTGACACGCAGAAGCCTCTTAACTTGATATGATCCCATTTGCCCATTTTTGCTTTGGTTGCCTATGCTTGTAGGATAATATTCAAGAAGTTTTTGCCCAGACCAGTGTTCTGGAGAGATTCCCTAATGTTTTCTTGCAGTAGTTTCATAGTTTGAGGGCTTAGATTTAAGTCTTTAATCCATTTTGATTTGATTTTTGTATATGGTAAGATATAGAGGTTTAGTTTCATTTCTCTACATATGGATATCCAGGTTTCCCAGCACCATTTATTGAAGAGACTGCTTTTTCCCCAGTGTATGTTCTTGGCACGTTTGTTGGAAGTGAGTTCACTGTAGGTGTGTGGATTTGTTTCTGGGTCCTCTATTCTGTTCCATTGGTCTATGTGTCTATTTTTATGCCAGAACCATGCTGTCTTGGCTGCTATAGCTCTGTAGTATAATTTAAAGTCAGGTAATGTGATTCCTCCAGTTTTGCTTTCTTTGCTTAGGATAGCTTTGGCTATTCTGGGTCTTTTGTGGTTCCATAGAAATTCTAGGATTTTTTTTTTCATTTCTGTGAAGAATGTCATTGGTATTTTGATAGGGATTGCATTTAATCTGTAGATTGCTTTGGGTAGTATGCACATTTTAACAATACTTCCAGCACATGAACGTAGAATATCTTTCCATTTTTTGCTGTCCCCTTTAATTTCTTTCATCAGTGTTTCATAGTTTTCAGTATAGAGATCGTTTACTTCTTTGGTTAATTCCTAGGAATTTAATGTTATTTATTGCTATTGTAAGTGGGATTATTTTTTAAATTTCTTTTTCTGATTGTTCATTGTTGGCATATAGAAATGCTACTGATTTTTGTATGTTGATTTTGTATCCTGCAATGTTACTGGATTTGTTCATCAGTTCTAATAGTTTTTTGGTGGAGTCTTTAAGTTTTTCCAAATATAAGATCATATAATCTGCAACCAAGGATAATTTGACTTCTTCCTTTCCAATTTGGATACTCTTTATTTCTTTTCCTTGTCTGATTGCTTTAGCTGGGACATCCAGTACTATGCTGAATAACAGTGGTAAAAGTGGGCATCCCTGTCATGTTCCACATCTCAGAGGAAGGGCTTTCAGTTTTTCCCTAATCAGTATAATACTAACTGTGGGTCTGTGGTATATGGCTTTTATTATGTTGAAGTATGTTCCTTGTATACTCAGTTTTTTGAAGGTTTTTATCATGAAGAGACGTTGAACTTTATCAGATTCTTTTTCAGCATCAGTTGAAATGATTATATGGCTTTTGTCCTTCATTCTGTTGACATGATGTATCACATTAATTCATTTGCATATGTTGAACCATCCTTGCATCCCAGGGATAAATCCCACTTGATCATGATGAATCATCTTTCTAATGTATTGTTGAATTCAGTTTGCTAGTATTTTGTTGAGGATTTTTGGATTAGTATGCACCAGAGGTATTGGCCTGTAGTTTTCTTTTTCTGATGTCTTTGCCTGGTTTTGGTATCAGGGAAATACTAGCCTTGTAAAATGAATTTGGAAGTATTCCCTCCTCCTCTGTTTTTTGGAATAGTTTGAATAAGATTGGTATTAATTCTTCTTTAAATAGTTGGTATAATTTAGCAATAAAGCCCTCAGGTCCCAGGCTTTTCTTTATTGGGAGACTTTTTGTTATGGCTTGGATCTCATTACTTGTTATTGGTCTCTTCAGGTTTTGGATTTCTTCATGATTCAATCATGGTGGGTTAAATGTGTCTAGGAATTTGTCCATTTCTTCTAGAGTTTCCAATTTATTTATGTATAGTTGCTTATGGTAGCCACTAATAATCCTTTGAATATCTGCAGTATCAGTTGTAATGTCTGCTTTTTCATCCCTGCTTTTGTTTATTTGGATCTTATCTCTTTTTTTCTTAGTTATTCTAGCTAAAAGTTTGTCAATTTTGTTTAACTTTTCAAAAAACCAATTTTAGAAAAATTTTATTTTAGGTTCAGGGGTATATGTGCAGGTTTGTTATATAGGTAAACTCATGTCATGGGTGCTTATTGTATAGATTATTTTGTCACCCAGGTACTACGCCTAGTACCCAATATTTTTTCTGCTCCTCTTCCTCCTCCCATCCTCCATCCTCAATTAGGCCCCACTGTCTGTTGTTCCCTTCTTTGCGTACATAAGTTCTCATCATTTAGCTGACACTTATAAGTGAGAACATGTGGTATTTGGCTTTCTCTTCCTGCGTTAGTTTGGTAAGGATAATGGCCTGCAGATTCATCCATGTTCACACAAAAGACACGATCTCATTCTTAGAAAAAAACAACTTTTTGTTTCATTGATCTTTTGTATTGTTTTATTTAATTTAAATTCATTTATTTCTGCTCCAATCTTTATTTCTGTTCTCTACTAACTTTGGGTTTGGTTTGCTGTTGCTTTTCTAGTTCTTTAAGATGAATCATTAAATTGTTTATTTGAAGTTTTTCTTCTTTTTTTGATGTAGGCATTTACAGCTATATACTTCCCTTAGGATTTCTTTTGCTGTATGCCATAGGTTTTCTTATGTTGTGTTTCCATTAACATTAGTTTTAAGAAATTTTTCAATTTTTTTTCTTAATTTGTTCATTAATCCAATGGTCATTCAGGAGCATGTTGTTTAATTTCCATGTATTTGCATAGTTTCCAAAATTCCTCTTGTTATTGATTTCTAGTTTTATTCCATTGTGGTCTGAGAAGATAATTAATATTGTTTCAAATTTTTTAAAGTGTTTTAAGACTTGTTTTGTGACCTAACATATTGTCTGTCCTTGAGAATAATTCACATGCTCAGGAGAAGAATGTATATTCTGCAGGCTTTGGATAAAATGTTCTGTAAATATCTATTAAATCCATTTGGTCTATAGTGCAGATTAAGTCCACTGTTTCTTTGTTGATTTTCTGTTGGAAAGATCTGTCCAATGTTGAAAGTGGGATGTTGAAGTGTCCAGCTATTATTGTATTGGAGTCTGTCTCTTTAGTTCTAATAGTATTTGCTTTATATATCTGAGTGCTCCAGTGTTGGGAGCATATTTAGTTAAAATTGTTATATCCTTTTGCTGAATTAACTCATTTATCATTATATAGTGTCCTTCTTTGTCTCTTCTTAGAGTTTTGTCTTGAAGTCAATTTGTCGGATATAAGCACAGCTACTCCTGTTCTTTTTTGGCTTCTGTTGGCATGGAATATCTTTTTCCATCCGTTTATTTTCAGTCTATATGTGTCTTTATAGGTGAAATGTGTTTCTTGTAGGCAACACATCAATGGGTCTTTTTAAAAAATCCATTTAGCCACTCTGTTTTTTTATTGAAGAGTTTAATCAGTTTACATTCACTGTTATTATTAAGTAAGGACTTACTCCTTCCATTTTGTTACTAGTTTTCTGGTTGTTTTGTACTCTTCTCTTCCTTCTTGCTTTCCTTCTTATTTTCTTTCTTGTGAAGGTGATTTTTTTGGTGATACAATTTACTTTCTTGCTTTTTTATATTTTATATGTTTGTTACATGTTTTTTAGTTTGAGATTACCGTGCGGCTTGTGAATACTATCTTATAACCCATTATTTTAAACTGATAACAACTTAACATGGTTTGCATAAACAAATAAGCAAAAAGAAAACTAATAAAAACTCTACACATTAACATCATCCCCCCACTTTTAAACTTTTTGTTGTTTCTGTTTATATTTTTTTGTACTATGTCCTGAAGAGTTGTTACAGTTATTATTTTTGATTGGTTCATCATTAAGTCTCTCTACTTAGGATAAGAGTAGTTTACCCATCCCACTTATAGTGTTATAATATTCTGTATTTTTCTGTGTCCTTACTATTACTAGTGAGTTTTGCACCTTCAGGTGATTACTTATTGCTCATTAATGTCCTTTTCTTTCTGATTGAAATACTCCCTTTAGCATTTCTTACAGGACAGGCCTGATGATGAAATCCCTCAGCTTTTGCTTGTCTGGGAAAGTCTTTATTTTTCCTTTATGTTTGAAGGATATTTTGGCCAAGATGTACTATTCTAGTGTCAAAGTTTTTTTTTCCTCCTTCAGCACTTTAAATATGTCATGCCACTCTCTTCTGGCCTTTAAGGTTTTTACTGAAAATTCTGTTGCTAGATGTATTGAGGCTCCATTGTATGTTATTTGTTTCTTTTCTCTTGCTATTTTTAGGATCTATTCTTTATCTTTGATATTGGAGAGTTTATTAAATGCCTTGTGGTAATCTTCTTTGGGTTAAATCTTCTTGGTGTTTTATAACCTTCTTGTACTTGGATAGTGACTTTTTTTTGTAGGTTTGAGAAGTTCTCTGTTATTATCCCTCTAAATAAAGTTTCTACCTGTCTCTTACTCTACCTCCTCTTCGAAGCCAATAACTCTCAGATTTGTCCTTTTGAGGCTATTTTCTTGTAGGTGTGCTACAAGAAAATAGATTTTGTAGGTGTGCTTGCTTGATTTTTATTCTTTTTTTAAATTTTGTCTCCTCTGGAGATATATTTTCAAATAACTTGTCTTCAAGCTCACTGATTCTTTCTTGAATCTCCTTGTTCAATTCTGCTAGTAAGTGACTGGTGCGTTCTTCAGTATGTCAATTGCATTTTTCAGCTCAAGAATTTCTGCTTGTTTTTAATTATTTCAATCTCTTTGTTAAATTGATCTGATAGAATTCTGAATTCCTTCTCTGTGTTATCTTGAATTTCTTTGAGTTTCCTCAAGACAGCTATTTTGAATTCTGTGTCTGAATGGTCACATATCTCTCTTTCTCCAGGATTGGTCTCTTGTGCTTTATTTAGTTTATTTGGTGAGGACATGTTTTCATGGATTGCCTTGATACTTGTAGATGTTTAAATGTGTCTGGGCATTGAAGAGTTAGGTATTTATTATAGTCTTTACTGCCTGGGCATGTTTGTACCTGTTCTTTTTGGGAAGGCTTTCCAGGTATTCAAAAGGACTTAGGTGTTGTGATCTAAGCTGTATCTGCTTTAGGGGGCACCCCAAGCCCAGTAATGCTGTGTTTCTTGCAGACGCATAGTGGTACCCCCTTGATGGTTTTAGTCAAGATCTGGGAGAATTCTCTGGTTTATTAGACAGAGATTCTTATTCTCTTCCCTTACTTTCTTCCAAACAAATGGAGTCTCTCTCTCTCTCTGTTCTGAGCCACCTGAAGCTGAGAGTGGAGTGACATAAGCACCCCTGTGGCCACTCCCACTATGACTGTGCTGGATCAGACCTGAAGCCAGCACAGCACTGGGTCTCATCCAAGGCTTGCTGTAACCATTCCCTAGCTACCAGTTATGTTTGCTCAAGGCCCTGGGGCTCTACAATCAGCAGGTGGCAAAGTCAGCCAGGTTGGTGCCCTTCCCTTCAGGGTGGTGAGTTTCCTCAGGATCTGGGTAGGTCCAGAGGTGCTGTCTGGGAGCCAGGGACTAGATTCAAAAACCTTGGAAGTCTACCTGGTGTTCTATTGCATTGTAGCTAAGATGGCACTCAAACCACTAGACGCAGTCCTTCCCCCTCTTCCTTCGCCTTTCCAAATGCAGAGAAGCCTCACCCTGGGGCCACCACCACCACAGGCCTACAGAGTACTGCCAGACTACTGCCAATGTTCCCTTAAGGTACAAGATCTCTTCAGTCAGCTTGTAGTGAAGGCTACCCGGCCTGAGACTCACCCTGCAGGGCAGTGGGCTCCCCTCTGGCCCAAAGCAGGCCCAAAAATGCCATCCAAGAGCAAGTCTTCTAATTGAGGGCCCCAAGAGCCCACTTGGTGCTCTATCCATGTGTGGTCAAGCTGGTACCTAAGGTGCAAGAGAAATTCTTTACTTTTCCCTCTGCTTTTCTTAAGCAGGAATCTTGTCCTGTAACCATCACAGTTGGGAATGTGCTGAGTTTCACCTGAAGCCAGCAAATCTCAGAGGCTCAGCCATGGCCCTTGATGTAGTACCAGGATATTGCCGCTGGTTTTTCGGGACCCAAGGATTCTTCAGCTAGTAGGTAATAAATGCTGCCAGGACTGGCTCCTTTCCTTCAAGGCAGTGTGTTCCCTTCTGGCCCAGGGTATGTCTAGTAATGTTATCTGGGAGCTAGAGCATGGAAAGGAGGCCTCAGGACTCTGATCAGTGCCCTATTCTGTTGTGTCTGAGTTGCTATCCAAGATGCAAGACAAAGTTCTCCCCATTCTTCCTTCTCTCCTCAAGTGGAGGGAAGGGGTCTTTTGTGGTACTGTAAGCTGTACAGCCTGGGGTTGGGGAAGGGTGATGCCAGCACTCCTTTAGCTGCCCCAGCTGGTATCTCAGTAGGTCACGTGCCCCCAGGTCCACTGGCCCTGGGCCCAGTTCAGCACTAGGACTTGCCTAGGTGTTGTAATCCTTGTGGACTAGACTGCCTTTCAAGTTTATTTAGGAACACAGAGCACTTTAGCCCACAGTGGTAAGGATTGCAGAAATTCAAGTTTGGACTGCTGGGATTGGAGATTCCTCTCTGCCTAGGGCTGGATTTATTTATTTAATTTATTTATTTATACTTTAAACTCTGGGGTACATGTGCAGAATGTGCAAGTTTGTTACATAGGTATACATGTGCCATGTTGGCTTGCTGCACACATCAACCCGTCATCTACATGAGGTATTTCTCCTAATGCTATCCCTCCCCTAGCCCCCACCCCCAACAGGCCCAGTGTGTGATGTTCCCCTCCCTGTGTCCATGTATGCTCATTGTTCAACTCCCACTTATGAGTGAGAACATGCAGTGTTTGGTTTTCTGTTCCTGTGTTAGTTTGCTGAGAATGATGGTTTCTAGCTTCATCCATATCCCTTCAATGGACACAAACTCATCCTTTCTTATGCCTTCATAGTATTCCATGGTGTATATGTGCCACATTTTCTTTATCCAGTCTATCATTGATGGGCATTTGGGTTGGTTCCAAGTCTTTGCTATTGTGAACAGTGCCACAGTAAACACAGGTGTGCATGTGTCTTTATAGCAGCATGATTTATAATCCTTTGGGTATGTACCCAGTAATGGGATTGCTGGGTCAAATGGCATTTCTGGTTCTAGATCCTTGAGAAATCACCATACTGTCTTCCACAATGGTTGAACTAATTTACACTCCCACCAACAGTGTAAAAGCATTCCTATTTCTCCACATCCTCTCCAGCATCTGTTGCTTCCTTAGATACCATCTCATGCCAGTTAGAATGGCGATCGTTAAAAAGTTAGGGCTGCTTTAAATGCTCCCTCTGTAGGTGGGTATCAGCAAATTTGGTATGGTTTCTCTTTCTGCTATAATAGGGTGGCACTGAGTTCAATGCCTCACAATTGCGGTGCTCTCCCTCCCCCAGTGCACTGAAATGCTCTCTGCAGCACACTGCCACTGCTGGGAGTGGGTGTGGGTGGTGGTGGTGATTCGAGACTCCCTTTTCTACCTCTTCAGTGCCTCTTTCAGTGATATTAAGTTAAAGCCAGGTACTGTTAGTGCTCCCCTGAGTTTTGGTTCCCATGAAGGTGCTTTTTTGGTGTGTAGATAGTTGTTAAATTGGTGTCCTTGTGGTGGGGACGGTCGATGGAGCCTTCTATTTTACCATCTTGCTTTCCTCTTCCCCGGGTTTGATTGCTATATGGTTACACTCAGTGCACCATCGGCTTGAAATTCCTTTAGTGATTCCTTGCACTTAGAATGTGAGCTAATTTTCCAGAGTTATTTTCTCAGTGTCCGCTTCCTTCTTGGCTTTGAATATTTCCAATGTGCTCAAGAGAGAATCTGTTTCTTGTAGCTCTCCTAATTGTATTCCCTATTATTTTCACTTGGTGCTTCTTAGCCTAGTGGAGGACCAGGGCCAAATTCTCTGATGTTCTGATTAAGCATTAGGCTTAGTAGACACTGTATCACTTAGCCTCTAGTGTATGGCTTTCAAAGGTGCTCCTACCCCTCTTCAAGCTGTAGTGTGTCTAGCATGTATTCTCATCCCTCCCTCCGGGTAGAGCTTTCTGTTTCCTTCCCTTTAGATGCAATGAGTTTCCACAGTATCCTGATTGACAGTTTTTATTATACTTCTGTCTGAAGACTAAGACTTTTGTCCCATACGGGAAATAGAAGAGATGAAACTGCGGAAATTTATCACTGACTGCCGTTTCTCTCTGCAGCCAGGATCATGAAGGAAGCTGTCTTGAGATTATCTCACATCTTCTCTCTAAGTGTCTGGTGAGATTCTTAGAACCTGCAAGAGGGTGCAAACTCCCCTGTATTTACAGTCCCCAGGGTCTTTACACTCTCACAATAGTCCACATTTGTTCTGTAGAAATGTATCTAAAAGTTTTGCTTGAATCCTTCTTATCAGCTTATGTGGCTTTCAGCAATGTCTACTCCAGGGAAGCAAATGCTTAATATATATTTCTCCCTGAAGAATCATGTCTTTCTCTAGATTGCAGGTTAGTTTGTTACCCTGCAGCCACAGTTCTCAGACAAACTTAATAAAAATTATTAATTTGTAGTTTGATAAGGGTGGGAGAAATGCTTTTCAGTGCTCTACATTTCTGAGTTGAAACTGGGGATCTGGCTGTCTTGATTTTGTCTCCGATTTTTATCAGAGAATAATCCAGGCTGCTTTAAATACACAAAAACTAAGAATGAACTCAACATACAGCGGGGATCAGAGGATACTCAACATAGAGAGCGGATCGGAGATCTGAACTTATTTCTTTAGCTTTGTGAACCCTGAATATCTGAGACAAATCCCAGTCAACTTAGAAAGTTTATTTTGCCAAGGTTAAGGACATGCGCCCGTGTCACAGGCTCAGGAGGTCCTGAAGACATGTGCCCAAGGTGGTAGGGCACAGCTTGGTTTTATACATTTTAGGGAGGCATGAGACATCAATCAATATATGTAAGATGAACATTGGTTCCATCCGGAAAGGTGGGACAACTGGAAGCAAAGTGGGGGGACAACTTGAAGCGGGTAGGGGACTTCCAGGTCATAGGTAAATAAGAGAAAAAATGTTGCATTTCCATCATTGTGGCTGAAAGCAACCAGGGAAAAGAGCCTGGGGTAACCACTGACACAAGTAACAATAAGGATGACTCTCAGAATCATCATACTTGTGAAAAAAGCCAGACATAAAGAGTGCATGTTGTGATTCCATTTATATAAAATTCTAGAAAATGAAAACCAATCTGTGGTGACGAAAAGCACATCAGTGGTTGCCTGGGGCCAGGAGAAGAGGGAGCCATGGACTGAAAAGACGCATTAGGATCTGTTTTTGGGGTGACAGAATGTTCTGTCTGTGTAGTGTTTTCATGGGTGGACACTGCCAAACTCATTGAACTTTATCCTTTAAATGGATACACTGTATTCCACATAAATTATAACTCAATCTGGTTGATAAAAAGTACTGATGTGTGTATTTAGGTCTTGCCTTTCCCAATCGGCCTGTGGTCCTCTGGAGGAAGGGCCATGTTGTCCTTGCCTGGGCTGCACTGAAGCAGTAACACAGTGCTGAGGAGGCCTCTGGCACAGAGAGACTGAGTGGGAAACATGCTCTGCCTTTCACCAGCTGTGATTCCTTAACTAGCAGCCTCTCCTTGGCCTCAGTCTACTCTCCATAATATAGAGACAAAAATGTAATGTACAGAGTATTTGGAGAGGTTAACGGGTATAATTCTACATAAAATTTTGAAAACAACGCAGGGTTCATAGTAAGAACTTAATACATGATATATATTATTATTCCTTTTGGCATTTATTATTAGTTAAAAACTCAAGGTAAAAGGAATATTTTTGAGTACCTACTGCGCCTCAGACACAGTACACTTCACTAAACTCAGTAATACATACAAAGTGATTCAGATGATAAGTGAATATCTAAGGTTTTTCTCTACATAGTTTTGATTCTTTTTGCCTCTTTTAATGTAGAATTTCAGCATTGTTTGTACGTTTGTGAGAAACATACTACCTGATTCTGTAGCATTTTTTTTTTCTTCTAACATAGCAGCACATGTCTCGGGTTGGCAGAGGGGTCGTGAGGGAAGCCCAACGTGCAGTCAGCCTCCCATCAGGGCAGGCAGGTGGGTCAACAGTGTGGCAAACACAGAGGGTGGCTGATGCACAGATTAAATTCTTGCTTCTTTTTAAAATAGAACATGAAGTAAATGATGTGTCTTACAAGATACCCAAAGGAAACATATTCACATCTGGAGAGCCCCTTTTAGCCTCTTTTATTATAAAGCAATGTAGTTGCAAAAGTGTAATTTGACAGTAAAAATATTAACCTCTAAAGGCAACTTTCCCAGGATGACATTTACAAGCCACCTCACACATGCTCACAGATTAACATGACACAAATCATCTGTTTTCAATCTCCATGTTCCTGCCCTCAGCTCTTCTTATATTAGGATTGACAGCATTTGGTTTTCAATGTTCCTCTTGAGGCTCAGAGAGCCCTGAAGGTATCAGTTAGATGAATGATGGGAATCTGGCTCTGATCTTTATTTTGCTATGTCATCCTGTCATCTCCCCACACCCCTCCTTCCCCTGCCAATAAAACACACATGTACCTCACACATAGAGATCTTAATTCTGAGTTAAAAGGCCAATTGACCACTGGGAATCCAAGGCCTCACATTTATCAGCTTTGTTCCTTCTGGTCTGTCTTCTCTCATAATATATGAAATCACTTTCACTTTTCTTAATGTCATTACCATGATAACCTTGTGTAAGTCACCTTCTTTGCCTTCTTACAGATACACACACTACTGATGGTGGTGTACAGAAATGAATGGGTCTCAGAGGAAACAGTTGTGACATATTCATTCACACACTCAGCATCTATTTATTGAATAACTTCTATGGCGCTGTGCTATTAGCAGAGACAGCAGGGAAAAGGAGAAAGGTCCATGTTCTGAAGCAGATTACCATCAGGTGGGGAAGATAGATAAGAAACAACCAGGAGCATTAGGAGAGTGGTAATTATTGTGAAGAAGTACATTATATAACAGAGCAATCTGGTGCAATTAATACAGTTTAAGTGACATGATATAAGCAATAGGAAGAGTCTAAGTAATGGAGCAATGTTGTAAATTCAGTGTACACAGTAGCACACACAGCAAATTAGATACAGGAAAATAGTGACCAGAGGCGGGTGCCAAGTTTAAATTAGGAGTGGCTCCGGGAATGCATTCTGAGGGGTGGCATTTGAGATGCAGTCCTATGTCATTTATAATCCTTTTGGTGGCAAGTAACAAAACCACATAGACCAAGATGGCTTTAGCCACAAGAACGACAATCACCTGATAAAACGCCTCAAAGTCGGGGGGTCCAGGTGGGCTGGTCCAGCGGCTCCTCTAGGCCATCGAGGGCCCGGGTTCCTTAGCTTCCGGGGTCAGTCTGGGCCACGGCTGGCTCCCTCAGGGCTCCGAGATCCCTGCAGCAGTTCCTGTCGTCAGTTCCCACAGGACAACATGCAGTGCGAGGAGGAGGCGCCACTTTCGGTGAGTCTCTTTGATCAAGGAGATGTTTCCCAGAAGCCCCAGTAGCCTTCTCACAGCTCACTGGCCAGAGTAATAGCACATGCTTTCCCCTAAACCAATCATTGGCAAAGCAGATGCGGGTTTAATGATGGAGGTAGGGAGGCCTGTGGTGAATGGAGGGCAGTGGATTTCCTGAAGAAAACCTTATTAGTATTAGAAAAGAGGAAAGTGTATGTGTGTCGGGCAGAGGTGCTGGTGCATAGTTGACTGGCCAGTAGAAAACCACTTATGAAGGACATCAGATCATATCCTCAGAAGACCATGGCATGGCCTTGGGATGGGGCTAAGCCTAGGAGAGCTCAGGGGAGCAGTGAAGACACATGAAGAGGGGCCTGTGCCGGGTAGGGAGGGCGTGCAAGGTGAGGCCAGAGAAGGAGGCAGGTCCAGGGCATTAGGGCCTGGTAGGCCCCTGTAAGGTGTTTGGATTGTATCTGGTATAGCAGAAGTTCCTGGAGAGGACAGAGGTGATCCAAGCAGAGGAGACAGCCCTGGGCCAGCAGTCAGCAGTCAGGTGCCGGCTCACACACGCAAAATGCTGTGCAAGAGGCGGTCCCTTTCTCTATGCTGGATTCAGTACAGGTAAAATGAGGCTCATGGCACCCACCTCGTGGCATTACCGTGGGACTTACTGCATTGAAAGGAGAGTGTTGCGGCAATGAGGTCCTGTACAAGTATGAGCTGTCTTGTTCTCATTATTTGAGATAGTTATAAAATGCCTATGAACACTGAATTAGCGAGTACTGAACCTTTGCTTGTAGGAGAAATAGACACACACACACACACACACACACACATTTCTAATAGTCTGTAATCTTCTATTACAAAAGAAATATTGAAGTTTGGAAGTGTTAGGTGACTTGTCTGAGGCTGCCTCACTAACAGGTGCCAGAGTAGGGATTCAGATTCTGTCCTACTGGATCCAGCGCCCAAGCTGAAGCTTCCCACACAGTGCTCCACTGCCCCCTATATTGTCCATGCTCTGGTCTTTGTATGAGAGCTGAGACAAGAAGGCAGAGCGAGTACTTGCTTGACCTCAACTGGGGATGCGTGCATGGCAGGTGGTTCAAAATTTTCCCCTCTCTGTGCAATTCCACAAATGACCAAAAAAGGAAGGTACTGCAAGTACTGACTTTGGGGTTACAAATAACTTTTAGGGAGTAGATGAGTTTGCAAATATGGAATCCACAAATAATGAGGGTCATCTGTAATTGGTGAGACCATGAAGTGAGAAACTCTGGTTTCTGTATATCTAATATATCCTTTGTACGTTGTTAGATACCTCAAGTCTTAGTACTCAGTATGATTAGCCTTATTTGTGCTGTTTTAATTGAATTACTTAAAATGGAGGCATACACTTTTTTAAGGGTATGCATGTCCCAGGAGAAAAAACTCAAAAGATAGTCAACATAAAGAATTGCTAAGCCCTCTTACTTTGTTATGTTTTTAATTAATTTATTTTTCCCATATGAGCTATACATCACTTCCTAAAAGATGGGGCAGGTTTAAGACTGTAGTGCTCCGAAAGGATGCAGACAGTTACATTATTTCATTCCTTATGAACATAGAAAGGGCCTCACAGTTTCCAAAACTGGTGTGTTCTCTCCAGTGGGATGTGATTCAGAGTGATTTGATGTGTGATTGGGGGTGGTTGGGTAGCAGTAAACAAGGGAGAACCGTAATTTTCCACAAATGCAAGAGGTTTGAGGTCTGCACTACAGAACATTGGACTGAGAAAGTTCTGGCAATAGGTGATAACCACCTGAGCTAGGGAGAAGTGAGAGCAGAACTCCCCAATGTATCCACTGCAGGTTTCTAAATCACAGGGGGCCTCAATCTCTTTTTTTCTGAGCAGGGTTGGGGGGACTTCCTTCTCTCGAGGTAGTCTGCATGCCACAGGCAGAACAAGCAGTGAGTTCAGGGGAAATCAGAGGTCTTACTGAGCCTTCACCTTCTCCTAGTGCAATGCTTCCTTGGGAAGGCAGATATTTCTCTATAATGGGGCTTCCACACCTTGAGTACCTAAATGGATGGCAGTCAGGCTCAGCATTGTGTCAGCATCTATTAAAAATAAGAACATGACCCTCCACTCCATTTTCTTCTCTGAATGGAGATCTTGTTCTGATTATTCTCTTTACAGTCCTGGGCACAATGAAGCAGATTTAACTGCCTCAAACATGCTCTAAAATACAGCTAATTTGCTTGCTTCATTGTTGTTCTTCTCTCTCTTTTTATAAAATAAAGCAAAGAGAGGGATAGAAGTAGATTCTTTTCTTTTTTTAATTTGAAAAGTTAAAGAAATGCCATATTCAGCTCCCTGTGGAATTTTGGGGATGAGAGACACATTAGCTATCAGGCCTAATGGTAGCTCTATCTACTACCATCTTAGGCCTGGAAGGAAAAAGACTTTAGACTGCTAAGTTCTGACAGGATAGGAAAGGGGCTCCAAAAATGAACTTAGCCAGACTCCAGTAACTCTTCAGCAATCCTTGTTCATTGCTTTGTGGACTGGGATTATCAAGTCAAAGTCTCAATGATTTCAGCAGATCTCCCAATGAGCAGCCTATGTTAATTATACTTAAGGATTCCTAAAGACGTCATTGGTGTTGAGAAGTGGAAGTGACAAGGATCCATCCCTGTGACTGGGGATGCAGGGTGAGTCTTAAGTGTCCCATTAGCTATTTTCTCCTTGGTTTCCATGTCAAGCTACAGTGTAGAGCTGTTGGGTGGCAAAAGGCCGGTTTCATTTCCAAGGAAGCACATTCGTATTAGTGCCATTTTTTTTTGGCGGGGTGGGTGGCGAGGTGGTAATTTATCTCAAACCACTTGGAAGTTTACTCTTTAAGTTTGGAAGTGGGCACTTCTGACATTGTTCTTGAGCCATTCACTTGACCATGTCAAATAGGCAGTTGGGCACGTGTGTCTGGGGCTCAGAAGGGAGGCCTGAGTTGTAGTTACAGATTCAAGTGAGGAAGAGAAGCAACAAGAATAAGTCCCAGTTTCTGGCTTGCAAAAGTGGGGCTGTGGTGGCCCCACTGGTTGAGGTGGGGGCCCTGCCAGCAGCACAGGCTTGACACTGCCCCTCAGCAGTATGAATGCAAAGGTTGCACAATACTTTTTATTTTCTGTCCTCTGCTCATGAAACGATTTGTGATCCCTCTTTCTTCTCTCTACCTAGTTACATAAATACATTTTCCTGATTGTCCAGGAGAGAAAGTCAGCCACAATTTATTTGCTTATCCTGAAAATGTGAAGTAAAATGGGGACTTAAATGGTCTAATGCTCAACCTACTGAAGCATGCACATTAGAGAGGCCACCCCCAAGTGCTGAGTCAAAAGACCACGGTGAAATGCCACATTCGTTCTGCAAAATTATAGCTGAATGGGGCAAAAATAATTATATCCATGTTTCTAATGCATTTCACAACTATTTTGCCTACCAGGATTTTAATCTAGTGCAAAGCTCTCCTGATTTTTCAGAGAACCTCAGTATGACTTGAATAATGTGCTTTTTCAGTAACATAAAAACCTTTTATGCATCTTCAGATATGGTGCAAGAGTGAACTATGAGGCACCTGGGGTTTGATTAGTGATCGTTTGAGTACCTAAAAAAGGTAAGATAAAGAAAAACACACATACACACAAAAGGCAACAGAGGTTATATAACTCCATTAAATTATGTTAATGGTTTTACTTGTCAGTATTTTGTAATACAAAATAGTTTTCCTGGAGTCTATTTGTCAGTGTTTGTCACTAATTAGTGCCTACAAATTACCTTTTGTACAAGTTCTGTTCATTGGGTTGTTTTGGTGTCTAATAAATCAGAGCTGCTGCAGTTCATGAACTTTCACTGTTGTTGTTTTTTCCTTGTGCTTTTCCTACTGATGCATCTCAAGGTTCTACCTCCTTCCCAAAGGTTTCCAACAACTGTGATTCCATTTTTGTGAATGGGAAGGAAATGAAGAGCAAAGTGGACACGATTGTGAACTTCACCCACCAGCACTTCACCTCCCAGTTCGAGGTCACTGTCTGGGCACCCAGGCTCCCCCTGCAGATTGAGATCTCAGACACCGAGCTGAGCCAGATCAAGGGCTGGAGGATCCCGGTTGCTGCCAACAGAAGGTGAGGAATCAAAGAGAAGGCTGTGGATCCGATTGTCCTGGAGTCCAGATCTTTGTGGGAGGCAAACTGGCCCTCAGGGACTCAAGCCATTGGGAAGCAACATCCACAGCGGGAAGCGTGGTCTGGGCTTTGGGTTCAGATGGATCTGACTTGAGTACTTACTAGCACCTTGACATGAGGAAATTATAATGAAGATGATAATAATAATAATAGTAACAACCTCATAGAATAGTTGCTAGGATTCAGTAAAACGAATGCAATACATAACAAGCACCTAGCACAAGATGTGGCATTTAGGACATAGCTATTTTCTATTCCTTACTCACTTCTTTATTGTTCATTCCTATGTTATTCACTCTCAGTTCCCCTGCTTGTAAATGTCAGCCTTCCTCCATGGAGCACAGTACAGTGGTTAAGACCGTGGGCTGTGGGATAAGGCTGCCTGAGTTGTTCCCCACCACCATCCCGCGCCGGGCAAGACTCTTCCTTTTTTTGCCTGAATTTTAACCCCAGCTTTACAACTTGTACCTGTGTGACATTGGACATGTGATTTAACCTATCTCTTTCTCAGTTTCCTCATCTATCAATTAGGGATGATAACATTACTGAAGGGTTGTCCCCAGAACTCAGTGAATGGATACATACTATAGTAGACAGTTCTAAAGACGACTCTCGCCTGTAATCCCAGCACTTTGGGAGGCCAAGGCAGGCGGATCACGAGGTCTGGAGATCGACACCATCCTGGCTAACATGGTGAAAGCCTGTCTCTACTAAAAATCCAAAAAAAATAGCTGGGCGTGGTGGTGGGCGCCTATAGTCCCAGCTACTCGGGAAGCTGAGGCAGGAGAATGGCCTGAACCCGGGAGGCGGAGCTTGCAGTGAGCCGAGATCTTGCCACTGCACTCCAGCCTGGGTGACAGAGCGAGACTCCGTCTCAAAAAAAAAAAAAAAAAAAAAAAAGTCTCCCTCCCCATGATCCCCATCTCCTGCTTCTTCAAACCCTAATCTGGTAGTGCTGGGAGGGGATTTTACAGATGTAACTACAATCCCAAATCAATGGACCTTAAAATACAGAGATTAGCCAGGTGGTGGGACCCAACAGATAAGCCCTCTGCAAGCAGAGAGTTCCTGCCAACTGGTAGCAGAAGGGGAAGTTGGGAAGATTTGAGGATGAGAACAACGTGATGATGTACTGCTGGCTTTGAAGGTGGATTGAGCCACTTGCTGAGGAATGTGGGTAATCTTTAGTAGCTGAGAGCAGCCTCCAAATGACAACCAGCCAGGAAATAGGGCCTCAGTTCTATAACCTTAGGAACAGAATTCTGTCAACAACCTGGCTGATCTTAGAAGTGGATTCTTCCTTAGCACTTCCAGATAAGAGACCAGCCCAGCTGACGCCTTAATATTGAACTTGTGAATCTCTGTGTAGAGACTTAAGTTGAGCCTGCCTGGATTACTGGCTTGCAGAACTGTGAGTGTGTTGGTGTGGGCATTGCTTTAAACCATGAAGTTTGTGGTCATTTGTCATGCAGCAATAGAAAACTAATACAGAGCCTGTTGCCCAGGGGTGGAATGTAGCCGTAACTCATACCTCAAATGTGAGCGTGCCTTTGGCATCAGGCAGTGAGTGGAGGCTGGAAGATTTTGAGGAGCATCATGGAAAAAGCCTCAACTGCCTTGAACAGATTGTTAGTAGAAACGTGGGTGTTAAAGACATTGTGCATGATGCATGAGGATCATTGTAGAGAAATCCCAAGTCACCTTACAGAAAGCCGAGATCATTGTGGACAAATGGGAAGTAGAAATCTGAACTTCAAAAACGCTGCCAGTGAGGGTTCAGGGGGAGGTGAGGAGCATGGATTCTGGTTAGGTGGTGACAGAGTGCTTAGCAAGGTTGTTCCCTGCAGGTGTGTGGAAAGCAAGTGAGGTCAGATAGTTAGCTGAGGAGAAGTCCAGGCAAACTACTGAATGTGCACTTGGATTCATCTTGCTGCTAATAGCAGAATGCAAGAGGATAGAGAAAATTTTGGAAGGGCTATGAGACAAAAAGAAACAGGGACCTGATGATGTTGAAATTTTCAGTATTTCCAGACAGCAAATGATGAATAAATTTTAAGAGATTCATTGTCAGAAAAGTGTGCTTTAAACAAAAGGCCAAGGTGGATCTCGAAAACCCTTGCTGAAACTTGAAGGGCCGCTGGGGGAAGTGATACTGCCCTGCCTGCCTGACATCTTCCAGCCTCCACCCAGCCCAGGGAAGTGCCCTCGTCTCCTATGGGCAAACCCAGAGGGATTCAAGTGGGATTCCTGCTTCACTGTGGGAATCCACAGTGCCAGGGGAACAAAACAGACCAGAATAGCACCTGAGGGCTCTCAAGCCAAATTTTCATTAGAACTTAAGTGCACAAAAGTAGGCTAGGACATATGCACTAAAACAAAGCAAATTTAACTACAATAGATTTCAGCTGCACCCAGGGTTTCCTGTCATAATATACAGAACGTCCAGAATATAACTGAAAAAATTCATTTGTCATACCAAGAATTAGATAAACCACAACTTGAATGAGAAAAGATGATCAACTGATGGCAGTGCCCAGATAAATCAGATGTTAGAATATCTGACAAGGATTTTAAAGCAGCCATACCAAAGGAAAAAAGAAAAGCTTTCAGTAGGAAATTACAAATAGCCTTGGAACCAATTAAAATGGAAAATATCTCAGCAAGGAAATATAACTTATAAAAAAGAACCAGATGTAAATTATAGAAAATATAGGAAAGAGGGAGAACAAAAGCCCTCAATAGGCTCGGCAGTACAGTGGAGATGACAGAGGATAAAATCAATGAACCTGAGGACAGACAATGCAATTTACTTAATCTCAATAACAGAGAAAATAGTCTTGGGGGAAAAAGGGAACGGAGCATCAGGGACTTGTGGGACCATAACAAAAGATCTAGGATTCCCGTAATTAGAATCCGAGAACAAGAGGAGAAAAGGTGTCGGGCTCAAACAGTATTTGCAGAAATAATGGCTGAAAACCTCTCCAATTTGTCAAGAGACATAAACACATAGTTTCAAAAAGCTTGGGAAACCACAAACATGATAAACCCAAAGAAATCCATGTGAAGACACATAGTAATTAAACTTCTGAAAATTAAAGACAAAGACAGTCTTAAAAACATCCAGAGAGAGGTTATACCAATTTGAATGGCAATGAATTTCTTGCCTGAAACCACGGAGGCCAGAAGGATTTGGCACATTTTTCAGGCGCTAAAAGAAAGGAACTGTCAGCCTCAAATTCTTTACCTGGCAAAAGTATCCTTTAGGAATGAAACGAGAATAAAGACATTCTTAAATGAACAAAAGTTGGAGAGTTTGTTTCAGGAGACCTACCTTTAAAGGGTGGCTAATGGAACAGAAAAAATTATAATGGAAAAGGATTTGGAACTTCAGAAAGGAAAGAAGAATGATAGAATGAGTAAAAACACTGTTAAATAGGATAGACTTTCCTTCGCATCAATTTTTTACATCATGTTTGGTATTCAAAGGGAAAATTATGACATTATGTGATGTGGTACTTAGGATAGACAGAAAAACATACTTAAAACAATTGTATCCTTTTTTTTTTTTTTTTTAATTATACTTTAAGTTTTAGGGTACATGTGCACATTGCGCAGGTTAGTTACATATGTATACATGTGCCATGCTGGTGTGCTGCACCCACTAACTCGTCATCTAGCATTAGGTATATCTCCCAATGCTACCCCTCCCCCCTCCCCCCACCCCATCACAGTCCCCAGAGTGTGATATTCCCCTTCCTGTGACCATGTGATCTCATTGTTCAATTCCCACCTATGAGTGAGAATATGCGGTGTTCGGTTTTTTATTCTTGCGATAGTTTACTGAGAATGATGGTTTCCAATTTCATCCATGTCCCTACAAAGGACATGAACTCATCCTTTTTTATGGCTGCATAGTATTCCATGGTGTATATGTGCCACATTTTCTTAATCCAGTCTATCATTGTTGGACATTTGGGTTAAAAGCGGTCAGGGTAATGGGACTTACAGGGAACTAAGGTATCTACACTCAAAGTAGCAAAGCTTTGGTATCATTAGACTGTAATAAGTTATGCTTGTATGTTAATAAGCTCTATGTATACCATTGCCAATTTCCTGGTTTTGATATTTTCCTATAGTTAGGAAGATGCTAACTTCAGGGAATTGCATAAAGAGTGTATAAGATCTCCTGTTTTTTTTTTTTTTTCTGTTGTTGTTGTTGTTTTAGCTTTTAGTGAATTTCTAATTATTTTGAAATTAAAAGTTTAAATAAATGAATAGGATACAATCTATCCTAAAATAACAGGATTATTTTGTTTCATTACTACAGGATTTATAACATCTGATGTATTCATTGACCATTGTTATGATACTGCCACATTTTAGTGAAACACAAGCCTAGTGGTGTTCTTCTTAAATTTTACCCATTAATTTAAAGGAAACTTCCCATTGCTAGCACAAATGGTCAACTAGTGTCATTTATCATAAAATAAATTTAACCTAAAATTATTGCAAAGAAAATTAAACAATGTTGTTAAATTCTGAGTAGACACTATTGCCTGCCTATGTGAGCTTGTCTTTATTAACTAAAGGAAAGTAGTTAGTTCCGAGAAGCTTTAAAGACATCCTAGCACAGAACAGAGACATTCCCTGTGACATATTCAGAAGGACTGGAAAATAAAATGGGAATAACTTTTCAGTATGTTATTCAATTTTTTTAATTGAATGCTATGTTTCTTTGCCACCTAACACCATCTCTCTTACTCACGGAGATACTCATTTCTTACTTTGGGAAACCAAAATTGTTATGCTATTGTGCTGGTGAAAATTTTTCTACCATTTTATAAATGGTTCTCAGACCTTTCAGGGAGGCGGAATGTCATATAGTAAAGAAGGTGGGTTTCAGAAGTCAAATGGAGCTGTATCCAGACCTGCTAATTGCCAGCTATCTGGGCTACATATTCACCACTCTGAGCCTGGTTTCTTTATGCAAAAATAAGAACATGTTTCATAGCTGTTGTGAAGATGAATGGACTTAGCTATAGAAAGGAAGAGGACACACATGATGGGGCAGCTGGTCTGGCTGTGTGGGCCCTGCCTCGGGAGACAACCAGCTGTGTGGCCCTGGCTGAGTGGCCGCACAAACCATGTCTTGGTTTCCTCATTGGTAAGATCAGGGAAATAATTCAACCTTGCTCTTTGGGGGTGTGTGAAGATTACATGAATTAAATATGCACGGCTGTTGTGTGCTGCGTGGGCGATGGATGTCCGCTCTCATCATTATGTAAGCACGTGGAAGAAGACACACAGTAGGTCTAATTCAGCATGCATGAGTCACTCCCCTTCCCCCCTTCTCCCCTGACAGAATCCCCAGGCACTGAGGGCACAGACTGGTCAGTAGTCACCAAACAAAGCACTCTCATAAAGGGACACAGGACTGCTACTTCTTGAGGGGAACGTTCTGGAATTGCAGAGCCAGAGAGACTTTCTCAGGGTGGATTGTGGACAGGTGGAGGTTAGAGGATAACAGGTGCCAGGGAGAGAGGAAGGGTCAGAGCCATAAGGAAGGAAGGGAGAAGCCAGGATGGGCAACAGGAGAGACACATTTCAGATGTTTTAGCAGTAGCTTGAGCAGGTTTGCTCACAGAGCAGTGATTTTAGATTAGGGTAGGATGGTGGAAGGAGAGGATCCTTTGGCAAACTTTAGGGCCATAAGCTCAGGAAGTTGCTTCTTTCTGTACAGACTCAAGGACCTCAGCTGATGAGGAGGTCGGGTGTTAGAACCGTCCACTGCTGATGGTTCCTGGTTGGTCTGGGGTTCCTAAAGGGCCATTTCTGAGGTGTCATCATATCTTGACCTACTTGGTCCTCATGTGGTACTATGAGAGAGGAAAGGGGCCAGCTGTTCCTATGTTCATTTCCAAGGGGAGGTAGCTGAGCCTGTGAGAGGGTAGAGAACTTGGCATGAGGTCCAATGGGAGGGGTCAAAATGAATCCAAACAGCAGTTCTGACTCATATCTTAGGTTCCTCCATCCCACAGGGGAATGATTTTAAAATTACCAGTTTCCAGGACGCCAAGACCAGAGCCTCAGCCTCTGTCTGGGTCAGGAAGGCAGGAGCTGCCCTTGCCATTCTTGTTGCAAGCAGAAAGCACATCATCCTCATCAAAGTGTGCTTGTGGAATGAGTGAATGAACTGGGAGTGGATAGATGGCTGAGCAGGTCCTGCAGGAGAAGGACCATTTCATTTCATTCTGTGGGCTCACCTAGAATCTGAAAAACAAGGGCATGCAGAACTTCTTAACAATGAAGACTTTGTTCTGTTTCGATTCCTTGTGCTCCAGGCCTACCCGGGAAAGCGATGACGAGGACGATGAGGAGAAGAAGGGACGAGGCTGCTCCCTGCAGTACCAGCACGCCACAGTGCGTGTCCTCACCCAGTTTGTGGCCGAGTCACCTGACTTAGGGCAGCTGACCTACATGCTGGGCCCCGACTGGCAGTTTGACATCACTGACCTTGTGACCGAGTTCATGAAGGTGGAGGAGCCGAAAATCGCTCAGTTACAGGACGGCAGGACCCTGGCTGGTCGGGAGCCGGGAATAACCACGGTGCAGGTACACGCCGCCATGCCTTGCCCAACAGCAGTCTGTGTTGATGAGTGGCCAGGTAGATGCTGTTGTGCAGATGTGTGTCTGTGTGCACATGTGCATGTGGACATGTATATCAACGTGTGTCACTGTGCATGTATTGCCTCTGTTTGTTTGTAAGAGAATCCTGGGAAGCAATAGAGCATTCACCAATTTTAATAACCTAAACTCAGATTAATTTTTGTATTTTAGAGGCTTTAGAAAAATATCTAATCCCTTTTACCAAGAAGGCTAAATGAAACATGTAGTGTAAATAATCTTTTCCCCAACATCATATTCTCCATTTTGTGTATCACCAATAGAAGGTGGTTATACTGCTGAAAGCTAGTGTTTTTCCTCCTAACCTTGAATTTTAACCTTTTAGTTGTATCATACCTTGTACAGTAGACAAAAGTTT
The DNA here is from genome assembly GCF_000001405.40 of Homo sapiens. NCBI lineage: Eukaryota > Metazoa > Chordata > Mammalia > Primates > Hominidae > Homo > Homo sapiens. The sequence continues at coordinate 125,651,384 of NC_000012.12, forward strand.
TTAAAAATATAATAATCCGTAGCTATTCTTTATCACAGTGATAGTTAAATTATTTTCTAGCCAATTTGACAGGATAATTATGCAGAAATGGTGCAGAATATTTCTTTATACAAACTTAAAATGTTTCCGCTCAGAGTTAACTAAGTCAGATTTTATTGTAGCCAAAGCTATATTTTTGGCAAAGCTGGATGAAACATGGTATGTTCTGTGTTTTCTATTCTTGTGTGACAAATTACCACAAACTAGCAGCTTAAAAAACACCCGTTAGTCAGCTAATATTTCTGCAGGTCAGGCATCTGTGTGGGCCTGCTGTATTCTGTGCTCAGGGCACCATGAGGCTGAACTCCAGGTCTCGGCTGGCCTGGGCTCTTATCTGGGAGTTTGGGGAAAGGCTTGGCTTCCAAGCTCCTTCAGGCTGTTGGCAGAACTTAGTTCTCTGTGATTTTAGGACTGACCAAAGTCCCTGTTTCCTTGCACTCTGTCAGCCAGGGGTCACCAGGGGTCACTCTGCTGCAAGGCCACCTGTATTCCTTGTCACGTGGTCCCTTCCGCCTTCAGTAATGGCTGGATGGAGTCCTTCTCACACTGTGAATCTCTGGCTTCCCCTTCTGCCCCTAGCCAGGAAAAGGTCTCTGCTTTTAAGGACTCATGTGATTACATTGGGTCCACCTAAGTAATACAGGATGCCTGCCCTGTTTTAAGGCCAGCTGTGCCATTCTAAATATTAGTTGTTGGGAAAATGTTGCTCTTTGAGTACCTAATATCAATGGACAGTTTTTTATTATTGCCTGTAAGTTAAATCAAGATTCTTTCAGAAAATATACTGCTGTTATCATGACATAAATCAGAGGAAAGTAAATAGACCAAGATGATCTTTATAAAACTCCTGTAATTGTGAAGTGTGATTGAACAACGGCATAATACTTCCCTAACCGATTCCCACAAATGCATGCATTGAGCCAAGGGCTGGGAGAGCACTTTGTTGGGAGCCCCAGTTAAGGGATTCATGGTGCTCATGAGGAGCAGAGATGCATGAGTCTCCTCGCTGACTTTTCAGGTCCTCTCGCCGTTGTCTGACTCCATCCTGGCTGAGAAGACGGTGATTGTCCTGGATGACCGAGTCACCATCGCGGAGCTGGGAGTGCAGCTCGTAGCTGGCATGTCTCTCTCCCTGCAGCCACACCGAGCAGACAAAAGGGCCATCGTCTCCACAGCTGCTGCCCTGGATGTTCTTCAGTCCCCACAGCAGGTGAGCGTTCCAGGGGCCCTGCGTCCTTGGTCAGTGGGGATGACTTCTCTCTCAGTTAGCACATCCTGCGAAGGAGAGCAGGAGAGCCCTCACGCCTAGGACTGGGGATTCTTGAAGCTTCTTGCTTCTTATCCAGGCCACCCTGTCTCTGAGAAAAGTATTCAGTGGCTTAGACACATTTCCTCTTATGTGCTTTTCCACGCTGACCACATCCTTATACGCCATTTGCTTTCCCCTGGGCTTATCTGTGACAGGCACAGCCTGCTGCTAGACCATGACCAAAGGATCACGTGTTTTCACTTTTGCCAAAGCAGGTGGTTTTTGATACTTGGAAATTCCATTTCAGCTACTTAAGCATGGCTAACAGGCACCAAATTGCTACTGTTTACAATAAGTATGGTCAACTCTAAAACGTCCTCCCATCTCTAAACTTCTATAAATTATTTCTAAAGATACCAGAGCCACTGTACCATTCAAGCCAGCCAGCCTCACAATGCACCTTCCCGAGTCCTTCCAGCCAGTGCATGTTTTGCTCCATCACCACTGGCTTCTTAATGAAGAGTGTTCAAAGTGATATTATCTTGAGCAGTAGCCTGATTTGTTGCACCTGAAATTGATTCAGATAAATTGCCTGATCTTTCAAAATGTTTTTAAAAAGGTCAAAGTCAAATTCTATTGTATGTATGCAATAAATTAATTTATAGTTTAATGCAGTCATTAAAGTATATTATTTATTCCTTGTACCAGTGAGGCTACAGCACATTATTGATGCCGGTTCAACCAGTTCAAGGCATAACAAGAACTGTTCAAGATTATAAAACTATAGAAATCTTCTCCTTATATTTAAACAATTTATATAGGAAATTATACTTATGTTTTCAAATGTGAAGGAATCTGATTATAACATAATGCTTTGGTTTCATTTTCCTCAGGAAGCAATAGTAAGTTCTTGGATTTTGTTCAGTGATGGTTCGGTGACACCTTTAGACATTTACGATCCTAAGGATTATTCTGTTACTGTCTCATCATTGGATGAAATGGTGGTGTCTGTCCAGGCAAACCTTGAGTCCAAATGGCCAATTGTGGTTGCAGAGGGTGAAGGACAAGGGCCTTTGATTAAGTTAGAAATGATGATAAGTGAACCTTGTCAGAAGACCAAGAGGAAGAGTGTTCTTGCCGTGGGTAAAGGAAATGTCAAGGTCAAATTCGAACCAAGTAGTGATGAGCACCAAGGAGGCAGCAATGATATTGAGGGCATAAATCGGGAATATAAAGACCACCTCAGTAATTCCATAGAGCGCGAAGGAAACCAGGAGAGAGCAGTCCAGGAATGGTTCCACCGTGGCACACCTGTTGGCCAAGAGGAAAGTACCAACAAAAGCACAACCCCCCAGTCTCCCATGGAAGGGAAGAATAAGTTACTCAAAAGTGGTGGTCCAGATGCCTTTACAAGCTTCCCCACTCAAGGGAAGTCACCGGACCCCAATAATCCTAGTGACCTCACAGTGACCTCAAGGGGGCTAACGGACTTGGAGATTGGCATGTATGCCTTGCTCTGCGTCTTCTGTCTGGCCATTCTGGTCTTCTTGATCAACTGCGTGGCGTTTGCCTGGAAATACAGACACAAAAGGTTTGCTGTGAGTGAGCAGGGCAACATCCCCCATTCCCACGACTGGGTCTGGCTTGGGAATGAAGTGGAACTTTTGGAGAACCCTGTTGACATTACACTCCCATCAGAGGAGTGCACAACCATGATAGACAGGGGCCTGCAGTTCGAGGAGAGGAACTTCCTTCTGAATGGCAGTTCCCAGAAGACTTTTCATAGTCAACTACTCAGACCCTCTGACTATGTCTATGAGAAAGAAATTAAAAATGAACCTATGAATTCTTCGGGCCCAAAGAGGAAGAGAGTCAAGTTCACTTCCTACACCACCATCCTCCCAGAGGACGGCGGCCCATACACCAACTCCATCCTGTTTGACAGCGATGATAACATCAAGTGGGTCTGCCAAGATATGGGGCTGGGGGATTCACAGGACTTTAGAGACTATATGGAAAGTCTGCAAGACCAGATGTAAACTCCTTTCTTATGTTTGTATTCACCTTTATGCCTTCTGTTTTTTGAATGCTGGAGCAGTGAGTTTGATCAGCAATAGGGGATGATTTAACAAAGTTTGATTTGTGGAGGTCTGGTGGGATTCATTTCTAAGCAGGTAAAAGAGGTTTGGAGAGCTATAGAAGCTGGGTTTTAAGTTTGGAAATGCCTCTAAAACAGCCACATGTGGGGACTGGAGAAATTCTAAGACAACAGTTTTATGGACTGCCTGGTACGAGCTCAGTGCAAATGTATTAAACCTGACCCCACAGACATTGTTAGTCATCTCGTGACAAATGGCCATGTGGAATTAGAAAAGATTTGGGTGTTGATTTTTCTATTTCTAGACCTTTTAAAGCACAGTGGACACTTATTGCCCCTTGGCCTGAGTTTAGACATACATGAAAGATGACTGAATGTAGCTATCCTGATTTGTCATGAGCGCTGCTCATTATTTTTATATACATTTGCACCTGCACCTGTTCCTTTGACCTCTGGAATTCTTTTTGAAACATGAAGAGAAGAAATTTCAGTCTTTTCCTTGAGCTCTGTTTGATTTACACATGAGTTTTCTTCCCTGGGATTTGCCATGCCATGTTATTTCCTGGGTCTCCATGCAGGATGTCAGGTTTTTCCAGTTTTCTGCACTTCATCATCTAGGGATGGTATCCAAGAAGCTTATTCTCACTTTGTTTTTTCCTTCCTTTTGTTGTTGAACTTTCTTGTATAACACTGGGACAAAGGGTTTTACTTAAAATGTTAATATACAGTGAGGGAGGGCCATCTCTTTACTGTTTTCTATGTGAAGTTTCAAACATTTGGAAAAAAGTTGTCAATCACAAACATTTATTTTTATTCTCTGCTTGTTGAAAACTCATGGGGAACTCCTGGAGTGCATTTCTGAGGGTAAAAAGGCCCCAACATAGCTGTATTTATACAAGTGCTTTGTGGCCAACACAATTTACTATCCAAACTGAAGTCTTAAAGTAGAATTGACCTACACAGAAAGGAAATTGCCTAGGCAATAGATGCAGATTACACTTTCCATTTTACCAGAACAAAAGTTTTTTTTTTTTTAAATAAGTAGAATGACAGTTCAAGTTAGCAATATATAGAAATCCATCCATACAATGACCAAAATAAATAAATAAATAAAACTCAATCATGACTTTGGCAGAGATAAAACATTGACAAGGGTGTGCATTTGTGGAGAGAAGCAGTGGGTTTCCCCCCAAAATCCATACAAATAAATGACTATTCCAGAACTCAAGAAGCAGCTATTATAGAAAAAAAAATTAAAAACCACAGCTATTGAAAAATTAAAACGGCAAGAGAAAAAAAGAAACAACTCCTGCATAATGTTTAAATAAAAATGTTATTTTAATAGCATCATGAATGGTCTTAAGGCAAAAATTTCAGATTAGCAAAATGTGATGACATATTTATTAAGATTGTATTATTGGAAATGTAGACACTGGACTAGTATGCCTCATTATGAGCTTTACTGAGCCATTTGCATCTCTAAGAAATATGATTTTAAAGGCCCAAAGTAGGAAGGATCTGCAGGGGGTCACCTGAAGCAGTGCCCTGACTCCAAATGGCTGATAACTGAGCTAATCCAAGGAGAGGCGTTCAGTTGTTCTCTTATTATAGATTTCCTTGGGTGGGAACATGACAACCCCGCCTCCTCTAGCCATGACGTGGCAGCCAAAAAGTTCTTCCTGTATCTCTGGCCCACAGGACTGTAGTGTGTTTGGGAACAGTGCTGAAATTGCAAGTGATGTAGGCCTGACCTCCAGAGCCCAGCGTTCAGTTAGTTGTATAAAATGGGGCTTAGGAACCGAAGCTGATGAAGTTCCAAAAGTAGTTCAGTTTGATGGGATAAGGAAGCAAGGAGAGCCAGGCATTAGCTGCAAAAGGAGCTTGCAGAGAGATGGCTGACACTTTATGGGAAGATTCCTCAGTCAGCCAAAAGCTTTTCAAAGAGTTTGGTGCAGAGGTAGCTCAGAGCCAACCATCCAGGACCGAAGAAAGCTCATGTGCTGATTGACACATAGCTATCCAGGTGAGTCGGCTCCTTCTATGAGGCTTTTCAATCGTCTCTCCCTTTGGATCTCTGGCATTCCAGAAAGACTGGGAATTCATTTCTGAAAATGATGAACCTCCGCTGAAACGGGGAGGAAATCTCTTACACACATACAGCAGGGTCCTGCCCACTGGTAAAGTGAGACGTTGGGTAGGGGGTGTAACTGGGGAGGAGGTGAAGGAAATTATCCCTGCCATGGGGAGTGTTATTCAGGAACATAAAAATTAGAGCATTCCCTCTGATGGCAGTGCTTGACGGGGTGCAGGGAACAAACTGGGGAGCGTTCAAACATGCCAGTGGTTTCTCAGCAGGGCTGGAAACTGGCCACAGTCCTGAAGATGCTTCTTGTGACAACTTAGAGTCACTGGGAGTCACACAGCTCCTGTGTAGCCGCCTTTGCTCCTCTGTGTTAAAACCCAGTCAGTTCAAAATAACAATCAAATGGAAGGCCATGGGGGAAGGGTTCCTTCCACCATATAACCCACACCCAGATGTATATAAACGCATATACATACATATACCCGTGTGTGTGTGTGTGTGTGTGTGTGTGTGTGTGAATACTGAAGAGCCAGACAACAAACTATTTAGTAAGAATCAACAGTGACTGTCAATTGTTCTCAGATTTGGCATGGATACTATTTCTCATGAAATAATGTCATTAAAGTATTTCCTCCTCTAAATATTTCCTGAAGATCATAAACCATGGGTTATAGCACCTTGTTTTCCAGCTAGTCAATATACAACTATTAGGTGCTGTGCCCCAAAATATCTAAAATGGGGGTAAAGATATAAACTATTAAGCCATGAAATCTAATTTTCTGGGGACCATGCATTTGCCTGGATTTTCCAGGATTTTATGGCTGATAGACCCAAATTATTAGTCTTGATAAACAACCTGAACCAAACATTTATAAAGTCCCTTCCTCTCCCATGGGAATGGAATGCTCAGACTCCTGCTGAGGGAGACACCAGCAAGCCTCTTGAGAAGGCACCAGACAGTGAACTCTGTGGTCACATGAAGGGAGGTTCAGATGCTAGACGACCAGCGTATGACCTGGAACCATTGAGGATTGCAACCGCTGCCTCCAGGGTCCAGATGTGCTGCAGTAGAGGGCAGAGCACAGGAATCAAGAAGCAGCTGCCACACCAAAGAACTGATGCTTAAACACACAGGTGTGTTGCATTTGAGAGAAGGCAAGAAGAAAAGACAATAGAAGGTTACCCTGGAAAAACAACACCTAGCAAACCTCAGAATACTCCATGTGTCCCAAGAGAAGGAATAATTGTCTTTCTAGCTGTTATATATTGCACACTGGCCAGGATAAATTCCCAGACTATAATAATCCTGACTATGTAGACGGAAGTTTCTATTTATAAAGTCATGCAGGGGGAAAGTTGATTAATTTTTGTCCCATTGCCACATCTGTAGACTAAGTAATTTTTAACTTGCTAACTTTTAGAATGTCCACCTTTGTGCATTTTGGTAGCATTCTTGTTTCATTATTTTAGAAAGGGGTCTTCCCATTACTGGGATGTCGGGGCCCTGTCAGAGAACTATTATTAAGGCTCTGTGAGGGAACTGTTCAGTCTCACAGCAAGGACCACAGAGCGTGGTTTCATCTGAACCCTACAAGTCAGGGACACCAGTGTGTTTTCTACTCGAGTTACCTAAAAATGGTCTCAATTTTCCATTTCATTCTCTGTAAATGACACAATAGATGGTTTATAGACTCAGCAGCCCTCACCTTTTATTAAAATTATATATGTGTGATGTAATGCATATCACCTGTCATGTAAAGGGACGGTATGGATGGTGGAAAAGTTATGCTAAAATATGGATTGCAGATATTTTTGTATGTAATATAGGCAATATAATGAAACACCGAGTTTTTTAAAGTGAAAGCATGCAAAATCGTAGCTTTTAAATGTACAGACATCCCACTCAAAAATATCTAAACTGATAGTGGGAAAAACATTTGAGACCTAGTAACATCATGAAATGCACTGAATTTGGAATTCTGGCCTAGAAAGGCTGTGGCTTATGTTGGGATTGATGATGGAATCTGCCAGAACATTTTCATCTTATTCTTCTTGACTTTTGGATTTTTTTCTTTTCTTTTTTTCTGGAAATATTTCGGAAATAAAGTGACTTCATTTTTCAGCATAAAAGTATATTCTAACCACAGGGTAACACATCGTTTTTAACATGAAAATAAACATTTAAACATTCTTCAGTTGTTTCATTATTTTATCTGCATGTTCCATAAAGCAGCTGTATGGTTGGCTATAATATAGATTTATTTTTTCTTTTCAGCCAGAGATTTTAATACCCTTGATGCAGTAATAAATGGACATCAAAAGAAAACATTTCTTAAAAGTTGCCAACGTATTTTACCTTGAAAACATTTCTTATTTGTTATCCTAGTAGGCTGGGGAAAGCTTCTCTCCAGATGTCTCAGAAAAAGATCTCCTGTTTCTCATGGCCCCGTCCAGGGTCAAACCATGTTGAAAGTCAGTGCTGAAATGCATGATGCTGCGGGTGTTTGAGAGCCTTTGACCTCTGTCCACCCTTTGGTCTTTGCTCGTCAATGGCTTGGTCTTGTATATGTATCTGGGGCAGGGGCTTTGTACTGGGCCCAGGGTGCTGAGCTTTCCAGAACAGGCAGAGCTCTAGAGACCTAAGAAAACCACAGGACAGGCGGGGATTCTTTTTGAGAGGCTGAAGTAGATGTTTCAGCTGAAAGATGGGTGGTACACTTGCCAAGTGCCTAGAGGGGCTAGAGGCTCTCTGTTGGTGTGTGTGTATTTCTTGAAACTGCAGAGTCATTTTTGGCATGCTGGCAAATGCTACTCCTTGCTTTTAGGATGAATAGGGATGCCTCTTTGGCGATAATTTGACGTGTCATAATAAATGCCCAATACCAAACCTAGTCTTTCTCCAGGCCCTTCAGACATCATTCAGGTAACTGGGTGTAAACACAGGAGTTGGCTTTGTGAAACTGAGGCAGGATTTCCTGCCTCTAAACTATTGGCAGCAAAAGAGCCAAAAATGTGCTCCCAGGTGCAAAACCCCAGCCCCATCAGAATTGCTTCTCAGCACTTTGGGTAACTGTTTTGCACTAACAGCTTCCTCCTTGTCTTTTCCCTGGGAACATGGGAGCACTGACACAGAACTCAACTGGTCCAGCCCTTTGGGAGGCCCAGGTGGGCAGATCACCTGAAGTCAGGAGTTTGAGACCAGCCTGGGCAACATGGTGAAACCCTGTCTCTACTAAAAATACAAAAATTATCCAGTCGTGGTGGTGCATGCCTGTAGTCCCAGCTACTCTGGAGGCTGAGGCAGGAGAATCACTTGAACCTGAGAGGTGAAGGTTGTAGTGAGCCAAGATCGTACCACTGCACTCTGGCCTGGGCAACAAGAGCGAGACTTTGTCTCAAACAGAAACAAAACAAGAAAAACAAAAAGAACTTAACCAGTTCTCCCCAGATCTCAGCGTGCATGCATATATAGAGTTTAGTAAAATGTGTTTCAAAAAAAGAAGGATAAAAGAAAGTTTGAAGTAAGATTTGTAAAAGAATGAACACTTTAGGTTTTGTGTGTGAGTGCAAAATGTAAACACGGCATTTGAAATTTTTTGGTATTGAAATCCTTAATGCCTGTTAGTTTCTTTATGGTTTTATACAATTGAGATAGGTTCTGAAGTTTTTTTGTTGTTTGCTTTTAGAAATTTTTAAAAATACAAAAAAAAAGCGCAGAAACATTTTCATCTGGGTTACTGTGTTTATAGACTATTCTATGACTCAAGACAACTAGGACACCATCATTTTCCAGATAAGAAATAACAGTTCAAGTTCATTAGGGAAATTATCTTCCCAGTCCAAGCAAGCAATAATGTTATCAACTTACAATATTGGACAATCTTCATATTCTATGAGATGCCTTTAAAATTTCTTTGGATTTAATGCTGCTCTTGGTCAGTTGTTCAAATGAAACATTGTAATTTCATGTTAACGACAAGAGTCTCACGGGAGTCTCTTTAGATGCTGCAGGAACTGAGAGGATAGAAGACCTCTCTATACATCTACATTGCCCATTGGAGTAAAGCACTTTACAGAGAGATGGATGCCGCTTTGGGATTTGGGGTCTATGTAATGCTGATTTTTTTCAAACCTGTTTGGAAATATTACTTCTTTGGGATGGCTGAAATAACTTTTGACCTGACACATCTTTCTGTACTTCCTGTGGCCAAAAAAGCAAGTGAGACTTTCTGTTTCCCATTGTAAGGCTGGAGCTGAAATAGTCTGCCACGTTATTGTTATCTCCTTTGTAAGAATTTGACTTTCTGAATGAAATAACAGAATGCCAGTGTCAACACTGACCATATGATATAGTTATTTCACTTAGAGATGCTTCCTCAAAGAGCGTGCCTTTTTCCTCCATCATAACCGCTTTAGGATCTCTGTTTTATCCATGTATTTCCCACATAGTAGAAGCATTTTCCATTTCCATGAATATTACAGGCTGAGAAGGAGCACACATCTGGCACTGATAAGCACACTGGCCCAGGCACTCAGCCTTCTCATTTCATTAATCTGGTTGGTGACCGTTTCCATCGGGCACACCTGGAAATGTCCATCGGACATATTGCCATCTCAGTTGCTGCAGTGCAGTGAATTACCCCAGAGCCACCAGTTCACATGCCCAAAGATGAACTGGCCCATGGAGGGACTTGATTGCCAAGTGACTTCCTTTCTGTAGTTATCCTCTGCTGTGACCCTTATTTTGGACTTCTAGCAAGGGCATTCAGTGTGGATTCCAAGAACAAAACCAATTGTCCAACCTCCATTACAGGGGTCTTCTAGGTATTCCCCACACATTATTTGTGGGCATAAGCAAACACCATAACTATGAAAGGCTGAGAGTGGAGAATTAAGTCATAAGGAAATGATCAAACCTAGGGAAAAATAAGTGGCTATAAAACACTGAAAGATAGTCACATCCACATAGCGTGTATCATGCAACAGACCCGTGCTCTTAGAGGGAGGTAGTGTGTGTCTTCCCATGGCAAATAATTTTTACAATACTGCTCATGTTTAATGTGTGTCTACAGGGCATGCTGTTGTCTCAAAATTGAAATGTGCATCTTAGGTATCAGTTCCCAGCCTCAGACTCTTCTCAGGCAGGTGGACCGGATCTCAGCTGCAGAACATAGTGAGTGGCCAAACCTACACAGCCCAGCCAGTAGTGTGCTTTGGGGTGATTGCAAGGCAGCAAACAGTGGGGACAAGTTTTGTCTGGCATTTGAAAAGGTGTTATCCCTTACTTTCCACATTTCTGAATTGGATTCTTGTTCCCTGGTAAACACCAGATATTATAAACAGAGCATGCTGTTATGACATTGTGCTTCTATATACCTTTTTGTATAATGTATCTATCTCATTATATTACCTATGGTTTCAGTATGATCTGTTGTGTATGTTCCACCGTATATTTAATGTCTCTGTAAAGGCACTTCCAAACATTTTGAAAACGAAGAAATAAAACATGTTGGATGATTCCTTGTTATAGTAAAACAATTAATTGGTAGGTTCCAGGAAATAATCTTTTCTTCAAATAGGTGTTCAGAGGTAGATATTTAGATGTCCTTAAGTCTGGCATAGAGGAAGCTATGTCTTCAGGTTCTTGATGGCAGTTATGGGCTGAGACCTTGAGAATAAAGGAAAACAATGGCTTATTTAAGCATAAGGGCAAGATTCCCAGAGAAATGGGCTGGCTCTTGAGCCCCAAAGAAAATACTTTGGCAAAACATCATGTTGGGCCCTTGTCTACATTAGGAAGGGACCATCCAGAAAGAAGACAGTGGTGCCCCATGAATGTCTATAGCTAAGACATGCAAACTCAGCTCTTGGAAAAGGGGAAGAAAAGTCAATTTTTCTTTAAAGCTGACGAAGTTGAGTTTTAACGAGAGAAAAAGCTTTATTCAGATATGTCTCTGCCTGTAGGGAGAAGTTTGAAGTGGCAGGAAAGTATTTATGAGGTCTGAGTGGCAGGAAAGCTCATTCAGGCACCAAAAATTCCAGTTCATGTTCATAGTCTTGGGATGTGTTACATTTAACTCCATAACAACTAAAATATTTCAATGTGTTGAGTCTCCACTGCTCTGCAAATATTAACCAGGCAAAGGACCTCTACCATGCCATACCTCTACCCTCTCCAGACAATTGGCTTTAATGGCTATGTTGCCTGAACTAAAGTCTGCCATTGCTAACTAAAATCTCTTAGAATTCAGCTTTAGAAATGCAAATACCCGCCCATGACAGTGTCACGTTGGCTTTCTCAGATAACCATGGCAGTCTTAAGCCAACATCCATGCTCCCTGTGATAGTTACATGGGTCTGTGGCAGTTTCTTAACCAATAGCATGGTCAGCACTACTCTAGACATAAAGAGTTGTTTACAGAAATCCCTTCCCTTCATGCAAAGGGCAATAACTTTATAAACAGAATATGGCTGAAATACAACCATTTCTTCGATGCCTTGACACTTCCTTTAAACAACGATGTAAAACAGAACTCAAGAAGGCAGCATCTCCAAGACCTCTGACGCCACCTTGGCGCACAGTTAATCTACAGGTGAGTTTCCATGGTGGATTGGACACAAACTTGGCTTGAGCTACACATAATAGAGAACCTTGCTTGGTGCTACAGATTATTATGGGTCAATGCTGTTGAAAATTGATCTTTTAGTATTCTAAATATTTAAATAATACTTGTCCTAAAAATTGTTAGCATGAACTTGTACATTGTATATTCAGGTATTCTTGTTTTAAACCTGCAAGATTAATGACAATACTGACATTGACATTACCTAATATTAATAGTTTTTTTTTCATACAAAGCAGGGGGGAGCTTATATTTCCAATTTCAGTGTTTTTTACTTTATTTCACAAAATCTCAAAGACCTTCTATGACCTAGGAGCCTTCCAGTGCCCTTTTCAGCAGGAATAAGAATGCATATTAGGGCCGGGCGTGATGGCTCATGCCTGTAATCCCAGCATTTTGGGAGGCCGAGGCAGGAAGATGACTTGAGGTCAGGAGTTCGAGACCAGCCTGGCCAACATGTTTAGTGAAACCCTGTCTGTACTAAAAACGCAGAAATTAGCCAGGTGTGGTGGAGCACGCCTGTAGTCCCAGCTACTCAGGAGGCTGAGGCAGGAGAATCACTGGAACCCGGTAGGCAGAGGTTGCAGTGAGCCGAGATCACGCCATTGTACTCCAGCCTGGGGGACAGAGTGAGGAAAAAAAAAGAATGTATATTTGGATTTTTATACATTATGGTGTCTGTTAACTGGATGACTAGTGTCCCTTTCTGTGTCTATTGAGAAGGTGATCAGAGATGAAGGAGGAAAAATTGGGAAAGCGATGTTAACCAAGAGCCAATTCAGGGAGCATGTTATTGTTCATCATTGTCACTTTATATGAGTCACATCTGTCCTTGGGAGGGTTCCTTCCTATTTAATTAGGAAATGTTAGCCCTTAAAGCTCATCTAGGGAGCATGATGAAATAACTGCTGCAAGTCTGAAGCTGCTGTACCTGGAGGATCTATAAACTAAAGAGCTCTTTGGTCCTAACCTTTCTCTTCTTCTCAAGGAGCCTCTAAACTTCCTGTCTTTCCTTACATGATCTGAAATCGAGTTCTGATGTTTGGAGACCTCTGTCAGCCCTGTGGCAGTTCCAACTCCATATCCAGACTCTCAAATGCAAAGGGGAAACTACCAAACCTAAAATGACTGCAGATTATGTTTAAATGCCTACAAGACTTAATATTATGCCAACTTCATCACTGCTAAGTTTAGAACCCATGAAATTTTCATGACGTTTGAAAACAATCCATGGTGGGACTTCCTAACTTTCCAAGAATTTTCAAATGCTTACAGTGAATACCAATAAATTGTAGCCTATTGAAAATGATAAAGAGTATTTAAAACCAGATAATTTCATAGGCAAAACAATAATTTTACCAAAGAAATGCATTTCATATTTACATGTGGTTTTACCATAAACGTTAGATATGCCTTGTAGTGGAACCTTCAGATGGAAGAGCATATGTGGGGTCTGCAGCGGCCCTGAGAGATCGCTCTGGTTCCAGGAATCACCTGATGTTGTCTTCATCCTGGTGATGAGAAGTGTGTTTGGAGAAGGCACAGGAAATAGGAGACCTATTGGTAAATTATGGAACCAAGGGCGCTGTTCACTTTATTTTATCTATTTATAACAACGATTATGTGGTTGAAATAAGAGTATGAGAAGTGAAATACTTTTTAAAAACCTCACATTACCCAAGTCTTCAATATTCTAGATTTTAAAACCACCAATATGCTTTACTTAACATAAAATTATAGGGCAAAACAGGAAAACAGCTTGTTTTTCATGATGAGAGGAACACTTTCATATGAAATGGGAAATAATGATCCAAAATAACCACTAATTTGATTAATGTGACAATAAAAGGTAAAAAACATCTACCTTATTACCAGGTTTATGGATCTGGCAAAGGGGCAATGAAAACCCATGACTGCAGTGAGCTGATACTTTGAGGAAGAGAGAATTCTGGCAGTAGTGATTGGGTATAAATTCTTTATGGTCAGATAAAAGTCAAAATCATATCCCAGGCTAAGGAAGCAGCACACACAGAGGTATGGAGTTCCATGTTCTTGAAATGTAAGGGACAGGAGCTCATTAGAGCCTGGCTGAGTCAGGGAACCTCGCTGTGGAGCTCAGACTTTGTATTGTGATTCCTCTGGGAAGGGGGTGAGCAGGCCACCAGCAGGAAGGAGAGGTGACCTGAGTTATATTTGAAAAACAAACCTACAGCATATCAGCCATGTACAGGGCTCTAGATTTGGGTCTGAGGTGTTAAGGTGTTTCTTACTCCAAAGAGTGTATGATCATCTAGGAGATGGGTGCCTGGGAACATGTCCTGAATTCTGTTCAGTTCTTAAATGGGGGGAAAAAAGAGTTTAAAGGTGTTGATGGAGCACGTGAACTGAGTAGGCAGATTTGAAGTAAAATATGTTTGGGTCACACTGTAGTGAACTCTTTAGCATGATATTTCTCCAAGGGTGTTATAACTAAGCTTGGCCAGATTAGATGATGAAAAAAAGAAACAAATCACTAAAAAATATAATTCTGTGAACACATTCTGTTTTTGGGAATGCTTTTTAATCTTCTCCCATGAAGATTTTCAGGCCATATTTAAGACTTTGAGAAATATGGCTGTGAAAAAAAACATTTTAAGCATTCCTTAACTCTGAATTTTCTATACGTTACCCACTTTTATTTTCTTTTTCATTTTCCCCATTTAAATTAATTATTTATTAATTAGATTTGTTATTTGCTTATTTTCGTCTAAACCTATTTAAATCCTCATGGACTGCATTGCACACTTTGGGGAATGCTCCTGTAGAGTGTTCTGTCAAGATTGCTAAAAATTCAAATTCTACTTTATTTTTAGTTTCAGCAGTGTTTTTAGGAAATGAAAGTACCCATGGAGAGAGAGGATGGGAGAATGGAGAGGAGGTGGATATTGAGTGATTTTAGAACAACTGTTTGATCCTACGGATTATTTGCTGTGCTTAAATACATACCTGGAATCAGTAAAGCTTTGGGATTCAACACAAACCACAAAACCCATCCAAGAGTGACGAGTGGGGCAGGAAGGCAGGTACCTGCTCAGTTCGAGAAACTGTGAGCCCTTTTGAGGCTAAGTAAGGTAAATAAGCTAAATGCTTTTATAAAAATACATTTTTTTACAAGAACTAATCTGTCTTGTATCAGCCCAAACACTAATGAGACATTCACACTAGAAAATCAAAATCAGCTACTTTTGCTTGGGTTTACTTTGTTTTTCTAATTAGACCTTATTTTTTAGAGCACTTTTTGATTTATAGCAAAATTGAGCTGGAGGTTCAGAGATTTCCCACATACGTCCTGCACCCACACCCACACGTGTGTGTAGGAGATTGAGTTCACCTTTCATTTGTTAACAGGCATATGGAGATACACTTCGCATACAAAACAATTGAAAGTATAGACTTCTGTAGCTTTTAGTATATTCATATCTTTACCACAATCAATTTTAGAATATGTTCATTTTGCCTAAAAGAAACCCTGTACTTGATAGCAGTCAGTCCATTTTCCTCAACCCACTAGGTCTAGAAAGCCACAAATTTGTTTTCTGTATCTGTAGATTTGCATTTTTTTCCGAACATCTCATATGAATAGAATCACAAAATTTGTGTATTTTGTGCCAAACTTCTTTCACTTAGCATACTGATTTCAAAATTGATCCAACTTATAGCATATATCAGTACTTTATTCCTTTTTAGGGCAAAGAAATCTTCCATTACACGGATACCCCACATTTTATTTCTCTACCCATCGCTTGCTGGGCATGAGTTGTTTGTGACAAATATTCATATACATATTCTTGTGTGGACATATGTTTTCGCTTCTCTTGGGTATATATCTAGGAGTAGGATTGCTGGGTCATATGGTAAGTCTCTATTTAATGGTTTAGACTCAGTACTTTGTTTTCTGCCTTTCCACAGCTCAGTTTCATAAAGAGGCAGGAGCCTTTTGTTCAGGGCTCCTTGGCAGTAAGGTAATTTCTTCTTCTGCATTGTATCCAGCTGACCCTTGCTCAGTGCTGTTCTTTGGGGGAAAGATGGAATGCTGGGAAGCCAGCACCTCTTATTCCTTCTAGCTAACACTTTTACAGTGACGGATATAATAGATATCTTCAACTAGTATTGTTGAATTATCTCCCTGATGCTGTCCAATTTTGCTTCATATATTTTGGGGCTCTGTTATTAGGTATGCATATATAGTCATTATTGTTATATCTTTGTGGTGGTGTGGCCTTTTTATTATTTTAGCACTTTTATATCTTTACCTCTAATAACGTTTTTAAAAATTGAACGTTGATTTTGTCTGATGTTAGTACAACCACTTCAGCTTCTTTGTAGTTGCTGTTTGCATGACATATCTTTCTCCATTCTTTTACTTTCAATCTATTTGTATCTCTGGGTCTAAAATGTGTAGATAGCACATAGTTGAATCTTTTAAAAAATACATTTTACAATCTCTGATTTTTATTGGAATGTTTAATCCATCCACATTTAATGTTACGATTGATGGAGCTGGACTTATTTCTGCCATAAAAATATCTCATGACATTTTTATTCCTGTATTTCTATTGTACTTTTTTGCATTAAGAAACATTTTCCAATGTAACATTTTAATAGATTTTTCACTATTTGTTGAGTTATTTTTGAGTGGTTGTACTTGAGCTTGCCATCTATGTCTTAACTTCAGATTTGTACTAACTTAATTCCAGGGAGATATAGAAGCATTATTCCTACATAGCTCTATATCAACCCCCTTTTCCTGTGGTATTATTGTTATACAAGGTACACCATATATGTTACAAATACAATTATTTATAGTTATAATTATTACTTTAAATATATCATTTATGTCTATTAAAGAAGCTGAGAGCAGAGAGGAGATAAAGTATATATTTATAGAATTTGTTATATTAAGCTTCTTATTTGTCATTCTGATTCTCTTTGTTCTGGTGGACTTGAGTAAATATGTGATGTTATTTCATTATGCACACACAGCTTTGCTCCTTGTCATTTTATTTATGCTGTCTTTCTCAAGTATATTGCATTTAAATACATTATAGGACCAACAATTCAAATATATTTATGTTGTGTTATACAATTGCTTTTTAAAATCAGTTAAGATAGATGGGATATGCACTGATAGTATGGTTTTTAAAATTATACTTTAAGTTCTGGGTTACATATGCAGAACATGCTGTTTGGTTACATAGGTATACACGTGCCATGGTGGTTTGCTGCACCCATCAACCCACCACCTACATTAGGTATTTCTCCTAATGTTATCTGTCCTCTGGCCTCCAACCCCCCGACATGCCCCAGTGTGTGATGTTCCCCTCCCTGTGTCCATGTGTTCTCATTGTTCAACTCCCACTTATGAGTGAGAACATGTGGTGTTTGGTTTTCTGATCTTGTGATAGTTTCCTGAGAATGATGGTTTCCAGCTTCATCCATGTCCCTGAAAAAGATATGAACTCATCCTAGACAATAATTCAAACACACACACACACACACACACACACACACACACACACACGCAAATGGCACTAGTATCTCTACAATGTTTTATAATTACATTACTGTCTTTGCCAGTGCCATTTGTGTGTATGTGTGTGTGTATTTGAATTACTGTCTGGGGTCACTTACTTTCAGCCTGAAGAACTTCTTTTAGTATTTCTTATAAGAAAAGTCTGCTAGCAACGAATTCTCTCAGTGTTAGTTTATCTGGGAGTATCTTTAGTTTTCCTTTTTGAAAAATAATTTTTCTAGCTATAGGACTTTTGGTTGATAGTTTTGATCTTCCATCATTTTGAATATGTTATTCCACTGCCTTCTGGCCTCCATTGTTTCTGATGCAAAGGCAACTATTAATCTTGTTATGATTTCCTTGTGTGTGATGAGTTGTTTTTCTTTTTCTACTTTCAGGATTTTCTCTGACTTCCAACATTGTTATTATTATGTCTTAATGTATATCTCTTTGAATTTACTCAATTTGGACTGTGTTGAGCTTCCTGGATGAATAGATAATGTTTTTCATCAAGTTTAGGACATTTTTAGCCATTACTTAAAAAAATTTATTGTTTCTTTCTGTCTTTTCCCTCCTTTTTGTACCCCCCTTTTCCATATATTGGTGTATTGAATGGTTTCCCACAATTCTCAGGGACTTGTTCATTTTTCTTTGTTCTTTTTTTCCTCCATGTTCTTTATATTCTTTGGATGCATAATCTCTATCAATCTTTCTTGTTCACTGATTCTTTCTTCTGTCAATTCAAGCTTACTATTAGGCCCCTTTCATGGATACACACACACACAGGCAGACATACACACACACATATATGTGTGTGTATATATATTTTTATTCATATATACATACACATATATGTAAAGTAATAACGCAAAGCACAAGAAGGATTAAATTGAGGTACACTGCTAAGGTTTTACATTATACATGAAGTGATCAATATTAATTCATGGTAGAAAGTGATAAATAGTTATCTAGGAAAAGACTAAAAGTGGAGAGATATCGCTAATAAGGCAGTAGAGGAGATAAATTGCAGTGTCAAGTTATACTTGCTATAAAGGTATTCAGGAAGGAATGAAAAAGTGAAAAAGAACAGATGACAAATAGAAAGAAAAAACAAGATGGTAGACTCAAATTCAACATATCAGTACTGTCAGACTAGACCAAAAGGAAGACCCAATCACATGTAATCTACAAGAGGTTATATATATATATATAACCTCTTTATATATAAAGAGGTTAAAAGTAAAAATTTGGGTAAAGGTATATGCAAAACAAATCACAAAAGACCCAGAATGGCTAGGTTAAGTATCAGATAAAGCATACTAAAACAGAATATGATCAAAGATGAATTACATCATCATCAGCATCATCACAACAACAATAACACTGCAGTCAATTTATCAAGAAGACATGAAAATCCTAAATGGCAGTGCACCTAAAAGTAGAGCCTCAAAATAATAAGCAAAAAATAACAGAACTAAATGAAAATTTAGAAAAATCTATCTCTATGGTGGAAGATTTCAATACTCTTCTTTCAGAACTGATACAAGTATAAAAACAAAAAAGATATAGTTAATTGGAACTATAATGTCAATCAATTTAAATACATAAAACACTACATTCAATAACTGAACATGTTTTTCAAATACCCATAGAACATTCACCAAGATAGAACCTATATTGGGCCATGAAACTACTCTTAATAAACTTTAAAAGATTGAATTCCTATAGTACATGTACTCTGATCACAACAAAATTAAATTAGAAATCAACTGGAAAAATGTTATCTTGAAAAATCTCCGAATATTAGAAATTAAGCAACATAATTCTATAGAACTCATGGTTAAGAAAGAAATCACAATAATCAGGAACATTTTGAACTGAATGATAATTTGAATAGCTCTAACAGAGATTGTATTGTCCACAAAATCTCAAATATTTTATAATCTGGCCTTTTTTAGAAACAGAGTTTGCCACCCCTTGATCTAAATGATCACCTAAGGAGTATGTAAAAAAACAAATTAATACCAAAATAGGTAGGAAGAAGGCATAAATAATAATCAGACATAAATAAAATAGAAAAACAATAGAAAAAATGAGGTAACAATTTGTTTCCTTAAAAGTAATAAAATCAATAAATTCCTAGTAAGATGAATGAAATAAAAAATGCAAATTACCAATATCAGCCAAAAAAGAGGAAATTACTACAACTGTACAGATATAAAATGGTTAATAATGAAATATTATGAATAACTTTGTCAATAAAATAGACAATTTAGATAAAATGGTCCTTGAAAGGCAAAACTGAGAAGAGAAAGAATCAAAATATGTATGGATTCATGTCAAATGAATACATTCAAAGATTTTCCACAAAGAAAACTTAAGGTCTAGGTGGCTTTACTCATGAATTATGTCAAATATGTAAGAAAGAAATAATATTATTTTTAAAGAAAAGCTGTCAAAATACAGAGGAGGAGCAAACAGCCCAACTTATGAATCCATCATTAATGTTGATACCAAAAACAGACAACAAACAATATTAAAAGCAAGGTCATGGCCAGGAGCAGTGGCTCATGCCTGTAATCCCAGCAATTTGGGAGGCCGAGGTGGGCAGATCACAAGGTCAGGAGTTTGAGACCAGCCTGGCCAACATGGTGAAACCCCATCTCTACTAAAAATACAAAAATTAGCTGGGTGTGATGGTGCATGCCTCTAATCCTAGCTACTCAGGAGGCTGAGGCAGAATTGACTGAACCCGGGAGGCAGAGGTTGCATTGAGCCAAGATCGTGCCATTGCACTCCAGCCTGGGCGACAGAGTGAGACTTCATCTCAGAAAGAAAAAAAAAAAAGCAAGGTCATGGGATACAAGGCCTGTACATAATAATTCACTGTTATTTCTATATCCTAGAAATTAAAATTTATACAATAAAATTAAAGAATAATACAATTTATAATATCCAGAAATATAAAATACTTAAGAATAAATATAACAAGTGTTTGCAAGTCCTCTGTAGTAAAAATACAAAATATTGCTGAAAGAAGTTGAAGACACAATAAATGGAGAGATGTTTCTGGATTGAAAGACTCAACATTGTTAAGATGTTGATTTTCCCAATGTGATCTATTGATTGAAAACAATCCCAATAAAAATCCCAGCCTTCCTTGTCATGGAAATTGACAAGCTGATTCTAAAATTTTAATTGGAAATGCAAAGTACTTAGAATAGCCAAAACAATCTTGAAAACAAACAATCTTTGAAGACTTAGATTACCCAATTTCAAGACATATTAAAAGCTACAGTAATTAAATATAATTTAGTATTGATATAAGGATATGTAAATAAATCATTGAAACAGAATATTGTCCTGAAATAAATTCATTCTTTTATAATTGTTTGATTTTTGAACACAGGAGTCTGAGGAATTCAATGGAGTAAAGAAAGTCTTTTCATGAAATAGTGAGAAAACTTGATATATATATGTAAAGAAAAATGAAATTCAGTCCTACCTCATACCACACAAAAGTCTAGATTCAGTTACAGACCTAAATGTAAAAACTAAAATTTATAACATTAGTTGAAAATTCGACTAAATTGAAATTACAACTTTAGTTGTTTGAAGAAAACATGGGAGAACATTTTTCTTTCAATCCTGGGGTAAGAAAAGATTTCTTAATTAAGGCCCCAAATCACTTTGCCTCAAAAAGCAAATTAATAAATTATACTTTATAAAAATAAAAAACCTATGTTTTTCAAAAGACATCATTATTCAAATAACTAAGCAATCCACAGAGTAGAGGAAAGTATTCTCAATCTAAGAGTTGTGTCTAGAATATGTGAGGAGCAACTGACTCAATAAAAAGACAAACATCACAATTTAAAATGGGGAGTATATTTGAATAGAAACTTCTGAAAAGAAGATCTATGAATGGCACAAGAAAGAATACCTTATACCATTTGCCATCAAGGAAATGCAAATTTAAACCGTAATAAAATACTACTAAACACCATCTATCATGGCTGATATTCACAATAGCAAAGACATGGAATCAACCTAAATGTCCATCAATGATAGACTGGATAAAGAAAATGTGGTACAGATACACTATGGAATGCTATGCAGCCATAAAAAAGAATGAGATCATGTCTTTTGCAAGTACATGGATGGAGCTGGAGGCCATTATACTTAGCAAAGTGACACCAGGAACAGAAAACCAAATGCTGCATGTTCTCACTTACAAGTGGGAACTAGTTGATGACAACACATGGACAGATAGAGGGGAACAACAGACACTGGTGCCTATTGGAAGGTGGAGGGTGGGAGGAGGGAGAGGATCAGGAAAAATAACAAATGAGTAATAGGCTTAATACCTGGGTGATGAAATAATCTGCCCAACGAACCTCCATGGCACAAGTTTACCTATGTAACAAACCTGCATAAGTATTTCTGAACTTAAATGTTTAAAAAAAAGATGGAAACACCCATTGTTGGCAAAGATGTGGAGGAAACATAATTTTTAGATTTTGTTGGCAGGGCTGTAAAATACTATCATCATTTTGGATAATATTTTGCCAATGGCTTGTTAAGTTAACCATACACTTAACCATATTGCCTAAGAATCACATTCTTTGGTATTTATTCAGAAGGAATAAGAATATGATTCCACATGAAGACACAAATAAGAATGTTCATAGCAACTTTATTCATAATAGACAAAAACCGGAATCAACCAAAATAGCCATCAACAGGGGACTGGGTGAACAGTTATCTCTTCATCCAACAGTGGCGTGCTCCTCAGAACTAAAAAGGAACAAGCTACTGATTATGCCACTCCATGAACCAAGTGAGTGAAATAAGAGAAGGTAAACCCAAAAAAGCATATACTATATTATTCTATTTACGTGACATTCAACTGTAGGCAGATTTATTTATGGGGCTGGACAGCAGAGCAGTGTTTGCCTTCACACGGGGAGCATATTGACCAGAAAAGGACTTAACTAGGGTCATGGAAATGTTCTTTATCTTGATCAAGGACTGGATTACATTGGTAAAAGCCTTTTTAAAAATTCACCGAACTGGCCAGGTGCGGTGGCTCATGCCTGTAATCCCAGCACTTTGGGAGGCTGAGGCAGGTGGGTCACGAGGCCAGGAGTTTGAGACCAGCCTGACCAACATGGTGAAACCCTGTCTCTACTAAAAATACAAAAATTAGCATGTGTGGTGGTGCATGCCTGTAATCCCAGCTACTCAGGAGGCTGAGGCAGGAGAATAGCTTGAACCCGGGTGGCAGAGGTTGCAGTGAGCCAAGATCGCACCACTGCACTCCAGCCGGGGCAACAGAGTGAGACTCCATCTCAAAAAAAAAAAAAAAATCACAGAACCGTATGCTTAAGATCTGTCTGTTGCACTTTATTCAGTTCTACATAAAATAGGTCATGTCATGAGAAAAACTGTTATCTTCCAAAACAAAGAAGGCAAGTAAAAACTGACTCTTCTTGGTAAGGCCCTTATTGCTTCTGTTCCTGCACTTGTGGCCAGATTCCCTGCAATCTTAGAATCGTTCTCTTCCTCCGCCTCCTGCCCCTGCAGAAAAGAAAACAAAACTAGGCAGGAAGACATGGAGAGGAAGATTCCTGTGACCTTTGTAGACAGGGCCAGGCTGCTGGGCTGCCAGAGAAAAGTTTAAATGGAGAGGAAGGAGCAGCAGAGGATGACAAGGCAGGCACCCCTCCCACTGCAGGAGGCCCAGCCTTGATGCCAGAAACCACAGGCACGGAGAACAGGCAACCAGCTTAACTTTGATTCTCTTAGTGTTTTGTGGGACCTGCTGGGGTCTAGAATAGCTAGAGTCATAGGCCGTCTACCTGCGGCTTCAAGCACACATATCCAACTCCACCTTATCTACACAAATGTTCTCATTATCTGTGTTCCTTGACAGAATGGTTTGACAATTCTTCCTTATTAAACCTGGCCCCCACGTCGTCAGCTCTCCGGATGCTCTTCCCTGGTTGTCAGGCTGCTGCTTGGGTTCCCAGTGGAGCACTCTGCAGGGTTCTGTATGGCCTGTTGTGATCTGCGGGGTCCTGCAGTGCTGAATGCTACACCGTGCCACTTCCAGCTCAACCAGAGAAGCTGGGCAGGACTTTGGTGGTGGTGTCTGAAGGTTTGAGATAAGGCCCAGGTTGCTACGGGCTTTCCTTGAGAGAGGGTGGCAACTACTTCTGTGTTTGTTTTTATAGTAAATATTCAGCTGACTCTAAGGAGGGGACAATGGTGGTCCAAAGATTTTTCTGCACATGTTAAAACATTTCATGGTGTTCGTGACAAGCCTCGCCTGCTTACAAAGCTTATGGAGACCTTGAGTCACCTTCAGTTGAGGCACGCACTTTGGACAAGTTTCAGATACTTATTTTGGCACCAAGGAATACAAATCTGAGCAAATATATCTTTGGCTGAGAACAAAGTTCTCCTCAAAGAACTGGAAAAAGAGCCCCTAACCTTTCATTTCAACTGTTTATGGCTCATATTCAAAGGTAGCTTTTTTTAAAAAAATAAAAAGCACTCCAATCCCAAGTGGTTTAAGCCAAAAAGTGCCTTAGGGTTCTCTCAGATGAACTTCAACTTCAGATATCACCAATAGGTAGCTTTGGCAAAAATACTCATCTTCTTTTGAAGTCTAGCTTGCTTTCATAGGAAACAGAAAAGGGAAGGAAGAGAGAAGGACCTGAATGAGTAGAAAACATCTTACACATGCAGGGATCATGTTGTAAGAGTCAGGGTCAGCTTATGACTCTGATAGAAAGCAGCTGAAGGTGACAGATTTTCCAGCTGTCCTTTGAGAAGGTGCAGGAGGATGGCAACTTGGAATTGGCTATAAAGAGTGAATCAGAAAGTGGAGACGACCTGGACTATAAGGTAAAAGCTGCTTTGTAGAAACTGATTTGCACAACAAAGTGAAATGCAAGGAGAATGTTGGAATATATGCAAGCTATCTGGAGAAAATAAAGCACTCAACATTTCAAATAAATTCTCCAAAATGGGCTAGCATCTCTGTGGTTAGAAAATTCTGTCAGAAAAGGACAACGTAAAACTTAAGTAGAAACTTAAAATATGGCCTGAATTATACAACAACTATATCTAACAAAACACAGAAAATGACCTTCAATAGTTAAGGAGGCGATTAACCACTTGGGGATAGGAAAGAGCTTTCCAAAGTGTGTAAAATAATCAGTCACACCTCTCAGAAGATGCAAGGGAAGCATTAGGAAGGGAGCACTTTCTTTTATTAAAGCCAGATTAGCTAAGAGAAAAGTTTCAAGTATTTGGCCTGTCGACTGCACTGAGAGAAAGCTCAGTGACACAGGAAAAGCAAGTATTCTCAACAGACATGAATAAGCTGGAGCAGTTTAAATATGAGATTTTGTCAAAAGATTCTTACACCTCTTTACTGTTCCCTGTACAGACCTCAGCAGAAGGCTAGGGGAGCTGGGGAGGGCTGGATTATCAGATACAACGAAGGAGGAGGGATGACAAGGCTGAAAAGCTGAGCTGACTAGATTAGGTTCCTTTCTTCACTGCCCAAACTTAGAACAATATCACCATTCATGAGAAGAATTTGTAGACATGCTATTTTATGCCTTTTAAACAAGTTTGATGTTGGGGTGGGGGCAGGGTAAAGTAACATTTTAAAAGCATGGCACTTTTTCTGTGTTTGCTAAGATAAACACTTTGTCTGTGTTTATCTAAGCATTTTTTTGTAGCCTCTCCCTAACCAGGTTCCAAGAAACTGAAGCTGTCAGGTAGCTTGTGGAGGACGAACACAACTACTGCCCAAGCAATCCACAACATGTCCAGATTCTCAAGAATACAGAATTAATCACTTCCAGATGACTACTTGGAGTTTTCTCTTTCTTTGGGTTGTGAGCGCCAAGAAACAGAGACCAGTGCCCGGTACAGAAGAGTTCTTGAGAACTATTTGATGAATGAACATTTGAATGGATGAATTGTGTACTTGTCAGGATTCTTTTGATTGACAACTGAAATCCATTAAACAAATACAAAACCAAGGAATTTATTGGTACTTGTAAGTGAAAAGTCAACGTTGTCAGTTCAGGTATAGCTTGATACAGCTGCTCAATCTATACGCTTAGCAATTCTCTCTCCATGTCTCACATATATTATCCTCTGTGTTAACTTCAGTTTCGGATAATCTTTTCTCACATAGTAACACATAAGGATAGAAGTTGATCTATACCTACAACTTACCAGCTCAAACTCCATAAACACACATATACTTGGAAAAAAGATACATGAATGAGGAAGCTTGCAGAGTCTCACCTTACGAACTATTTCACCATGGCATTTCTTTATGGGGATTTGTTGGGCAAAGCTAGCTTCTTAAAGGCCTGGGAGAAGAGACGCTTTAAGCTGACTTGTCAGGTGCCTCCAACAATTGAAGGCCAAGGAGGTATAAAAATAAGATAGCTTAAAAGTCAAAGTGATATCTTCTCAAAAATGTAGCCCATTTTGGAAATTTCCTTGGTAAGTTGCTTTGGAGAATATTTCTGTTTTGTAATGTGAGTTCATTTCTGCATTTTGGGTCTGCATTTTAATCTATAAAAATCTGAGGTCCCATCATCCCTTCCCCTGACAGCCCCCCTTGTCACATTGCTGGGCACCTCATCTAAGCTAGCTACATGTGAGTCATATCATCCTTGAGATACAATGTGAGACACCAAATAGACCAGAAACAACAACTAAAAGAAGAAATGAATATTCTACAGTGGGCACATTCGTGTGGCTATCACAGACTGTTTCAATCATTTTGGGCTCATGATATGATGATGATGATGTGATGGTGATGGTGATGATACTGATGGTGATGATGATGTAATGATGATGATGTTAAGGATGATGATGTGATGACAGTAGTGATGATGATGATGGAGATAACGATGATATGATGATGGTGGTGATGATGATAACGTGATGATGGCGATAATATGATGATGATGCTGATGTGATGATGACGGTGATGGTGTGATGATGATGATTTGATGATAATGGTGATGTGATGATGTGGTGATGATGATAATGATATGATGATGATGATATGATGATGGTGATAATCATGATGTGATGATGATAATGTGATAATGATGATGTGATGATGATGTAATGATAATGGTGATGATGTGATGATGATGGTAATGATAATGATATGAAGATGATGATGTGATGATGGTGATAATGTGATGATGGTGATGATGGTGATGAGGATGAGGTGATGATGGTGATGATGTGATGATGATGGTAATGATGGTGATGAGGATCAGGTGATGATGATGATAATGCCATGATGATGGTGATGATGGTGATGAGGATGAGGTGATGATGGTGATGATGTGATGATGATCTTAATGATAATGATATGAAGATGATGATGTGATGATGGTGATAATGCGATGATGATGGTGATGATGGTGATGAGGATCAGGTGATGATGGTGATAATGTGATGAATATGGTGATAATGGTGATAAGGATGATGTGATGATGGTGATGATGTGATGATGATGATTTGATGATAATGGTGATGATGACGTGATGATGATGTAATGATAATGGTGATGATGTGATGATGATATAATGATGTAATGATGGTGATAAGTTGATGGTGATGATTTGATTATAATGGTGATGATGATGATTTGATAATGGTGATGATGATTTGATGATAATGGTGATGATGATGATGTAATGATAATGGTGATGATGTGATGCTGATGGTGATGATGACGGTGATGATGGTGATGTGATGATGATTGTGGCGATGATGTGATGATGTCAGTAATGATGGTGTCAGTAATGGTGATATGATGATGTCAGTAATGATGATGTGATGATGGTGAAAGTGTGATGATGATGGTGATGATGATGATGTGATGATGTGATAAGATGACATGATGATGATGATGGTTGCTGCTAGCTTCTGAGGTGGATTGGATTATTTGCTCTCTCTCATCAGGTGGTGTATAGCCCCACTCTATTGTTTTTGGATTTGTTCATGTGGCTTACTTCAACCAGCTGAAGGAGAACAGAAAGGACAGAAGATTCTTCAGGAAATATAGTGGGTTTCCACTGGCACTCCTTTGTGTGCTGTCCACCATGAGAACAGCAGATCTCAGACTGAATCTTCAGCCTATGTCCTGAAATGAGAAGACATGTGGAGCTCACCTGAGCCCAGGAATGGCCAGCAAAGTTGCAGACAACCCACAGCTGACCCACAGCTGATCCCCAGAGAAGGGAATGTTAATGTTAGCACAAGCAATTGAGATCTGGTGTTATTTGTTGCCAGAGCAAAAGCTACTGGTATGGCTGACAATATTCACTGGGGTCCTATGCTGGATCACGCTGTTCTATATACTAGATAAGGATTATGTTGTTCAATTCTCACAGAAGCCTTTTGGAATGGAAGCTATTAGTATCCCCATCTTACTGAGGCACAGAGAGGCCACATAATTGGTCCAGGGTCCCTAACTAGCATGTGGTAGCACCAGGACTTGAATCCTCGTAGCATAAAATGATGGGAAGAACTGGCTTTTACAATGGAGCATGTTATACTCACATCAGTCTCAGGATGTGGGTGGGACAGAGGCTCCCCACTCAATGTTGTTGAAAAGGAAACAGGTCCAGAGAATAATACATCATGAACTTTAACATCAGTGTATGGTGTAGTTTGGGGTCTCCTCTCCTCCTCCTTTTCTTCTCAATCTGTTTTCAACGTTGCAGTAATGAGTCTGTTAAAACCTAAGTCAGATCACATTTGCTCCTAACCATATACACTCCCGTTTCACTCAGAGTAAAAGACAAAGTTCTCACCATGACCCATAAAGATGTCCGTGATATTCCTTCTTCCTTACTCTGACCTCACTTGCTCCTTCTCACTTGGTCTGCTCCAGCCACTGACTACCATACGTTCCTCAAACCTCACACTCTCCTGTCTCAGGGCCTTTGCACTTCTTGTTCCTTCTGCCTTCAACATTATATCCTCAGGTAACTGCATGTCTCCCTCCCTCTCCTCCTGGAGGTAATGCATGTCTCCCTCTCTCACCTCCCAGAGGTAGCGCCTGGCTTCTCCCTTACCTCCCAGAGGTAGCACCTGGCTTCTGTCTCACCTCCCAGAGGTAGTGCCTGGCTTCTCCCTCACCTCCCAGAGGTAGCGCCTGGCTCCTCTCTTACCTCCCAGAGGTACTTCCATGGCTTCTCTCTCACCTCCCAGAGGTAGCGCCTGGCTCCTCCTTCACCTCCCAGAGGTAGCTCCTGGCTCCTCCCTCACCCCCCAGAGGTAGCGCCTGGCTCCTCCCTCACTTCCCAGAGGTAGCGCCTGGCTCCTCCCTCACCCCCCAGAGGTAGCGCCTGGCTTCTCTCTCACCTCCCAGAGGTACTTCCATGGCTCCTCTCTCACCCCCCAGAGGGAGCACCTGGCTCCTCCCTCACCCCCCAGAGGGAGCACCTGGCTCCTCCCTCACCCCCCCAGAGGGAGCGCCTGGCTCCTCCCTCACCCCCCAGAGGTAGCGCCTGGCTTCTCTCTCACCTCCCAGAGGTACTTCCATGGCTCCTCTCTCACCCCCCAGTGGGAGCACCTGGCTCCTCCCTCACCCCCCAGAGGGAGCACCTGGCTCCTCCCTCACCCCCCCAGAGGGAGCGCCTGGCTCCTCCCTCACCCCCCAGAGGGAGCGCCTGGCTCCTCCCTCACTTCCCAGAGGTACTTCCATGGCTCCTCTCTCACCTCCCAGAGGTAGTGCCTGGCTCCTCCCTCACCTCCTGGAGCTCATTGCTCTTCCCTTGGCCACAGTGTCATTCCTCATACCCCTAGCACTCCTTGTCTCCCTTCTCTGGTCTACTTTTCTTCAGGGCACTCATCTCAGGCACCATTCCATTTCCTGCTTTACATGTTTTTCTCAGTGTCCCCTTTATGGAATATCAGCCTCTGGAATACCTGTCTCAGTCATGGCTGTGTCCTAAGCTCCTAGATGCACCTGACACACAGGATGGTGGACTGGAGATGAAAATCCATGTGCCCAGACTCCTGGCTTGGTTCTCTTTCTATTCTATATGATAAATGGCTGACAATAGTGCATGGCCCAAGGGTAAGATCTGTGCACAGAAAACACCTACCAATAGATTGATACCCCATTGTCAATTAATGCTTAGGGAGCTAAGATTGGTACTAAGATGCAAAAATAATAAGCCATACAAACCTCATCTATCAGTCATTATAACAGACATGAGCAATTTGCAATTTTAGTTTTGGCAGTCTTAACAATCATCTGCAAACTGGGATCACCATCCCTGTTCAGAGATGAGATAATGGAAGTTCAAAGAGGTGACATCTCTTTGTAATGCCGCACAGAGGTGAAACCAGCTCAGAAGATGTCTCATGTGTAGGTCAGGACCCCTGCAGAGGACAAGACCCTGTGAGCTGTCATTGTGATCACCATGAACAATCCTGTTTATGGAAGAATTTCTCTGAGATGGGCTCTGAGATGGGATGTGGAAGGGGAAATGGTGGGGTCAGATTCAGTCTGCACAGACTTTATTTGACCCTTGTGGCATTTATTCATAAACTTTAGGATTAATGGCTAATATTTGAAAAGTCAGGCTTTACATGTGAAAAATCCAGTACACTGGTTTCTCTTGAAAACATGCGCATTAAATCCCAAGTCTCCAAAAACAAGTTTGGATGGAGAAAGGGAGGCCAAGTCATCAAGCTGGCATGTGTGTGGAGTTTGTATGTTCGATGTTTATTCATTCTTTGTTCCAACAAATATTTATTGGGCACCTAATATATGATGGTCTTTGTTTTAGGCATTGGAGAGAGACGATAAACAGAACTTATGTTTTTGAAAGAGGAGACAGGCAGTAAACAAGCACATCAGTAAATACAGAGTCGGTCATGTGGGGTAAAGAGCTATGGAGAAAAATAAAGCAGGAGAGATGCACAGTGTGGTTGGTGGCAGAGACAAAAGTTGAAAAGGGAATAGTCAGCAAAGCCCACTGACAAGCTGACATCCAAGCATGGACCTAAAAGGAGTGGGTGGGAAGGGCAGGGGATATTTGGGGGAAGGGAGTGCTCCAGAGACTGAAGAGGAATAGTGAAACTTAAGTGGGGAGCATGGCTGATGCATTGGAGGTCTGACAAGACCACCCAGGGTCAGTAGTGGGTGATGACATCAGGAAAGTCCAGGCAGGGGCTTCAGGTCATGCAAGGGTTGGCTTGGATCTTGCTGAACAGAGTACAGGTGACATGAACAGCTGGGTTTTCCCCTGTCCCCCATGGATTTCCCTTCCCAACCACACCCACTTCTTCTGCTCATAGCCCATTGGAATCACAGGGCCTGTCATCTGACCCACCAAAAGAGAAGCGGTTGAGAGTGATAATCCTATCATGTTCTTGGTCAAACAGTAACCTGAAAATATTTGGTAGGCAGGATAACAGCTACTGTAATAATTGTTATTTTGTGGACGTGTGTCTAAACACATAGGGATAAAGGTGCACAATAAAAACTCTTTGGAGAACACTACCCTAGATAAATCGTATAGTCATTCCAGCACTAGAATTTTGCAGGCAGGTAATAATTTCCAGCATTCCTTCTGTGATTGGTGTTGAACTTTGGGGAATTCTGAAGTGACTTTTAATCTATTGATGGACTTGGCAGCAGGAAGGGTGGTTGTCATTAAGCCTCACTGAAATGGAGAATGCATCATAAGTGATGGATGTGGTATTCCCACTTGTGCGGTTAACCTTTGGTTCTCTACGTTGTATCTTTCTCTAACACTGAACAGGCTTTCATGCAGAAACTCATTATATCATCTCTTTCCCAATGACTAGAGGCTCAACTTAAGTCCAGAAGTCAAACCAACAGTCATTTCAGCCACAGAGAAACAATAATGATGAATTCTTTATATACACAAATATATTCCAAATGATACTTTGGAGTTATAAGATGCTGGAAGAAAACAAAATTAATATTTTAAATATCATGCCCTATTTAAATGACAGTTAAGCTTTTGGCTGGATCAGGAATCAGCACATCGTTTCATTCAGTTAGGTAAATGCCAGGCTGCAATGACATACTGTAATTACTTAGGGCTTGGGAGAAAAGTACAATTTCCTTTGCTACCTGTAGCTTTAGGTCATGATGTTCTTGTGGCCAACTAGGAGAAACCCTCTGATCACAGAAAGTCCCTTTACTACCAGGTGGGTTGTTGGAGCAGCTGAAAACAGCTTTTCTTAGCTCAGGGTTAGAATCTAATTCTAGACTTGGGTAATTGGATCAACAGCCAGATCTAATTGCCAACAAATAACAGAGTAAAGTTTAGGCTGATTAGCTGTGCAAAGCTATTATTTGGTTTAATGAAAAGTGCAAAATTTGTTCACAGAGCCCTGCGTGGGTGCTCACCATGTCTCTACCAGGCACTCTGTGTGCTACCTGCAGGTGCAGAATCTCATTTAATCCTCACTCCAACCCTATGACTTAGGCGCACTCATTATCCCCATTTTAGGGGTGGAGGGAACTGAGGTTCAGAGCGTGAATTCCCTTGTCCAGGATTGCACAGTGAAGGGCAGAGCTGAGATTCAAATTCAGGGATTCCTGTCTCTAAGACATCCTGAGAAATGATTTTGCAACGATTACTGGACCCTTTGCAACACTGCCTCCCAAACTGCCTTAAAAAAAGCAAAAGTACCCTCAGGATTTGTAAGAGGTGAGATGTCTTCCCCCTGTGCACAGAGCAATCCTCCCTCCAGCCTCGCCCACTGCCCCAGGGGTTGGCAGAGTGGCTCCACCTGCACCTGCACAGGTGGCCCCGCGCCTCTCACACAGGTTCAGCTCCCGCCGGTCCCTGTGCAGAGCGCCCCCTGCCGGTCCCTCTTGGAGGCTGGGCCAGCGTTGCGAGTCTTGCCAGGGACGCGCGCTCTAGCGCCGGAGGCTGGGAACGCACCGCGGTGCCACCGCGTCCTGCAGGGGCGGGGCGCGCACCTGGGGATGCACCTGTCCTAGACCCCCTGCGCCTATTCCTCGCCCGCCCCATCCTTCCCCTTTTCACTTTCCCTGTTCTGCCCTTTCCCTCTATTTATAATAATTTAATTCAATTAGCAGACCCTCTCGCCAAAACATGTACGCGACCACAGAATTCAGCTCGAAGTTTCAAAATTCAGTACATCACAGGCACTTTTTGCAGGTCATCCACCAGCGTTCTGGCCTATTTGGGCCTCAGCAGGGCTTTTCTGATTTAAAGAGAGGAACAGACCACTTCATTTTTTCCCATTTTTTTTTTACTTAATATAAATGAATAAATAAAGCCAACATGTAGTTTCCAAATATGTGATATAGTTTAAATGTTCACATTTGAAGATGTAAATGCCTTTAAGTTGCAGAAGGTATAATGCATAACTCACAAGATGCCTACAAGATTTGGGAACATCATTCCCAGTGCAGTAAAGAAATGTGGTCAGAAGTTTTCAGTGGTGTGTTGAGGATCTGCTTTGCACAATGGTGACAGCTTGGCTGTCACTGGTCATGTAGCTTTCTTTGAACATGACACCAAAGGGCCCAAGTTGATTGCTGTCAAGAACGTGGGGCCTGAGAACTCAGTTTGCCCTCCTTTGCCTGCTAAGACCACCTGATGGAAGCTTTGGCTTCTGTCTCCTGTTTCCAGTACGTGGGGATGCCTGTGTGCATTTGTGTGCATGTGTGTGTGCGGTGTCTGTCTTAGTGAGTGTCCTTGGTGGTCTGGACTTTCTCTCATAGCAGCCTTTGAAGGAGATGCAATGCTTAACTCCCTTCTTGGAGGAGGGGAGGGAGGAGCACAGAATGCAGGTACAAGCATTGGAGGGTAAGAACCTGAGCCCAGGGATGTCTGAGTCAGGAGTACTCACTAGGCTGTTCCAATGCTGCATGAGTGATACAAGAGAAAACTAGGAATTGCAGTGAGGAACAGAACAGCTAAACAGTAGGGGAGCAACGAAAGACTGGTCGGGCGCAGATCCACCTCTTCTAGAGCCCAAGTTCTGGCAGTTGTTTTATAAGATTCAAAGGTCCTGTTTTTGGTGAGACAGAACACAGTGACAGAAAGATAAAAGGCAGAACTCTGTTGCTTACAGTTCCAAAAGAGAGGGAACTTCCAGGCGGGACTATGCAGACGGCTGCGTTGTGGGTGAAGGCTGCATCATGGTCAGGGAAGGCTGCGTCATGGGCAGTGAGGGCTGCGTCATGGTCAGGGAAGGCTGTGTCATGGGCAGTGAGGGCTGCGTCACGGGCAGTGAGGGCTGTGTCATGGTCAGGGAAGGCTGCAGCATGGGCAGTGAAGGCTGCGTCATGGTCAGGGAAGGCTGCGTCATGATCAGGGAAGGCTGCGTCATGGTCAGGAAAGGCTGCGTCATGGTCAGGGAAGGCTGCGTCATGGTCAGGGAAGGCTGCGTCATGGGCAGTGAGGGCTGCATCATGGGCAGTGAAGGTTGCAGGGCACATAATGTGTGGCGAGTGCAGTGGCTTGGTTAAGTTTCCAGGGCTCCCTGTGGACTGGCAATTTGAGGACTTTCTTGGGCTCTTGGGCTCAGAGCTGTCTCTAGTTGTTTGATACCCAGCCCTAGAGCACTAAGGGAGATGCATAGTGGCTTGGAGTGTGGAAACCCATAAGGGAAGTGGTGGGGGACATGGACTTAATCAGATACTGAAGAAGGGGAACTGCCCCTGCCTTTTGCCAGAAGCCTCAAAAGTGGATCAGGACAGCATCAGACAAAGAAACGAACAAACTCTATTATACAGCCAATAACTTCAGGGAATGGTGGACTGTTTACAATGAGAAATGCCTCCCCTCTTTCCCAGGCCAGTTCCCCCAGGACATCTGTGTCTTGCAGAACCAACTGAAACAGTGAACTAGAGAAATTCCTCTTTTTCTCAGTAGAGGAAATGGAGCCACTGAAAGTTGGAATGATGATTGCAAAACATGCCGACAAGCAGGGCCAGCCCTAGGCCTGTGTGTCTTTTCTCCCAGCTTCCTTTGCTGGCAGTTTTATTGGTAAAACCATCAGTCTTGTTAGCACTCGTGATTCAGTACTGATGACCAGGCATTTTTTTTTTCTGTGTTGTGATTATTCTAACATAATTACTATGGGAAACATGTGTTGTTGAACAAAGCGCTGTAGGCATAGCCATGCCTGATTGGTTTCTATTAATTCCATTCATAAATCATGGATTAAAGTGGATGCAGAAGTGGAGAGGGAGGTGAAAGGAGCTGTGGAATGGTGAGCCAGCCCCTGCAAATTTCCCTTCTGGGGAAGGTGCTGGAAGTTTGTCCATCTCCCTGTTGGCTGCTTTCTCTTCTCCCCAAGCCCTCCCTTTACGTGCATTTCCCCTTCAGATCCCCAGCTGTTAAAAATCACAGACAATTGATCCAGGTATGTTCCTGGAGGATGTTTTTCCAGCCATCACTGTGATCTGCCAAGATGTGTCCAAATGCTGTATTCTGAGTTCTGCTGGGAGGGACCCCCTTCATACAAGCCTTCCTCGTCTGTATTTAGCTTCGTGATGCAACATCACACCCAGTGTCCCAGTTCATCCTCGCAACCCTGCTGAGAGGGTACCATAGCATGGAAAAAAGCTTGCAGCAGAGAATTTAATGTCTTTTGAGGAGCATCTCTGGCATGCCGTTGGGCCCTGGCAGAAATGGAAACCTTGATGTGGGTGAGGTACTGAGTGACCAGTGATTGTGCCTCTGGAACCGTCTTTCATGAGCTGGATTCTTTAGGATCCTCCAAGTCATAACGTTAGGTCAGCTGAGTATGGTCCACTGGAAGACGGAAATGGTAAGTCCAGCCCTGAGCCTGAGCAGGATCAGAGGGCACGAGGAAGCTGCATGGGCAGAATCCAGGCCCCAGGTTACCCACCACTGTTGAACCCATCATCCCTCAGTGTACACCTGTGGCCGGATGACCCCATGTTGCCCACAACTGTTGCAACCCACCATCCCTCAGTACATACCTGTGGCCATATTGAGGGTCTCTGACACCTGGAGGAGGGGGAACACACTGGAGCTTAGTCTAAAGATGAACCCACCAACATGTGGATGTGAGACCAAAATGGTCAGCTGCTGTATCATAGCCATACCCAGGCGTGGCCTTGAAAGGCAGTGGAGAGGAAAGATCTTTACACTGGGCAGAACC
The DNA here is from genome assembly GCF_000001405.40 of Homo sapiens. Classification (NCBI taxonomy): domain Eukaryota; kingdom Metazoa; phylum Chordata; class Mammalia; order Primates; family Hominidae; genus Homo; species Homo sapiens. The sequence continues at coordinate 125,687,252 of NC_000012.12, forward strand.
TTGAATAGAGCCCTGTACAACCACTTTGTGTGGAAGGGGATGTGGCTTGAAGTGAGAATTTATATGATCTCATGGGCAGTAATGGGTGGCCTGGTGGGCTAATCATGGATCTGAGAGATTGAGGACAAGGAGTTCTGGGGATGAAACACTGGATGATCACCTGAGATTGGACACAAAGTGAAAATCCTTCCGTTGAATGTTAATGTGTTAGCACTCACCCAGACACATCCATCACAGGCAAGGCATTCAACAATGAGTAGACAAGGAGGCCCAGCCCATTGACGTTAGCTGATCTGTCATTGGCCAACCCAAACTGGAGCAATGATCACATGCCCAGAGGGGCCATGGCAGCAGAGACTGAGGAGACACAGCCCCAGCAGTGTGGACTTCACTGCTCAAGCCTGGTTCAGCAGCAGCCACCTCTGAGTGTCCAGCCTGCCAGCTGCAAGAGCAATGCTGTGCCCTGTGATGGCAATGTCCTCGTGGAGGCTGTGCCAGTGCAGGGTCTCTGGGAAGCAGACACCAGGGTGGAGCTGGAAGTACAGGAGATGCCCACTCAGGGAAGGGGAGAGAGGGTGCAGAGGAAGGCAAGGGGAGCCCTCGGACGATGATGCATGTCTGGCACCTGTGAAAATGAGGAGGAAGGAAAGGGTTTAGCAAAGAAGGAGCCCAGATCATAGGGCAGCTTGGAGAAGGCCTCAGCCCACCCACGGGGGAGCTCCCATGCAAGGATGGCCATGGAGGAGCCTCACACCAGCAATGTGGAGCTGTTGTACCCCCGCGGTGCTCACTGGCTGGGAGCATCCCAGGAAAAGCATGTCCTTGGCTCAGATGCTGAGGCCGAGCCTGAGGTGCCCACAGCTAGAGGCTGTCAGCTCTCTGCACTCTGTGGGGTGGGCTCCCTCTAGGAGAGGGACCTCAGAGGGCACATCACTGACTGCCTCAGAGACCAGCCCATCTCTCGAGGCCAGCCAGGCTTCCTGGGGCCCTTCTGTACTGGAAGGGCCAGGAGCTTGTTCCCACTGAAACGTGCACCTGTGCTGGAAGGGGTTTCCCGCTCTTGGCTGCAAGGTCCCAGCCAGCACCTCTCCCCAGGGGGTTCTGGGGTGACTAATGCACAGGCGTTGAATCCCACGCAGCATAGCATCAGGGGAGCCACTGCACAGGAAGGAGGTGCTGGTGTGGGCTGGAGCATGATGCACGTTGGTCATCTCATGTGCTGGACCTTACGGAGCTGCCTGCCTGACAGTGCAGGGGAGTGGCGTGGAAACATGCTGCTGAAACACCAGCTCCATAACAGCTTCTGTGAGAAGGGGATGCTGCCCCCCAACCTAGGGAGAATCAGACCTCTATGTGGTGCTGTGTCCCCAACAGGAAGACCACACAGGACCAGGACTCAAGGTGCAGAAGCAGGAGTGGCCCCACTTCCCATAGTCCCCAGGTCCTCAGGGGGAGTTTGTGTTGACATAGTCACAACTCTGGGCTCTGTGTGCTGGAGGTTATGGCTGAATGTGGGGTGCCTGCTTTCTGGGGGACAGAGAAAGGGTCTTGTTAAAGTGCAAGCTATGGCCACTGCCTGGGCTCCTGGACTCCTGCATGTGAGGACCAGCAGCAAGGGAGTCATGTGGCCATTTATCCAGGGCACCTAAAACTATGGTCACACATGAAGGGAAGGAGGAATGAGCGTGGAGCTCAGGTAACCCCCATGGGTGCCTCTTGCCCCATTGTGACTGTGAGTGGACATGGGCGGCACTCCAGCCTCTGGAGGGCATGGCCACCAGGGCTTGAGGGCCCCAGGGAGGGAGGTTTGGTCCTACTAGCATGTGAGCCACCAGGACCAGGGGAGGGGAGGGTTGGTGGGAGAATCTGGAATGGACATTGGCAAGGAAACCATGAACAGCAGAGGTGGCCTTGAGATCAACTGCACGGTTGGGGCCTCCATAGCCTGGCGCGGTGGTATGTATCTGTAATCCCAGCTACTTGGGAGGCTGAGCTGAGAGGATCACTTGAACCCAGGAGCTCAAGGATGCAGTGAGCTGATAGCTGTGATTCTGCCTGTGAATAGCTAGCGTGCTTCAGCCTGGGCAATGCAGAGAGACTCGTCTCCTAAAAACAACAAAAAAAGGCTGGATGTGGTGGTGCTCACATCTGTAATCCCAGAGCTCTGGGAAGCTGAGGCGAGAGGATTGCTTGAGCCCAGGAGTTTGAGAGTAGCCTGGGCAACATAGTGAGACCTCGTTTCTACTAAAAATTTAAAAAATTAGCCAGGGATGGTGGCGTGCACTTGTAGACCAACCAACTCAGGAGGCTGAGGCGGGAGGATCGCTTGAGCCCAGGAGTTTTAGACTACAGTGAGCCATGATCGCACCACTGCACCACTGCACCCCAGCCTGGGCAACAGAAGGAGATCCTGTCTCAAAAAAAAAAAAAAAAGAAAAAAAGAAAATCCCCAAAGCTCCCTGACTGCCTCAGAGACCAGCCCATCTCTCGAGGGAGCTGCTTGTTGCTCCTGCCTGGGGCTGGGGCTGGCTCGGTGGAAGTTGCAGTGGTCCTGAAGGTGTGCTGCTTGGATGTCCCCTCAGGCAAGAGCTCAACCTCCCGCATCAAGTATGTGGCCTCTGGAGTCTTTCCAGATCTGCCCGTGGTCTGAGCTCTCACAGCGCGACCCTGCTTCCTCCCCTTCACAGGCTTTCCCCTCAGGGAACTCTTACTCCTCCAACCTTGTTTCAGCATCCACTTCCCTAAGGACCCATCCCACGCAGGAAGAGGCCACTATTATCCTCAGCCTGCATACGAGGGAGTTGAGGCCAGAGTCAGAGAACACGCCCAGGGGTGCTTGGAGGCCGAGCCAGGACTAATCCCAGAGCTGCGGATCCAGAGTCCCATCTGTGGTTGAGGGTGGCCACGAGGAAACAGGACTGAGGATGCTGGGGAGAGGATCAGGCCTCTTGGTGAATTCTCCCAAACTCCTTGGCCCAGGGACTGTGGTTATTGTTTGGGAGCGTGGGTCGGGAGAGAAGCCATCATCTCTGATACCTTTCAGACCGTTCACTGCATCCCTGGCCTCCTGTGGTTCCCACTCACATTTCCTAAAGAATGAATGGCATCAGCTTCAGAGAGCGGCTTCCTCCTGTTTATTCAGTGCAGCACGGGCAGGTCCCAGGCAGACACTGTGGCACTTTCGGAGGGGTCATCCCTTTTGCCTCCCTTTCCCCACCCCCAATAGGTGAGTTCAGAAGTTGAGTCTTTGCCAGCCCAGAGGCAGCTGGCACTGCAGACAGGCACCTGGAAGGCACCACACAGCTCTGGGTGAGGGAGGGAAACTCAGGCTTCTGAGGACCCTTAGCGGGCAGGGATCCCAGGAAGCCCCTGGCCATGATGGGGTTGGTGCCCTGTGAGTGAGTGTTTTCTCCACCGCATGTCCACTGCTACATGGCCAGCATGTACCGGGAGGCAAATATTTTCCTCTAATATTTAGATTTGGGAACATTTTTTTCCTCCAGTTGCTCTTGAAACATGTAACCTTGGCAGGAGAAAAATGTACTTTTTTTTTCTCACTTAATTCAGATTCTACCAGTCTCATTTTTAGCTCACGGGATTGAATGCTGTGTAAATGGTTTTTCACCCTATGGCCCCGCTCAGGAGCATTTTTCCATAAGGAGGCATTTAATGATAAGCACAAGAGCAATTGCGGTGTTTTTCTCTGACTGTGGTATCTGTCAGTAAATAACCAGAATGATACTAATGAGCATTTTATTCAGCGGTCCCAGGGTCCTCCCTGGCCGTGAAGACGTGCTGAACCCATCCGTGGGGCTCAGTGACAACCTCCCCTCTTTGCAGGATGGAGGGAGCTGAAATGTTCCTGGTCTGGGTGCTGCTGCTGGTTTGCTTTGCGACGTTGCACTGGTCATGATGCTCTCTGAACTTTGGTTTCACAACTGTAATAGGAGGGGATTAACTCAAATCAGGGCTGCAAATCCATTTTCATGAGCTGAATGCATTTTTTGGAATCATCATTTTCCCCTTTCTTTCTTCGGGATGTTTCCAACTCACATAAAGCAGAAAGACTAGTATGGTGAAATTCCACATTCCCATACTCCAGACTCTACAGTTATGAACACACAGCCGGTTTTATTTCAACCCTATTTCTACCCGCTACCCACCTTCCTCTTGGATTATTATATCAAAGCAAAATGCAGACGTCTTATAATTTTGTGTGCATTTCTAAAAAAAAAAAAAAAAAAAAGACCCGGCCAGGCATGGTGGCTTATGCCTGTAATCCAAGCACTTTGGAAGGCCAAGGCAGGTGGATCACGAGGTCAAGAGATGGAGACCATCCTGGCTAACATAGTGAAACCCTGTCTCCACTAAAAATACAAAAATTAGCTGGGTGTGGTGGCACACGTCTGAAGTCCCAGGTACTTGGGAGGCTGAGGCAGGAGAATTGCTTGAACCCGGGAGGCAGAGGTTGCAGTGAGCCAAGATCGCACCACTGCACACCAGCCTGGCAACAGAGCGAGACTCTGTCTCAAAACAAAACAAAACAAATTAAACCTCATTTTTAATATTGTCATAATACCGTAAACTGATTAAAATTTAACACTATCCTCAAACATCCAGTCTGTGTTCAAATTTCCCCAATTGCCTCATAAGTGTCTTCTTTTCCTCCTCCTTCCTTTAATATTTTGCATTCCTATGGGCAATGTGTGAGAGCACCGGCTTCCCCACAGCCTGGCCAACAGGACATGCTGTTAAACTTTTGGATTTTGCCAATTTAATGAGCAAGAAATGATACTTTATGCAGGTTTAATTTATATATTATTATGGGTGAGGATAAACATCTTATATGTTTATTATCCATTTGCATTTATTTTTGGCAAAATTATTGTTCATATCTCTTGCCCATTTTTCTGTGATTTTGAGTCATATTGAGGAACTTTTACCTTTTCTTAAGTTGTAAAGGAATTCATCCATGTTTTGCTCTAATATCCACATAGTTGTATTCTTGCCGTCTTTCTTTCCTTTTTGTGTTTATTCCTTTAAGAAAACATCTTACCTGTTTGGAATGCATCTTGGTATAGCAGATTTAGGTTTTGTAACCTTCCCATATTGCTCACCAGTTACTCCAAAACCATTTAGTCGGCTGGGCACAGTGGCTCACGCCTGTAATCCCAGCACTTTGGGAGGCTGACGCAGGCAGATCACTTGAGGTCCGGAGTTCAAGAGCAGCCTGGCCAACATTGGTGAAACCCTGTCTCTACTAAAAATACAAAAATTAGCCGGGCGTGGTGGAGCATGCCTGTAATCTCAGCTACCGCAGAGGATGAGGCAGGAGAATCGCTGGAACTGGGGAGGTGGAGGCTGCAATGAGCTGAGATCTCGCCACTGCACTCCAGCCTGGGTGACAGAGCAAGACTCCATCTCAAAATAAATAAATAAATGAATAAATATAATAAAACCATTTAGTCTACTCCATTGGTCTACCAGTCTAAACAGTCATACACTCTGTTTAATGTCAGAGGCTTGGATCTACTGATATCCTTCCCACTACCTGGCATTTTTGGAGATACTTGCTTATCTTTCCAAATTAAATTTCTAAAATTAAGATGTTTTAGCTTCAGGGAAAATTATTTTTATTGGAATCATATTACATTTATAAATTAAATTATGAAGACATGACATTTTTCTGAGGCTGCATTTTTTTTCATACAAGAACAGGATATTTTTCCATTTTTTTGAGTCTACTTTCATATTTACCAGGATCGTTTAACAACTTTCTTCATATAATTGTGGACAAATTTTGCTAATATTTTCACCTAGGTGTTCTATTATCATTAATTACTCTTCTATTATGTCATCTGACTCCTTTTGATTGTATATGGGAAGTTTATTAAGTTTTTATATTGACATTTTACATGCTAATTCCCCAACTTCTCTTCATATTTGTAGTTTTTTCATTCTTTGGGATTTTCTAGGTATGTAGTTACATCATCTACAAATATTTTTTATTTGTAATTTTATCTCTAGAGGTAGATATAAGAATAGTTTCATCTCTACCTTTTCAATTTTTATTCCCCATTTATATTCTCTTTTTTAATTACATTGACTTCCAACACAATCCCAAATCAAATAGTAATGGGGAGATTGGGCAATGCAGAGATTCTAGGATTTCCATTAAGTAAAGTGCTGGTGTTCAGCTGAGATACGTGTGTGTGTGTCTGTGTGTACGTGTGTGTGTGTATACATATCCATATACACATAAAAAGTATGCATCAATCCATTTTTTAATACATGTGTAGAATTTCATTAAATGCAATGCATTTGTGGGCATAATCTAATGATTTTTCTCCTTAGCTCTTTTAATATAAGGTTTGCAATACATTAATGCATTTTAAAATATTCAACCACTCCGCATTTGAAGAATAAATCCCAATGAGCCATTCTGTGATTTTCAAAAACATGCTAGTGGGTTTTCTTTGTTAATTTTGACTGTACAATTTTTGCATCAATATCATTGAATTCATCAAGTTTCCATTTTTGGCAAGTCATTTGTCAGCTCTTGGAACTGATTTTATATTTGATTCATTAAAAAAAAACAAAACTGGAGGCTGGGCATGGTGGCTCGCACCTGTAATCCCAACATTTTGGGAGGCCAAGGAGGGCAGATCACTTGAGGCCAGGAGTTTGAGACCAGCCTGGGAAACATGGTGAAACTCATCTCTACCAAAAATACAAAAATTAGCCAGGCATGGTTATGTGCACCTGTAATCCCCCTACTTGGGAAGCTCAGGCGCAAGAATCGCTTTAGCCCTGGAGGTGGAGGTTGCCATGAACAAAGATTGTGCCACTGCATTCCAGCCTGGAAAACAGAGTGGGACTCCACCAAAAAACAAAAACAAACAACCCCAAAACCAAAACCAAAAACAAACAAACTGGAATTTTTAAAAATCCATGCTGGGGCATGGTTTTAAGTAGCTTTGGGGGTCATGTGATTTTTTTCATGTTTAATGAAATTATGCTTTTTGCTTTGAAATAGGGAATTATTTGCTAGAAAAGATTTCTCATAAAATCTAAATGTTATAGAAAACAATAAAAAATCGGAAAAATTATTGACCCTTGTCTCACGTTCATACCGTAGCTAACACATTCATGCTTTCATTTATTTGTGCAGCAACTAACTGACTGAAGCTGAGTTCTCATTGCTCCAAAGCCTTCTCTAGGTTGCTAGAATTCCCATCTAGCCTGCCTCAGCCCTTTGTAACACTCCCTGGACAACTGCCATAGTGACCATCCTATTTCCTGGCAAAACACCCACCCTGATAGAATTGAGCTCTTCACTCTTGGGCACCCACATCCTGCTGCTGACCTGGCAACGTCCATCCTTGCTGACTGTTCTCACTGACAGCCAGGTGGGTTCTTGTGCGGCCTGACGATCCACTCACCCGCTTTCCTGGTGACTATTCCATACCGATATGGTTTGGCTCTGTGTCCCCACCCAAATCTCATCTCGAATTGTAATCCCCATAATTCCCGCGTATCAAGGGAGGGACCCAGTGGGAGGTGATTGGATCCTGGGGGCAGTTTCCTCCATGCTTTTCCGCCATAGCGAGTGAGTTCTCACGAGATCTCATGGTTTCATAAGTGTTTGGAAGTTCCTCCTTTGCTCTTCTCTCTCCTGTCGCCTTGTGAAGAAAGTGCCTGCCTTGAAGAAGGTTTCATGAAGCCTCCCCAGCCATGTGGAACTGTGAGTCAGTTAAACCTCTTCCCTTTACAAATTGCCCAGTCTGGTGTATTTCCTTATAGCAGTGTTAAAATGACTAACACGTGTACTTTGGCCTTTTATCCTCACACCTACAACACTCTTCCTCCCATTCTCATGATCAGCTGATGTCCAAGCTTCCAATTTCACAAAGGAAATAAAAGCAAGCAGAAGAAACCTTCAACAACCTGTCCTCCCAATGCAGTCTGGGTCTATGGCATTAAAATCTGCCCTCCTTCCTATGTTACGGACAGACCACCTAAGGCAGCCCCTCCTGGCTGCACTAAGTCCCATCTGCTCTTGCCTTCTGGGGACATAGCTCCAGCCATTCTCCCCTCTCCCAGCTCATCCTTGACTATGTCCCACAAGCTCCTTGCTCAGGGCCTCTCCCCAGCTGTCCTCTTTTGCCTGAACCTGTTTCCTACAGGAACCTGCATGCATCCTTCCTCACCTCCTTCAGCTCCTTGCTATGCTGTCCCCTTCTCAGTAAGGTCTCTTGCCCATCCTATTGATAATGATACCCCACAGAGTTTCTATCCTCCTCCTGCTTTCTAGGCCCCCAGATTTCTATATGACCGCTTACTTGTTATCTCATTTTCCATGTGTCAGCTCCATGAGGGCAGGGGTTCTGCTCTTCTGTTTTCTGCTCTATTTTCATTTTTAACAACAGCTCCTGGATCACAGGGGATGCTCAATAAATCCTCAGTGTGAGAGGAAATTGGTTGTCATTATTCATTGGTTTTGTTAAGGCTACAGTCTTTTGCTTTTGCACCATCTTAGTGACGTACTAAAAGGAGCCACAGCTGAGAAGCTGCAATATCACAAACATTGGTATCTTAGTCTACTTGGGCTGCTGGAATGGAATACCCAGACTGGGTGACTTAAACAACAGGCATTTACTTTTCACAGTTCTGGAGGCTGGGAAATCCAAGATTAAGGTGCTGACAGATCTGGTGTCTAGGGAGGGCACTCTTTCTGGCATGCAGATGGCTGTTTTCTAGCTGTATCTTCACATGGTGAAGAAAGAAAAGAAGAAAACTCTTTCCTGTCTCTTCTTATGAGGACACTAATCTCATCATGACAACTCTACCCTGGGGGCCTCCTCTAAACCTAATCACCTCCCAAGATCCAACCTCCTAATACCATCACATTGAGGTTAGGATCTCAACATATGAAGTTTAGGGGAAACAAAGATGTAGTCCATGGCAACTGGATGAAGAGTGACAAAGTAGTCAGCCAATCCAGATTACTGGCCAGATCAGTCTCAAGTTTCAGTCTATGACGGAAAACACTTGGATGTCCTGGGTGTTCCTAGCGAACTTCCAGCTGTCTTTGTCTCTGCATCTGCCCCAATGTGTCACCTCTCACAGGCCTGGTTCTTAGGAGCCAGACTATCCTGCCTATTGTCATGGAAAGATATTGATGGGCCTCCTCCTCTGTACCTTTTGTTCTTAGACGGGTTCATTCTGTCTCTCTCTCTCTCTCTCTCACTCTCCTTCTCGCTCTCACTCTGGTTAGAGGACAGTGACCAGAAATGTATGTTCAGCTTTTTCTTGAAAACCCAGTTTTTTCCTTATGATACTAACTTTCAAATCCTTTATTTATTAATTAAACATCTACCATGTGCAGGGTATAGCTGCTAGCTGAGAAGGGGAGCTAACAGCTATATTAAACATTTACCATGTGCAGGTATAGCTGCTAGCTGAGAAGGAGAGGCAGCGTGGTAGCTTTGAGGAAAGAAGACAAAAGCTACTGCAGTGAACAGGAGAGGAAAATTCTTGCCCTCAGGTAGGGCACCCTAGTGGAGGGAGATCATCTGTAAACAAGGCCATAGTGTAAAATGATTTCAATACCAATGGCTGCTCATAGTAAAATAACATGGGATGATAGTGTAGAGAGTGACTGGAATAGGGACTTTGATCTAGGAGACCAGGGGAAGCCTCACTGTGGGACGTGAACTGCAAGGAGGTGAAGAGTGTCAGCCATATGAAGAGTGTCAGCTTGGAGGGGCATGGGCTTGGGGTGTTTCAGGGACAGAGGAGGGAAGAATTGCAGGAGGATTGATCTCTATCTTGGAGAGAATATTTTGATGACAATATTAACTGGATTCACGGACATACTTAACCAAGTAATATGGTTTCTCTCTGTGCCCTCACCCAATTTCATGTTGACCTGTAATCTTCCAGTGTTGGAGGTGGGGCTTGGTGGGAGGTAATTGGATCATGGATGCAGTTTCTAATGGTGTAGCACCATCCCCCTACAGCTGTCTCATGGTAGAGTTCTCAAGAGATCTGGTTCTTTAAAAGTGTGTAGCATCTCCCCCTTCACTCTCTCTTCTGCCGCCATGTGAAGATGTGTTTCCCCTTTGCCCTTCTGCCATGATTGTAAGTTTCCTGAGGCCTCCCCAGCCATGCTTCTTGTGGAACTGTGAGCCAATTAAACCTCTTTTCTTTATAAATTATCCAGTTTCACGTTGTTCTTTATAGCAATGTAAGAACAGATTAATACACCATGGGATAGGCCGTTATTTAACAGTGAGCAGAAAAGCCATAGGATCTGCTAGAATTTTCATACAGGGATGGGGGAAATGCCAATTCATAAATTTGAAAGGGGCAGGAAGAGACCAAGTAACATTATGTTTTGATCCCATTGTGACAATTATATATTCAATGCATCAGATGCACTTGGACTTAGGAAGAACTAGAAGATATTGTATTATGGACTAAGTCACAATTGCAAAATTATCGTATGATCAGTGTTTCTTCCTCTGTACCATCTGCTCTCAGAGTCCCTCCCCACCTTCCCCAGTGAGGCTGCAGCCATGTTGAGCTGGGCGCTGCCTTCTCTGTGGACTCCACAGTCCCAGGCTCATGACCATGAGGAGGGGAGGATGTGGTGAGGGTCGGGAATGTGGACTCACCACGCCATGTGCTTCTAACTGTTCACAGTGGTCACTCACCTCACTTCAGGTGCTTTATGCAGCAGGTAGGTCAGGTGTCCTTTATTTTACAGGAGGGGAAATGAAGCAGGTAGAATCCGTGCAATGGCAGTGTGAGCTGGAGGAAGATTTGGGGTCAAGTTCTGTCCTCTGACCCCAGGGGCATTATTTCTCACCCTAGTTCTCACAAGGGGATGACTCCTGGCTACCCTTGGGGCAAGAGAGCAATGCTGTGATGTGTGAGGTTGAGGACTACAGACAATTCAGCATCACTGGCTGTGCCATTCATGAAATGCTTTGGCTGGAGTAAGGGCTGGAGTCATTTTCAAGTATGCAAATTAAAGAAAACGCTCCCTGTGACTGGGTCTCTTCCCATGCAGCTCTGATACTCTTATAAAAACCATCAATTTCACTCCAACAAGGAAGGAGGGGAAGAGGCCCTGGAATTGGGACGGAGGGTTGTGATATTTCAGCAGGTTCTGAAACCACGGAGTCAACCACCATCCTGCACTCATGCATTTTCATCCCATAGACGCTGTTAGATGCAGTCCATTTAGCATGACATCACAAGCTGGAGGAAGAAGAGCCCAGAGAGCTCATTATCAGAAGCTGTCCAGGAAGGTGTGGGAACAAGTTCTGAATTAATTAAACTTTCATTTGAATAATGAGTGCATGCTATTTACTTTATTGTTGAGCTGCTCCAAGATAAGCAAGGAGGCTCCCTCCTGTGGAATGCCTGGCATTGGGGGGCCTGCCGTTCTTTGCTTGGGGGAAGTGAAAGAGTTCTTTTTAACTCCCTGTTATTGGAAGAAATGCACATAACTGGAACGTTGTGGGAGTGACTATCAACTGTTCACCTGAGAAATGGCCTGGGGTCAGCCATCCATTATTTTCTATCCATTTTGACACTGCTCATTGCTGTATACACCTTGGGCATCTACAATTAAGGTCCATTTAATCTCCCTAAATTGTATTATCTCAGTCTGTCATGGAATCATGGTTTAATGCAATCTCTGCTTTTACCAGGCAGTAAAACTGAGATGGATGGCATTCTGATGGGTGCAGTAGCCTATGGTGGGTGCAGTAGGAGACCCAGCAGAAGGAAGGGAGTTCTAACCCACAAAATGTCTAGACACGTTTGATGTCAGCCTGGGCTCCGAGAAAGGATGGACGTTTCTGAACCGGAAAACAATTTGTATTCACAGTTGGCTAATGGGTCTTGGAGCTTTATAAGGGTTTGCTAACCAGGCTGACAATAGAAAATTTAACTTGAATATTTTCCCTGTGAACGTCTGGCAGGTGGTGGTATAGAGTAATTGCACTTCTCATGCAGGAGGAAAGAAATCAGCCAGATTCCCACACCCCGATAATTAAATTCCACACACCAGTGGTTTTGGCTGTATCTCTGGTAGTCTTTCTTCATTGAAACTGCCCACTTCATAAATTCAGGTCAGAACTCTGAACTCATCAAAAACATCAGAGGTGATGGCCTACTTTTGTGAGTTTGTGTCATGAGAACACACACCAGCACTCACAAAGATTCACAGAAGCAGGAAAGGGCATTTGGAAACTGCACCAGGAAAGATAGCACTATGGTGCTCAGATCAATTTTATACTTCTGTGACTTGAATCGTGCTCTATATTTTATATTTTTAGGGCACTGGGGAAGGATACTCCCAACACCAGAAGATCTTCATGTGTTTATAATGGGTCTTGGAACTTCACAATTAGAATTGTAAGTTTCTTTGGAATCTTTAATGCTACCTAGTATTAGTGCCATGTAGCAGAATGTTGAACTAGAAAGACTTTAAACAAGAGAGGCGATTATCTCAGACACCAGGGAGCCTAAACCTGGGCGGTTTTAGGGTTGTCTCTGGAGCTCTTCCATGTCCTCCTCAGTGTACTGACTGGTTCTCAGTGTTGTTCCCTCATGGTCACAGAATGGCTGTCAGGACTCTGAGCATGACATCCTAACCCATCCACATACACAAGTAGGAAGAAGGCGTGTGTGTGTGTGTGTGTGTGTTTGTGTGTGTGTGTTGATTTCTTATGTAATGTAAAACCCAGCAATTAGCATTTCAGGATGGGTGCAGCCAGATGATACCATGGTCTCTCAGCTGTGTCCTCAGCCTGGGACTTTCATTGCCTTGGCCTATTTTATAGGAAAGAAGGGATGAGGCAGAGGGCAAAAGGTGAAGAGAAAATGCCCAATGGTGTCTCTCTTTCTGTGGTGTCTCTTAGAAGCCACACCTGGGGACCTCTGTCTAATTTTATTTGGCTGGAACGGTAGGACTTGTCTACTCAAGGAAAGCTAGGAGGAGTCTATACATTTTTTCCCAACTGCCAACTTGAGCAAAATTCAGGTTTCTTAAGAAGGAATAGCTATTGGGACAGTAACCAGCTGTATCTGCCTGTATCCCCATTATATAGATGAGAAGACTGAGGTATGCAAAAACTTAGCTATTTTTCCAAAGCTACATAGGGGCAGTTAATCCTGATCTTTTGTGGTCCTTGAGGATGGACTTCTCCCAATAGGTGTAAGTGGGATGTCAGGGCTAATGACACTCCAGACACTAAGAGAATTGGAGAGAAAGTGTATTACTCACTCGAGGGAGCCCTGTGGAGGGCAGGTAGCACAAGCAGGGTCAGACTGGCTTAAGCAAGACAGAGAAAATGGTTTGGGCCCTTCTGGTGGGTAGAGGTGGGGCTGGGGAGAAGTTCCCATGCAGCTGGGGGATTTCATGGTTTGAATTTGCCCCTGGTGCCAAAGGAGGCAGCAGCACTGGCTTTCTTGTGTCTTGCCTGGATGGGAGGCAGAAGAGGAGGAGGGAGTCGGGGAAGGTGGGGTTTGAAAGTCTCATGGGGCTAATGTGAACAATGGAGTCAGACTCTTGATCACACCTGTGCCTGTTTGCCCCTCAGCTTCTGAGCCCTGGCTGAGAAACCTGGTATTAGAGAGAGATTTGAAACACCAGCTTCAGCCTCTGGGCTCTCAAGTTGAATGTGGTCTGATGCTAGGTAGGATATCTCAGGGCCCTGATAGTTCTTCTTGGGAGAGGAAAGGGGCATCAGTGGGTCTGGGAAGAGGGAGACTGGAGGATGAGGGGCCATGGCACCCTTGTGCCCAATATAATGCCTCCTGTCTGTGGGGTTGTGGGGGAGGTGGCGGGCATCTGTGAAGGGTCATGGTTGTCTGCCTCATGGTGGTTGTGATGACAAATGGGAGATGTAGCAACCTTCTCAGCACAGTGTGGGAGGCGTGGTCAGTGCTCAGAACAGCAGCCATGAGTTGGCTGTGGTTTTCTTCAACTATAACAGAGAAAATCCTTTTTCTGTGATTTACTGTCCGTGTCCAATTCCACAAACGCCGCTAGTTCAGATGTCCTTAATTTGAAAGTCATGATAATTGGGACAAGGCAAATTGACAGGTCATTATGAAAATATTCGGTGAGCCAAGAAAAAGTGCCCAAGTTAACATCACAAATACAGGTAATGAGCAGGATTATTGCAGCCTCTTAAAGGAAAACAACTACAACGAGCAACAACAAAACTCTCTGGCCACATTTATACTGGCCTGACAAGGTAATAGCAATACATTATTATTTATTTATTTAAAATGGTTGAGCCTTGATGTTTGCCACTGTCACTTAAATTATCTTTGATCTGAGTTGGGTGGTAATACCATTATATTTATTTTTCTCATTTCTCAAACTTCAGACTTTTAAACCAGCATAGACTGAGTGTTCTCCTACTAATTCAAGATGGAAGAAGGTTGATGCATTTCTACCCTTGGTGCTCAACAGAGTTTGCTTTGAAAAAGAGAAAATAAACATTCACCAGAAAAGGAAATTAGAACGTGCTTTCATTAGTGGGCACTTACCACATTCTGCTTTCTAGAGGCCTGCCAGCTCTTTTGAAGAATCCATCATTACTCTTTTGCTTTAAACCTTAGGTCCAAACTTAAGAAAGTCATAACGCGATGATGGCTAATCTAAGAGGGGAACGCTTGTGCTGTAAGCTGTCCTGGCTACAAAAAGTGAGCACTCTTGTTTCGTTTAATGTGCTTATTTTTTGATGTACTTCACAAGTTCATTTCACCCGCTCTGTTACACACTATAATACCCAGGATCCTCTGTCTTAGTCTGTTCAGTGCTCAGAGTTGGTGCTAAAACAAAAATTCCATAGACTGGGTGGCTTATGAGCAACAGAAATTTATTTCTCACAGACTGGAGGCCGGAAGTCCAAGATCAAGGGGCCGGCAGATTTGTTGTCTGGTGAGGAGCTGCTTCCGGTTCATAGATGGCGGCTTCCCCCTGTGTCCCCACCAGGTGGAGGGAATGAAGGAGCTCTCTGGGATTTCTTTTTCTTTTCTTTCTCTCTTTTTTCTTTTCTTTTTTTTTCTTTTTGAGACAGAGTCTCGCTCTGTCATCCAGGCTGGAGTGCAGTGGCACGATCTCGGCTCACTGCAAGCTCCGCTTCCCGGGTTCACGCCATTCTCCTGCCTCAGCCTCCCGAGTAGCTGGGACTACAGGCGCCCACCACCATGCCTGGCTATTTTTTTTGTATTTTTAGTAGAGACGGGGTTTCACCGTGTTCGCCAGGATGGTCTTGATCTCCTGACCTCGTGATCTGCCCCCCTCGGCCTCCCAAAGTGCTGGGATTACAGGCGTGAGCCACTGCGCTCGGCCTGGGATTTCTTTTATAAGGGCACTATTTCCATTCATGAGGGCTCCACACTCACGACCTAATCACTTCCCCAAATCTCCACCATCTAATTCCATTGTCATAGGAATTAGGAGTTCAACATATGAATCTTGAGGACACCAACTTTCAAACCATAGCAGGCTCTAAATATCAAAGAGGTTCTTCTCTAGCTAGGACGGATTCAGTAGGTTTCTGTGTGGAGACAGGAGAATGGGTAAGATAGATAACAAGTTCCTCACACATGTCTCCTCAGCCCTGGGATTCTGCTCAGACAGGGTCTGGACCCCTGCACAAATTGCCTTGCCATGCACTAGAGCTCAGATTTTCCTACATTTCAGTCATTTAGGAGTCATCCTTATGACTTTAAAAATCTGCTTGTCACCACACACCATCTCATACTGACTTTGTACAAGTTAGCATTTTTCTTTAACTCCACTTACTGCTTTAAGAAACATCATCTAAAGATAAATCACATATCACTGACATAAATGTATTAGCCCATGGCTTTCTCTGTCGTTATAATTCTAAATTTTAGGACAAAAATCAATGTATTTTGAATCATGACCTTGCATACTTCAGGTTGTTTTCAGAAACCATTGTAACTGTGGCAGTGATCAATGGGGAATGCCAATGTGTTATTCAGTGAATGATACAGCAGCCCACTATCTGGCCATACGTGAATCCGCACCAGCCGGGAAACTGTTTGGGGATTTATCAGGAGTGGCAAGATGGCATCAGAAGGAAATAAGCTTAGATTTCTTAACTATGAAATAAGCTGACATAAGTCTAGATTTCTGTTGATTTTGCCTTAAATTAATGAGGATGCAATTTTCAGTTTTCCCTAATACATAATGGGTTATCTTGAAGGACCTTGAGAGATCCCTAAACTTTCTCTCCCAGGACTCTCTACCCAGAGTTTCCCAACTTTCAATCTCTCTCTCTTTTTTTTTTTTAGACAGAGTCTTGCTCTGTCGTCCAGCCTGGAGTGCAGTGGTGCGATCTTGGCGCACTGCAACCTCTGCCTCCTGGGTTCAGGTGATTCTCGTGCCTCAGCCTCCTGAGTAGCTGGGATTACAGGTGTGTGCCACTATGCCCAGCTAATGTTTTTGTATTTTTAGTAGAGATGGGGTTTCGCCACATTGGCCAGGCTGGTCTCAAACTCCTGACCTCAAGTGATCCACCTGCCTCGGCCTCCCAAAGTGCTGGGATTACAGGGGTGAGCCACCATGCCCGGCCCAATTTCCAGTCTTTGTGCAACACTCTTACTGCTTTTTAAATAATATTTTTCATACTATTTGCATTGTTAATGACTTCATATTTTTATTTAAAAATATGTTCCTTATATACAAATGTTTAACATGGAAACCACATGAACAGTATGAATAGAAAACCAACATAATTTGTTTATAATAGAAAATAATTATGAAAATAGAGACAAAAAGAAAACAGAAATGAGCCTGATGCCTCCTTCCTATTCATTGTAAAGGGAGAACAGTGTCTGTTAAGGAGGAGAGGAATTAAAGGTTGCTGGGTATTCCCCCAGCAGCCATCGCCAGTTTTCTTCAGATATTAGGTGGCAGCGTTTGCCTATCCTCTAGTCCAGGGCATAGATCATGATTGTTCTGTCATGCCAGTTATGGTGGTTCTATTATTTTGTGGCTGTCAATGGTGTTGGATGCATCGTTTGACCCACTGAGACATACTTAGAAGCAGTCTTCTGGCATCTTCCAAAAAAAATTTCTCTCTGATAAAAGTAAAAGTAATGCAAAAAAACAAAACAAAACAAAGCAAAATCAAAAAACCCATTCCTATCCCTTTTACTCCCTTTTACTTTTGGGGGCTGCACTATGAGGGTGTGATGTCCGGATATGTGGCAGCCATATTGTTACCATGAGGTACAACCCTGCACATTAAAGTCAATCAGCTGACGGTGAGAGATGAGCCTGGAGCCCTGATGACATAGGTGAGCTGTTGAACCCTTTCTCCATGCATTTCAATGCTTCTTGCTAATCATATCTCTGTGGTTTAACAAAGTGTTAATGTGCTCTCTATTACTGTGGCTGCACTCGTTCCTAACAGACATTCATCCTATATTACTCCTAGTTAGGCCATAGTTATTTCCAGCCTTTGGCTTTTACTCATCCAGCCCCTGCCATTCTACGTCCTTCCTGCCCTTGACCTGTCCGTATCGCAGCCATTTGTCTAGTCCCTGCTTAATATTTAGCTCCAAGGTATTGGAATCAGTGTAGATGTCAAAGAATTACAGTCTTTTTGGAGGTGTCTCTGAAAATAATTAATTATTAAATAATTAGTAATTAAGTTAATGTAGATTAGTATTAATAATTAGATTAATAATAGTAAGCATTAATAATTAGATAGTTAATAATTATTTAATAATTAAATAATTAAAACAAATATTTTATATGGAACAGTAACAACAAAGTTATTTAGGATGTGTATGGACAAAAAGAGAGGGCATACAAAATAAATTTTAAGTGACCTTTCTTTTTTCATTCATCTATTAAATATTTAATAATTATCTACTAAATGCCTGGCACTTTCCTGCACCAAACAAGATAGACATTTTTCTTGTTTTTATTGTTGTTATTGATGGTGGTGTTTCTTCATTATTCCTGACTGGCTGCCTAAAGGTATCTTTGCTTCCTCTGAGGCATAAAATGCACAGACTTTCTGAAAGCTGCTTTGTACTTTTAAATGCAAATTACTGTCTCGATGAGCCGAATGAGGCCTTGGAACAGATGAAACAACGAAAAGGAAGAAAATGAACTTACCTTTCTTTCTTATTTTTGGTTAGTCCACTTATGACCTATTGTCTCTTTCCTAGACGTTAGACTCCAGTGGATCCAACGTCTTTCTTTCATCAGAAATGCCTCCTCAAGATGGTGCCCAACATGGGTGGTTATGGAAAAATGGTCATCAGAAGTGAAGAGATGGCCTCCTATTTGAATTTTTCTTTCTTGGGGCTGTCACTTCACACTCTTAGTTAGCACGGTGACCCCAGCCAGCTTGTCCTGTTGAGAAAGCGCAGGCCCTGCACTTTGATAATGATTTTCCAGGAGCAAATGTATCATCAGTCTGGGTGTTAGTTCGGATTCGACTGTGGCAGAGGATGGCAGGGAAAAGTGGCAGTGAGAACACTTCTCCAAGTGCGAATGGAGGAGGAGGGTGAATACCATGCTCAGGCAGGATTTTCAAGTTTTCTGCGATGGTTTTATAGTTTTGACTTATTCACTTTAGCTGCAAAGGTTTACATTTTAATTAAACTGAGTAATCAACAGCTCACCTGCTATAAACTGAAGTTTAAACCTGATGAATTGGGACTGTTAAAGGTTTTTTATTTTAAAAGGATCATGATACACAGGGAATTGGAGGGAAGAACATAACGAAAAAGAATAATCGTGAATGAAAATTGCTGAAGACGAGTGGCCCTTGTCGTGCGTGGGGCTAGTTATTGAACTTAACTGGAACCTGTAATGCTTATTCTGTATTGAGGTATGTCAGAAATCTCTGTATAGTTGCTCCTTTCTTCCTTCTTCTGGAAGTGCCAGGAGAATCCTGCCAGTCAGAACCAGAAATTAATATCATATATGTATTATAAGAGAAGAGAAACAAAGGCTGGGGGGGAGATGAAGACAATGAAGACATTTGGTCTCAGAATAATACGTCTTTGATGGAGTTAAGAGTATCTGACTCGAGACTCCTAGCACAAAACGGAAGCACATACAATAGCTGAATGCGGAAGGGGGGGGGAAGAGAGAGAGAGGAGGGAGAGAGAGAGGGAGAGAGAGAGAGAGAGAGAGAGAGAGAGAGAGAGAGAGAGAGAGAGAGACTAGGTGGACCAGATTTAGATGCCCAGGTTCTTGGGTTAGGTTGTAAAGACCCCAGACATGTGTATGGATTTTGATACACTGAAATAGATATATATTATATATATTTCTGGCTTACAGGAGGGGATATCCATAGGCTGCAACTGAATTTATAACCAAAGCTAAAATTTCTTTAAGGTTGACATGCCAACATATGTATTCCTAAATACCTATTTTGAAATAGTTACGGATTCCTAGGATGTTGCAAAGAAACATGCAGGAAGATGCCGTGAACGCTTGAGCAGCCTCCTAAAAAGTTAATATCTCACATGACTGTAGTTCAATATCAAACTAAGAAATTGATGTTGGTACAATACACAGTGCTCATTCATGTTTTGCCAGTTATACATGCACTCTTGTGTGTATGTGCGTGTGTGTTTGTATGTGCTTACTTTATAGCTCCATGCAATTTTATCACATGGATAGTTTTTTTGTTTTTGTTTGTTTGTTTTGTTTTTTTTTTGAGTTGGAGATTCAGTCTTGTGGCCCAGGCTGGAACGCGGTGGCACGATCTCAGCTCACTGCAACCTCCACCTCCCAGGTTCAAGCGATTCTCCTGCCTCAGCCTCCCAAGTAGCTAGGATTACAGGTGTGTGCCACGATACCCTGCTAATTTTGTATTTTTGGTAGAGACGAGGTTTCACCATGTTGGCCAGGCTGGTCTTGAACTCCTGACCTGAGGTGATCCACCCACCTTGGCCTCCCAAAGTGCCGGGATTAAAGGTGTGCACCACCACACCTGGCCACATAGACAGTTTTGTGTAACCACCACAATCAAGGTACGTAACTGTACCCTCACCCTACAACTCCTTAGTGCTACCCTTCTAGAGCCTCAGTCTCTTCTCCCCAAGCCCCTACTTCCTAGTAACCACTAGTCTGTTCTCATCTGTATCACTATGTTATTTCACAAACTTAATTCAAATGGAGTCGTGTCACATGTACTTTTTTGAGACTGGCTTTTCTTTCCCTCAGTACAACGCCCCTGATATTTATCCAGGTTGCTGTGTGTATCACTAGTTTACTCATTGCTAGCAGAGTAGGATTCCATGATCTGCCTACACCGCAGTTGTTTAACCATTGACCCATTAAAGGGCATGTTGGTAGTTTCCTGGGGGCCATTTTGGGCCTTACAGATAAATCGTGTAATGTCTCTCTCCGTAGCATTTAAAGAAGTATCTGGGATTGAGCCATCTCACGTCCATCCAACCACACTCACACAAATGGGATGGGTCCACAGCCTTCGGACATGATTGCCTAACTCTGGCAATAGAGAGATGAAGAAGATAGAGAGATGAAGAAGATAGAGAGATGAATAAGAAACACATACAGGTAATTGCCAGACAGAGAGATGGAGAAGAAACACATACAGGTAATTAGCTTAAAAGCACATTCTGTGTTTGTGAGGCGGAAAGAGTGGAAACTGGGGCAAGTCCATTACAGAAAAATAGGTAAACATTCACGTGAACCCCACGATGCACCAAAGAGAGACTGCTTCTCCCCAACATCAGAACCAATTAAAAATGGCAGCTGGGGTGTCCCCAGTCTAAACTCTGCAGGGTTTCCCCGAGTGGAAACTTGTGAAATGGCATTGTTTGCCTGAAGTCTTTATTCCATAAAATATGTTATAAACATTAAACAGAAAAATAAAATTAAAGTTGTGAGAAAGATTAAAGCCATCTTGTACTAATGAGAGACATCTGTTTGTTCCTGTTTTGTAAATGTGCATTTACCCAATAGACAGGAGTTTTTTTTTAAAAAAAAGTTGGAAATAAAAGTTAAAAAAAGTAAAACAAGCTAGAGATGGTTGCTGGTCCTCTGGGGAAATTGACAGAATCAAGGCCACATTTGGAAAAGTTGTGTTTAGAGAAAGGCTCTGCAGCATGATTTCACAGTTTCTGATAAACATATTTGAATTTTAATCTTGCAAATGCTTAGTATCATATGCATCCATACTGTTCCTCATTTGTCTGTTTGGCAGGTGTTAACTGAGCATCTTCTACAAGCTGGCACCTGCTAGTGCCGAGAACACATTGGCAACTAAATCAAATATGGTCACTGTCCTTAGGGAGACTGTGCTAGAGGTGAGACAGGTGTGAATCAATAACATTTAGTGGTTAATGCTCACCTATCTTTTGTGATGCAACCGGCAGTCTTCTAAGGGCTGTGCAAATATATTAGGTTTTCAAATTCTTCTGATAATTCTAAGACAGAGTAAGTCTTATTTTTGTGCCGTCCATTTCTGTTGCTTTCTGCAGCCGGTGTTGACGTGGACTTAGGATTGCTATGAGCGTTTTCATTAGTGGCTCATTCTTCCTCATGGCTCATTGCTCTTCCCAGCTCTGCCTTTTCTCTGGGAAGCTGGTGTCTGGGTTGGCCCTTCATCCTCACTCCTTGTCTTTAGTCCAGGACAGGAGGCAGGGGAGAGAGTGTCTCTGGCTGGAGCAGGAAGATGAAATCACAGGTGAATTGACTGTGGACCTGCCTCCTCCCCAGATATAAAGCCTCCCAGGCCTCGCCCTTTCCTCACAAGGCCGCCTCCCTGCAACCATTTCTTTGCCTGCTTCTAGAGGTTACGGCCCCTCTTGCCAAGCCTAAGTGAAGTCACGGATTAAATATCCAGAACCCAGGTGAGATCCCTTCTTTTGTTTCCAAACAGCTTACAGGTGGGCTCAGATTTGGACGCTAACTGCTTAGAGAAGTTCACCAGGAAACCCTCTCTGCCTGGCACATGATCTCCATTTAAACCTTTTTCAGTTCAAGCAATCAGAAGAAACTTACTGGAGAGAATGAGTTTTTGCAATGACTGAATTGTAGGAAATGTAAAAAAGAAATGCATACTTGGGGCTTTCAGATGTCCACCTTAAACTACAGACACGTCGATATAGCTGGGTGTTTTCAAAGGTGTGCAAGGGGCCGGGCGCAGTGGCTCATGCCTGTAATCCCAGAACTTTGGGAGGCTGAGGTGGGCGGATCATCAGGTCAAGAGATCGAGACCATCTTGGCCAACATCTTGAAACCCTGTCTCTACTAAAAATACAAAAATTAGCTGGGCATGGTGGCATGCACCTGTTGTCCCAGCTACTCGGGAGGCTGAGGCAGGAGCATTGCTTGAACCTGGGAGGCAGAGGTTGCGGTGAGCCAAGATCGTGCCACTGCACTCCAGCCTGGTAACAGACCAAGGCTCCATCTCAAAAAAAAAAAAAAAAGAAGTGTGCAAAAAGGTGTGCAAGGACCTGGCCTGTGGTGGCCAGAAGTGCACTCTTGAGAGGGTGAGCACACTGTCACCTTTCTAGCTTTCCTCATTGTGTAACTCATGAGCAGTATTTCCATGTCCACCAAGCACTGAATAGTTCTTTGGAAGTCCTCCTTTGAGCTTTCAGTGTGAAAGCATGACGCCCTCCTCCCACTCAGGCCTTTGCTGTGTGCTGCAGATTTTAAGAAAGAGACAAGGAGGAGGGCTGCTCTGCTGATTCAGGAGTGAGCATGAACTCTGAGCAATCTTGGGGGCTTTCTCATATCTTTGCTGTCGGCACCACACACCTGCCCTGGCCGACTCTCCATCCTTACCAAAGCCCCCCGGGAAATAATGCTTGTGGTAGGCAGAACAAGGGTCCAAAAGATGTCCACATCCTAATCCCTGGACCCGTGAATATGTGACCTTACATGGCAAAAGGGACTTTGCAGATGGGATTAAGTTAAGAGCTTGAGATAGGTAGATTATCTTGGACGACCCAGGTGTGCACAATGTAATCACAGGGGTTTTTATAGAAAGGGAGGAAGGATGGTGGGAGTCAGAGAAGGCGACGTGGTGATGGAAGCAAAGGTCAGAGGCAGGGGTGGTCACAGGCCCAGGGAGGCGGGTGGCCTCTAGAAGCAGGAAAAGGCAAGGAAACGATTTTTTCTCTTGAATGTCCGAAGGAACACAGCCTGCAGACCCACTCCAGACTTCTGACCTCTGTAACTGTAAGATAATAAATGTGTTGCTTTAAGCACTTGGCTTATGGCAATTGTCATAGCAGTGACAGGAAACGAATAGACTGCCCATTGATCAGTGGGGACAAAGGGCTGCGTCTTCCAGGGCATCTTCTGCCTTCAAGGTGGCAATGTGGGCCCTGGATGCTTAGATTCTGGCTTTTCTCCATTGCTCAGCAGTGAGGACCTGCCTGGACCTCCCTGCTGTGAGTGAACCCCAACACTCTTGTGCTGTGCTGCCCCCAGGACTTCGGAGTAGCCAAGGAAGGGCAGTTTCTCAACAGTTGTCTGAGACTGTCAGGTGTGTGGGCTGTGGGGTTTGCCTTTCTGCATGTGAGAGGCCCTTTTGCTCTGGGCTGGGCAGAGAAGGGAAAAGTGGGGGCAGAGGACAGAAAAGGGAAAAGGGAAAGAGCCTGGGAACCACAGGCTGGTCTTCCCCATATTTTTTGGTGTAAAACTCGGTGAAGTTTGAGAAGTTTAATCCAAACTTGGCTTTTAAAAAAGTGGTTATAAAGGTTAAAATTAAAGTAGAGGGACAGAACGTGCTTTAAGGATTGTTTACTGGATTTTAACTTTGAGCTTTTAGGTGTAGGGTACATGGTGCTTCATTTCCCTTATTCGCTAGACTCTGTAGATATTAGAGGTCAGCCTGCAGGAGAGACATTGCCTTTGCAAACATTTAATTCAGGCTTGGAGGAAATGGATCTAGGTCTACACACGTGAGAGTGGAATACTGGAACAGTTCTCTAGCAGTTCCAGCAGGGGAGTGTGTGGATCCCGAGGTGTATGACTCAGTGTACCCAGTGGCCCCATGGCACCCCCTGAGGCCACCCAGAAGGAGGTGGGGATATAACTCCAGGGCTGAGTAGGGTCCTTCCTCTGGCACCTGCCCTTCTTGCTAGTGAGAGACACAGCTCATTACCTGAATAGGGTCCTGAGCATGGCAGGAACAATCCCTGGGGCTGTTTATGTGGAAACTGGAGTTTTAAGAGAAAAAAACTGGGTGGGATGGGGTGAGATGAGGCATTGATGAATATTAAATGGTAGAACCCTACCAGGTAGCTTCTAGCCACTTTAGATTTACAGATCTTGGCCTTGAGGTTTTTGTTTTTTTGTTGTTTATTTTTTCTACGTGCAATTTGATGATTTGTTTTCATTTGGTGCAATTCAATTCAATTCAATTGGAAACAATAATGAGAGTCTACCTACACTTCACCTTGTTTTGTGCTGGGTGCTGGGAACACAGTGGGTGGTAAGATCCTCTTGTGGGTTCAGTTGCATTCCCACAAGATGATATGTTAAATCCCAACCCTGGGCACCTACCAGTGAGACCTTATTTGGAAATAGGGTCCTTGCAGATGTAATTGAATTAAGATAAGGTCATACTGGATTAGAGTAGGCTAATGACTAGTCTGGGTTAGTCACTGAGCTAAATCCAATGACTAGTGTGCTTATACGAAATCCATGTGAAGACTCTGAAAGAGAGAGGAGAGAGCCTTGTGAAGACGGATGCAGAGACTGGAGTGAGGTGTCCTCAAGCCAAGCAATACCTAAGATTGTGGCAACCAAAGGAAGCTAGGGGAGAGACAGAGAAGGACTCTTACCTAGAAAATCCAGAGGGAGAATGGCCCTGCCAACACCTTGATTTCTGACTTGTGACCTCCAGAACTGAGAGACAATGGGTTTCTGTTGCAAGATACCCAGTTTGTGGATATTTATTAGGACAACCCAAGGAAACTAACATAAGCTTCCTCTCTGCCCTTAAGTTGCCCAAAGTCCAGGAGGAGAAGTGGCCACATAGGTAGGGAAGTACTTGTCTTGAAAAGCCCACAGATTGGGAGTTGTCAATGGCTTTCCAGCTTTGGTATTTCCTCGGGAACACATTTAGGGAAGAGGAAAGCCGCCACATGTGAGTGAGCATTGATGTGAATTGAGCCTGATGTGAATTGAGCATTCCTCAATTCACAGCAGGCTGTCAAGTGCTGGGGCCACTGCTGTGGGCTTCTCCTTGGACATTGGCATAGTTTATAATTAATTACAGCCCCTTTACCCAAAGAATCCACTTTAGAAATAAAATAAAATAAGCTGTTTATATTGCATTCTCTGTTTACTGTGAATTTTTCTTTCTTCCCTTCTCTCTGTTTCTAGCCTTCTGAGAACTCGGTGTGGATCTTTGTGTGCAAAATTCTAATTACTGTTCCCAAGACTGGCACATCTCTTTTTCCTCTTGTATCTCCTCAAAAGTTTCATTTCTGGGTTATTGTCTATTATTTCAGCACATAAAATAAAAAGAATGCTCTTGGCATGCGCTGTGCATTAATTATCATTTGGGAGCTTGCCAGAGCTGCTTGAAGGGGCATTTAGAGAGTTGGTTGTCTTTTAAGTTCAAAGGTGCAAACATACAGAAGAGAAGAATGAAGAAAGCACTGCCTGGGTCTTAGGGCAGCCGACTCTATGGAATGGCTTTTTAAACAGGTTGCTTTCTGTTTGGGGTTAAGGATAAATCAGGATGTACTTTGCCTGGGAATTATGATTTTGACTAATTGCAGAAATAGTCCTGAGCAGAGAGTGGCTCTCTGAAGACTCAGCTGTGGATCCTTTGGGAGAATTAGTTCATGGGTTAAAATGAAACCAAGCTACTTCTTTTGAAAAGTGATGATGGTAAGTCTCTGACTGCCTGTGTGAGGGCTTGGAAATGATTTTTCCTCTCTGGACCTCCAATTTCTCTTCCTGCAAAATGAGATGGTTGTGCAAGGTTCATGATTCTGTTTTTCACGGAACATCCTTAAGAGAAGTGCTTCTGGGAAAACAAAAGCTGTTTCAGAGTCAAATAATACTGAGGAACCTTGAAAACTGTATCTTATTTTTAAGTGATTCACAAGGTACCACAGAATATAAAAGATTGAGATGTCCAGCAATAAAAAAGCCTGTTAAATTTTGCCACACTCTTTCGTTTATTCATCCATTTCTTCTCAATTATTCAATAGGTCTATAACTTAAAAGGATCATAAAATAATGTATGAAATGTACTTATTTAAGTGACATTCATATCTCTATGTATTTTTCAAGGTATCTTCTGTGTCTCTACATTTCATTCCATTTTCCCCAGTCCTATTTTATTTTGCCATTTTATCCTGTTTATCCTATTTTGTTTTATTTTGCCCACTTTTACTGGAGTTGTCACTCTTAACACCTCTTGCATGAACTGTGCCTTCTAACTGGACTTCCCGCGTCCCCTCTTGCACCCTCAAATCCATTCTCTACATTACAACCAGTGGGATCATTTAAAATGGGAATCTCCTTCTATTTCCTTTTTCTATAAAATCCTCCTCTTTCCCACAGGCTTTAACCCTTTCCCCGTTTCCAATAAAGCCAGGCTTCTTCTGGACTCCTTCTGATTTTCCATCTTGGTCACACTAGGGTTCTCCATGCTCCTCCATGGCCCATTCCTGCTGGCCTTTCCCTTAGTTCACAATTTCCCCTCTGCTAGGATCAGTCTTTACCTGTCGTTACCTGGTTAGCCAGTCACCTTCCAGGTTATCAGTTCAAACATCACACTCCTAGGGAAGCCGTCTTTGATTCTGCAAGAGCAGGTCAAATCACATGATTTTATATTCTGTTGGATTTTGTCTGTAGCTCTTACCCCATCACGCTCTTTCCACACTAGCACGACCATGTAGATTGGCCCTGTAGCTCTCCGCTGGTGGTCATTTGACATACGTTTGTTTGAAGACTTGATTGTTTTCCCACTGGAACTGAGACCTCACGGGGCTGGGGCAGGTCTGGTTTTGCCCGCCTGATATGGCTTAGATCTGTGTCCCCTCCAAGTCTCATATTAAAATGTGATCCCCAGTGTTGGAGGTGGGGCCTAGTGGGAGGTATTTGGGTCATGGGCGCAGATCCCTCATGAATGGCTTAGCACTGTCCTTTTACTGATGAGTGAATTCTTGCTCAGTGAGTTCACACAGGATCTGGTTGTTTTAAAAGAGGGTGGCACCTCCCCAACCTTGCTCCTTGTCTCGCCATGTCATGCACTGGCCACCAGTTCACCTTCTGCCATGATTGTAAGCTTCCTGAGGACCTCACCAGAAGCAGATGCTAGCACCATGCTGCTTCTGCAGCCTGCAGAACTGTGTGCCAATTAAATCTCTTTTCTTTATAAATTACCCAGCCTTAGGTATTCCTTTATGGCAACAAAGACAGACTAACACATCACCCTTATGTTCCCAGCTGTTACCTTGGGAGCAGATACTGTGGGCATGGAATTGCGTTTGTTAAATGGATGAATGAATGAATATCCCAGGCCCTATACTACATACTCGAGATAGAGGGATGGATAAGTTATGATCAGTGCCCTCAAGAAAATTAATAAGTAATTAAAATAAAGTGTGTATTGGCAGGTATGTGTGAAAAATATGAGTATATAAAATAGAAATGGTGAGATTTCATGAGAATGAGGAAATAACGAGGAAAATCTTCCCAGTGGATGTTTCATCTGAGCTCAGCAGAAAGAAATAAGCAGGAGTTACTGTCAGCATATTTGTTTGTCTCCATGGGCAGTATTTCTTCCTGATTCTTCTGGTAACCCCTCAATGTTTATTTTTAGCTCATGTAGTTATGATAGGGCAGACCTAGGATACCAGATAAGTGATCAACCAAGCCCAGAAGCTTTTATGAGTAAGATGAACACCAGATTTTTTGCAGGAATAAAGGACTGTGCAGGCAAAGCAGAATGTGCTGTGCTCTAGGGAGGGCCAAGGGACCAAGATCTGAGTGATCAGAGCCCTCCCTTACTGAGGCTACAGGGAATTCATGGCTAGGCATGTCACTCTGTTTTTGGCCAATAAAAATAATTTAAAAGGGTTTCAAAAGATGCAGGGGTGTGTGTGTGTGTGTGTGTGTGTGTGTGTGTGTGTGTTGGGGAGTGTGCTTGAAGTTGGTAGGATGTTAACCAACATAACAAGGAAGGAGAGCAAAAGAGAGTCTGATTATTCCTGGATCCAGCCACATCTGAAGTTAGTCAACTGTCAAAGACAAAAACAAGGCTGGCTCATGCCTGTAATCTCAGCACTTTGGGAGGGCATGTTTGGAGGATTGCTTGCTTGAGGCCAGGAGCTGTAGACCAACCTTGGCAACATGGTGAAATTTCTGTCTCTTGCAAAAAAAAAAAAAAAAAAAAAAGCTGTGCATGGCGTGGCACGCCTATAGTCCCAACTACTCAGGAGGCTGAGGTGGGACGATCACGTAAGCCCAGGAGTTGAAGGCTGCAGTGAGCTATGATCACTTCACTGCACTACAGCCTGGATGACAGAGCAAGACTCGGTCTCAAAAAAAAAAAAAAAAAAGACAAAAACCAGACAAGTTAAGAAGATTGATTTTATCCAACCAATTGCAATAGGAATAACACCGAAAATCTAAAACTGAGAGTGTCTCCATAGAGTGGTTTTGTCTTAAACATTTATAGGGAGGGTACGCAAGTTTCAGATGGGAATATTTACAGTTGAGTAATTCTACAAGCAGGGGAAGTCTCCATCAGCTGAACAGGAAATGTTCTGTGGTTAGCTCATTTCAGAGGGGCAAGCAGTTCTAATCTCAGCTAATCATTCATGAGACACAGAATGAGAAATTGGTCGGGAATGAGGCAGGTTCAGACGGAGGGAAGGGTCTGTGAAGGATAGTGAAGTGGTGGGAGGTGCCACACACTTTTAAATGACCAGATCTTTTGAGAACTCACTCACTATTGCAAAGTTGGCACCCAGCCATGAGGGGTCCACTCCCATGATCCAAACACCTCCCATCAAGCCCGCCTCCAGCACTGGGGATTATAATTCAACATGAGATGTGGGCAGGGACAAATATGCAAACCATATCACTTGGGTGAGCCAATAAACTTTCTCTTTTGTTTAAGGCAGTTTGGATTGGGTTGATGATATGGTTTGGCTGTGTCCCCACCCAAATCTCATCTTGAATTGTAGCTCCCGTAATTCCCAAATGTCATGGGAGGGACCCAGTGGGAGGTAATTGAATCATGGGGGTGGGTCTTTCTCATGCTGTTCTCCTAATAGTAAATAAGTCTCATGAGGCCTGAGGGTTTTATAAAGGTGAGTTCCTCTGCACATGCTCTCTTGCCTGCCACATGTAAGATATGACTTTTCTCCTCCTTTGCCTGCTGCCATGATTGTGAGGTCTCCCTAGCCACGTGAACTGTGAGTCCATTAAACCTCTTTCCTTTATAAATAACCCAGTCTCGGGTATGTCTTTATTTGCAGCGTGAGAACTGATGGATACCATTGGATTTCTATCACAAAAACCCCCATTCTTATTGGTGCCAGAGCCTTCTGGGCAGAAAATTTGGGAATGGACTTTTATAGGATCATTCCAAGCTGAGGCAAGGGGCACAGCAGAGCGAAGGCCAGGAGGCCCCTGTGGCTGGGGCGCAGGCAGAGGGAAGGCAAGTGCACTGATTTGCTGGGGCTGCCTTAAGAAATCATCACAAGCAGCCAGGCGCGGTGGCTCATGCCTGTAATCCCAGCACTTTGGGAGGCTGGGGCGGGCAGATCACAAGGTCAGGAGATCGAGACTATCCTGGCCAACATGGTGAAACCCCGTCTCTACTAAAACTACAAAAATTAGCTGGGCATCGTGGCTCATGCCTGTAATCCCAACTACTCAGGAGGCTGAGGCAGGAGAATCACTTGAACCAGGGAGTCAGAGGTTGCAGTGAACCGAGATCATGCCATTGCACTCCAGCCTGGTGACAGAACGAAACTCTGTCTCAAAAAAAAAAAAAAAAACAAAACCATCACAAGCTGAATGGCTCAAATGACATAAGTATATTGTCTCATAGTTCCAGAGCTCAGAAGTCTGAGGTCAAGGTGTGGGCGGGGCAGGCGCTTTCTGGAGGCTGTGAGGGAGAATCTGTTCCGTGTCTCTCTTGCTACTGGTGGTTTGCTGGCAATCTTTGGCATTTCTTGGCTAGTAGAAGGAACTAATCTCTTCCTTTATCTTCATGTGATGTTCTACCTGTGTGTGTGTCTACCTTCAAATTTCCCCTCTTCATCAGCACACCTGTCCTGTTGGATTAGAGGCCCACCCTTCCCCAGTATGGCTTCTTCTTAACTAATTCCACCTGCAGTGACCCTGTTTCCAAATACGGTTACGTCTGTTGTACTGGGGGTTATGACTCCAGCATATGAATGGGGATGGGTACAATTGACAGGAAGGTTAATAGGAGGCTTTGGCAGTCTTCTGAGGAGTTCATGTTTTATGCTGCAGAAAACATAGTCCCTGAATTTTCAGGTGTATCAAATTACCTAAAACCACTCTGTATTTCCTCTAAGAAAACAGGCAGTTTGATGTCCTTACTTTGTCCTGCTCCCACCCCCAACATCTACAAAACCTTAAGACTGGTGTCCTGCGTGAACCCTTAGCATTGCTGCTTTTAGATGGAAATGTCCTCACTCTTGACGCAACTCGGCAGGTGGAAGTGACTCTAGACTGGATTTTTCTGGGCTGCTGATGAGCTGCAACGGACCTGCCATTGGCTGCCATTGCCACACACCCCTTCACTCTTCCCTCCAGACCCCTTGAAGTCCCATTTTCTTCCTGGGATTCAGATTGTGATGGGGGCAGTACAATGGCTCCCATTTGTCTGGGGAATCTTCACCATAAGGCAAGGGCAGAGCTCACCAGAGCTCCTGGAAGTGGTCATTGCAAGGGTCAAGTCCCAACCTTGTGTCCAGCAGCCAACATGGACCTCTAGGTATGTTTCAATCTTCCCAGAGTGTTGTGTTTCCTTTAAAAAATGGAAACAGATGCTCACATTAAAAATGAGCAGATTTTATATGAAAATGCAGATTCTTCATTTCTTTTTAAAAATCAGAAGCTTTGGCATCATTGGGAGTGGATTTCTGCCTGCACTGTCCTGCAGGATCTGAGGCAATGCTTCCCACTTTATCTCACACGTCACTTCACTCCTACCCTTTATACCATCAGACTGGCCCCTGTGGGCTTTTGTAAAAAAATTTTATTATTATTATACTTTAAGTTTTAGGGTACATGTGCACAATGTGGAGGTTTTGTTACATATGTATACATGTGCCCTGTGGGCTTTTGAGTTTGAGACCTGGGTTACCTGTTTAAGGGAGAGAGCCTTGGATTCAGACAGAATTGGTAGAGTCCTAACTCTGATACTTAATACCTATGGATGCTAGGGCAAGCTGTTTGATCTCTTTGAGCCTCAGTTTTCTCATCTATAAAGGGGGAGGACAAGGATAATACCAACCCATTGGGCGGTAGTGGAGAATACATCAGGCAAATTCTGCAACTGGCTCAGCAGGGGCCTGGGTCACTATGATTGCCCCTTCAATGGTAGAAGTCAGTGTCTTAGGAGTGGCAGCAATAGTAGAGATGGCAGTCATATTAATAGCATCTTTGTACCCCTGGTGCTTTGCTCACTGAAGCAACCCTGGCTCGGAAAACTGGCAGGTACAAGAGAGGCAGGCTGATAGGCTGCAGCCAAGATCTTGTCAGAAGCCCAACATGGCAACCTGGTTTTAGGTCATTCCATCAATCCAGAACCTGCTGGACACTTGTGCAAGGTGGGGAGCTTTGGTTGGAAGTAACAGAAACCACATGAGTGTTGATGCTGCAAACAATAGACCTCACCACCTTGCCACTAGTCTTGTCTCTGCATGGCTTTCTCTGAGTTCAGGTCCAGAGGAGGAAATCCATGCACCAAGGCTAGGTTTCCTCTGTGTGCCTGAGTTAGAGGAAGGCTGGACTAGAAAGTCTAATCCTCTTAGTAGTGAAGCCATGAAAAGTCACACAATGGCCTTACCACTAGTCAAGGTACCTGACTATTGGACAACTCTTGCCCCCACACTGATGATGTTTCTTTGCTTCAAGACTACAAGCAATATTTTGTGGCTGGCATAGTCTTCATGCAGCCAATAAAATCATTCCATATAGCATGGCTTTCCAGAGTGACATATGATTGGACCAAAATTAAGACATGTAAATGTGGCTATACAGGAAATCGTCTTCTGTCTTCTACATAGAGAAAGCCAATCTTACCTCCCAAAGGAAAGACTTCTTGCATACAAGACAATCCTACCCATAAAAAGAGAGGTAAAATGTTTCCTAGCATCGGAAATGTTACTCAAAGGGGTTCTGCTCTGGGTGAATTGAATTAGAAGATTAAAAAAGGAATTTCTCTAGTTCTAAGATTCCTTATGTTAAAACATGTTTGGAACAAGAATCTATGGGGTACTATATTCCAAGCAATTTAAATTTTCAGAGAGACCATTTAGGCATCTTGGCAAATTCATTTTTGCTCTGGTTTTAACTTCATTGACTGGATTAATCTGGTTTGAAGTTCACAGGACTGCTGGATATTTTTGTAAGGCGGGACCTTTGGTCACAAGTGACAAGAATCACCTTGAGCTAGCTGAATCAGAAGTGGGTATCTATTAAAAGAAACAGAGTTGTCTTGTGGAATGCAAAAGAAAAGCTGAAATTGGGTGTCAGAAACTAGGACCTGGAAAGACATCGGAGTCTGAGGGGTCCTCTTTTTCCTGGCTTCTTATGTCTTCTGCAACCTCGCTGGTCCACAGATTGGTTTTCTCTGTGGCAGACAGAAGATGGTTTCCTATAATAACTACATTTACACATCTTAATTTTGGCCAGATCATACTTCACTCTGCATCTATATGGAATGATTCTATTGGTTGCATGAAGACTATACGAACCACAAAATATTGCTTCTAGTTTTGAAGTAAGGAAAAAAATCTTCAGTATTGGAGCAAGAGTTGTCCAATATTTAGGTACCTTGACTAGTGCTTAGGACTTCTTAGGAACCACAGTTCCTATTTCAAAGCTTATCAAGGTTTGCACCAAATTATAGTCACTAATTGTTAAAACCGCATTTTCACAATAACAAAAGTGATGTTTTCTTATTTTCTACCAAATTGAAACTAACACCTCCATTATGTATCACATTTTAAATTATTTGATATACAGTTCCAACCTGTGAAGGAAAGTGGAGGATTTTGAAATCTGTTTTCATATCTCTGCCAAAATGTTAGGTTTGTCTCCCGTGGGGAAGTCATGAGCACGCTCTCTTAAAAATAGATGGCGTTTTGGTTTGGAAAAAACTTCAGGTTTGTTCTATAGTACATTCACTTAAATATCACACTTAAATTTTTTTTTTAAAAACATAGGGATCTTACTTTGTCACCCAGGCTGGAGCGCAGTGATGTGATCATAGCTCATTGCAGCCTCAAACTCCTGGTCTCAAGTGATCCTCTCACCTTAGCCTCCCAAATAGCTGGGATTACTGGCATGAGCCCCCACATCCAGCTTACATCTCACACTTTTAAAGGAAAAGCTTTAGGGATGGCCTTTAGGTTAAAGCTCCTTACAATGTGCCCTAGATGGCTTGCAATATTTCTATGCTGAATATTGAAAGGAGTCAAATGCTGGGTTGAAAAAAAATGCCACACAGGTTGAGGTTTTTGTGCGTGTGTGCGCATATGTGTGTGACTGTGTGTGTGTGCATGTGTGTATATGTGTGTGCACATGTGTGTATGTGCGTATATGTGTGTGCACATGTGTTCATGTGTATATGTGTATATGTGTGTGCACGTGTGTATGTGTGTGCCTGTATGTATATGTGCGTGCATGAGTCTATGTGTATATGCATGTGCACATGTGTGCCTGTGTGTACGTGTGTGCATAGGCGTGTGTGTGCATGTGTGTATATATGTATGCGTGTGTGTATGTGTGTGCACGTGTGTGTGTGCATGTGTGTGTGTGTACTAGTGAGTCTTGATCCGCCCTAGGTGCCTAGCTTTGCTTTTCCTATATTATACTAGATGGAGCTCAGCGGCTTCTGATACTGGGAGGAAATGGTGAGCAGAAAGTGTATATGATTGCAGAGCAGTGATCCCAGTAAAGGGCACATATTTGTATGATGTTTTAGGAACAGTTACAAAGACCTTCAATTCAGAGTTTGATAAAATGAGGCAGAAAGGAGAGTATGATATGAAGTTTCAAGAGGAAAAAAAGGTGGAAAGGGGTAAGAAAAGGAAGGAGGAAAGAAGAGTAGGGTGTTGTCAGCATATTAAATTAATTAGAGGCAAATTAAGTAAGCTGACTGTGCAATAGTTCTGAGAGAGAAGGGTTGTGTTTCTAGTAGGCTCTTTGCACAGGTTCAGGTGCCAGAGAGAAGACAAAGCTGCCAATACTTTTCGCACCCGAATCCAGGAAAGTCAGGCCACTATCAGCATGCAACCCTCCCTGAAAGGCAGCCTCACGCCTCTTCTGGGGCCCTGGGTATTCTGGGGAGTCCTCAAGATAGGAAGGTGTGACAGTGCCATTGATGGGGTGGTTCTTGTTTAATCTGAAAGCAGAGCACCCTTTGATTTCTACCGTGATCCCTTATTTAGGTGCCAGGGTAGGAAAACCCTTTAGTTTTTCTCTTGTCCCTTGGTGCTCTCATGTTGAGGTCCCTGACTGTGCTCCTTGGAGACACTGGTGTGCCATATGTTAGTGTCAAAAGAGATGAACCTGCTCCTGGACAAGCTGATGGGCAGAAACCTGACTCTGTAGGTCCTGTAATTCAGATAAACATCTGAACTTTTGAATGCTTATTATATAGACCTTTACCATTGATTTCAGCATGGGGAGGCATAATCTATCGCTACATCTAAATTTATAAAGCAGAGACCATTATCTTTCTGCTCCAGGTTTCAAATAATGGTTGTACAATGATTTTCATTCCTGCACTGCACTTGGAGAGAAAAACTTTTCAGCAGATTTTATTAAAAGGCTTTTAATCCATGAAAGCTTAACCAGCTCAAGTGGGTTTAAAGCACCGCTGCTACTTCACAGAGGATACACGAAGCCTAGTTGTCTAATAACCACCACTTGCTATAATAAAGATTTTGGATCAGAGCTGATGAATTACAATGTTTCTTAAATCTGTTTCTGCCAATATCTCTAGACATTCATAACCTCTTTTATTGCCTTCTCCTCCTTTGGGAGCTGAAGGGAGGGATGTTCTGTTACCTCTTAAGTCCCTACAGCACCTGAATTGAGTTCCATTTTTTCCTCCATATATAAAGATACTTTCAGCCTAATCCCACAGGAATGGTTTAGGGGTTTGTGGGAAACAAAACCTCATGGTTTTAAGCTCCATTGTATGTTCAGAGAGGTCTGAGCTTTTACATAACACATTTTCTTATCCATGTTTCTCCAAAAAATAGTATTGAACAATTTTGCGCCCAGTTTTCTTTCCAGGAGGAACACTTACCTCCCAGGCTCTTGGCCTTTACCAAAAGGGGCTCATACACAACTTCTCTGAAATGACAACACACTATTAGTGATAATAATGGGCACTTGACCTTGTTTGCAAATATTTTTAGATCTAATTCACACATCTAATAGAAAAATTACTATTACTTATTAATCATAAGCCAGGCATAGGGCTCAGCGCTGCCCTTGCATTCTCTCATTCAGTTGTGCCAACAATATTCAAGGGTGGGTGATGTTACTGTGGCAGAGACTGGCTGGCTGGTTTCCAAACATTGCCTTGCCTCTGGGGCTTTAGCTGAATGGCATTTTCCAGCATCCATCAGTTGTATTCTGGCTCATGGAATGGGATGTGCACGTTTGTAGCTCTCTCCATGTAGCCTCCTGCTCAGTCCTTCACACACTCCCTTCCCTAGTCTCTTGGCCAGATGCAGAGGATCTGAGTAAAGGTCCTGAGGCCCTACATCCTTGCCTAGCTACAGGATGGCAAGGCTTGAGCAGGAGGAAGCCTGAGTCCCTGAATGACTGCATGAAGGCTCCCTAGGAAGATGAGCAGGGACATCGTCCGCCTGTGAGCCCAGCTGATTCGTTGGCTCAGGCTGCCATAACAAAGTGCCACAGACCCTGGATCCCAGCTTTACAACCTCATTTAACCTTAACCACTTCTTTAAAGGCCCTGTCTCCAAAGTCAGTCCTGTTTGGGGTTAGGACTTCAACATTTGAACTTGAGGAGAAAACAGTTCACCATAACAACCAGTGCAGTCCAGCCTTGGATAATGACTCTTCTGGATATTAACAGAGAATAGTCACACAGGAGAGAAATTGATTATCAAATTTACTGGAAATATATTAGGACTTGTCAATTTGTCATTGTCTTGTGTTCACTAAAACTGCTGAATTCTATGTATTTGAGCATTTGAGAGAGATATAGATATACACACATATATATACACATATATACATACATACGTGTGTGCATATATATCTCTCTATATATCTATATCTATATCTATATATCTATATCTATATCTATATCTATATCTATATCTATATCTATATCTATATCTATATCTATCTGTATAGAATGCATAGAATTCAGCTCCCTGGAGTGGGTTCTCTTGAAGGGAGATGTGAGAAGAACATCTATGTGGTAACCCAACGTGTGACCATGTTTGTCCACAAACAGGAGGTGTTTGACCATGAAACAGCTTTATTTTATATTTTGATAGTTTTATAACAAACGAGTCATTTTCAAGGAGTCATGCCTCACTAATTTATAGATTCCAGATGCATTTAACACACACAGTCCTAGACAGTCCAGGTTTATCCTGCTAATAGGTAAGGCTTCTCCTGCTAGAAAATACCTTCACTGTGTTTGCTGGAAGGTCTCCCAATAAAGATGCCAGATTGAACAAATAAAACCATAAGATGCCTAATTAAATTTGAATTTCTATGTAGAATTATTTTAGTATAAGTATGCCCCATGCAGTAATGGGTACATACAGCTACTAAAAAAAGCACCGTAGTTTATCTGAAAGTCAGATTTAACTGGATATTCTGTATTTCATCTGGCAACACTATCTTCTAATAACTAGTTTATTAGGACATGTGAGTGGGGTGGGGGGTGTTTTTTTTCTTCCTCCCAGTGGTAGACCTAGTAAAGGAAGAGGATGAATTGCAAGCTTGCAACTAACCTTTTGCTTCATAATGGATATTTGAGTTTGGAAAAGATGCTTTCTCTTTACCCATTATCCATGCCTTTCTCACCCAGCCATTAATACGTATAGACTGGGCAGGCTTTATAACCAAAGAATGCTTAGGGAGAGTTTTGAGTGTGGGAAAGGGCTCTCTGGGCAGAAATAAAATAAGAAACTAGGCAAGAAGCCCAGGGAAGTGGCCAATCTGTGAGATAGCATTTTCTTGTCTTCCCTTCTTTCTTTTTCTTTTCTTTCTTTTTTTTTTTTTTGAGACAGGTCTTGCTCAGTCACTCAGGCTGGAGTGCAGTGGGATGGTCATGGCTCACTGCAGCCTCAACCTCCTAGGCTCAAGCAATCTTCCCACCTCAGCCTCCTGAGTAGCTGGGACTACAGACATATGCCACAATTCCTGGCTAATTTTTAAAAAAATTTTGTAGAAATGGGGGTCTCACTATGTTGCCCAGGCTGGTCTCAAACTCCTGGGCCCAAGTGTTCCTCCTGCCTTAGCCTCCCAAAATATTGGGATTACAGGTATGAGCCACCACACCTGGCCAGCATTTTCTTATGTTGTGTGTTTGCAACCTTTGGGCTTACACCTTACACTATTTTTTTTTTAGCAAGTCTTTTTCTTTTTTTATTGGGGAAGAGCTGAGTGTTGGGAAAAAAGCTGAGGCAGGGTTTGTATATCTGACATAATGTAAAAGAGTCTTGGAACATGTCCAAGGTCCAGGGTCTAAAACCCCTCATGGCCTTTGGAACACCAAGCTCTGTGCCAAAGGGTGGAAGGCTGCCCTGCCGCACCACAATCTAAGCCCAGGGCATAAAACCCCTCATGGCTTGGATGGAATCTAGGGCTTAGGGCATAAAACTGCTTGTGGCCTCTGGAATGTGTCTAGACTTGCTGGCTCCTTGCTTCTAGCACTCCCAGGCTCATAGATCGATTGTATCTTAAACTAGAAGAACATGTTTCCCATTATCTCAAGTATCAGAACATGTTCCATATGCTTCAAAGAAAATGCCAAACCGTCACAGCTGTAGATCATGCTCTTGATACACTGCTTTTTTTCAACCCCCACATCCTCACCACCTTCTTCTTTGTTTGATCACCAATAAATAATGCAGGCTTCCAGAGCTCCGGGCCTTCACAGCCTCCATACTAGCGTTGGCCCCCTGGTCCCACTTTATGCACTCTTGTCTTGTCTCATTCCTTTAACTCTGCCAGAATTCGTAGCTCCCATGGCCTGATGTTGGGGCTGATCACCCCAACAGTTTTTCACTTTTTTTCTTGTTCCTCCTCTCTCTGTAATAAGCAAGGCCTAAAGTTCAGCACATTGCATCATGTGACATGAACAGAAAATGCATGCTGCATTTTGCAGCAAGACCCTTGGCCATTCATCTGAAGAGTCTAAATCTGGAAGAAAGGCCAAATGCTGTTGGATGTTGTATTAGGCTGTTTTCACACTGCTGATAAAGACATACCTGAGACTGTGTAATTTGTAAAGAAAAAGAGGTTTAACAGACTCACAGTTCCATGTGGCTGGGGAGGCCTCACGATCATGGCAGAAGGTGAGGGAAGAACAAAGGCATGTCTTACATGGCACCAGGGAAAGAAAGAATGACAGCCAAGTGAAAAAGGGAAACCCCTTATACAATTATCAGATCTCATGAGACTTATTCACTATCACGAAAAAATTATGGGGGGAAACTGCCCCCATTGTTCAATTATTTCCCACGGGGTCCCTCACATGACACGTGAGAATTACGGGAGCTACAATTCAAGATGAGATTTCAGTGGGTACACAGCCAAACCATATCAGATGTGGACTTAGTAGGTTAGGACTTAGTAGGTTACTTTTGGTGACACACAACATTATTATCAGTCTGTCCTAAACAACAGAGAGAATTTATTGGTTCACGTAAATGTAAAAGAACAGTAGCAGCGGGACTTCAGGCAAAGCTGCATCAGAGTTCTTATTTAATTTCTCCACAAAATTACAAGCTGAATTTCTCTTAACTTTATCCTTCTCTTGTGGCCTTCAACCTCACAGCCACTGCAATTCTACTGCAGTAAATTTCCTAAGGTAACAACCCAAGTGTGTAAGATGTGGAGCCTAGATTTACACCCATGCCATCTAAATCCAGAACCTGCGCTCATGGCAGGTATGTTGCATCCAGGCTGGGTATGACTGTTTTCCACAGGCATGCCTCGTTTCATTGAACTTCTCTCGACTGTGCTTCATAGACACTGTGTTTTTTAAAAATTGATGGTTTCTGGCAACTTTGTGTTGAACATCTGTCAGTGCCATTTTTCCAGCGTCATGTGCTCACTTTGTGCTTCTGTATCACAATTTGGTAATTCCTGCAATACTTCAAGCTTTTTCTTTTCTTTTGAGACAGAGTCTCACTCTGTTGCCAGGCTGGAGTGCAGTGGCATGATCTCTGTTCACTGCAAACTCTGCCTCCAGGGTTCAAGTGATTCTCTTGCCTCAGCCGCCCGAGTAGCTGGAACTACAGGCCTGCACCACCACACCTGGCTAATTTTTGTAGTTTTGGTAGAGATGGGGTTTCACCATGTTTGCCAGGATGGTCTCGATCTCCTGACCTCGTGATCCTTCTTCCTCGGCCTCCCAAAGTACCAGGATTACAGGCGTGAGCCACTGCACCCAGCCCAAGCGTTTTCTTCATTATTGTATCTGTTATGGTTATCTGTGATCAGCCATCTTTGATGTTACTAGTGTAATTATTTTGGGTTGCCATGAACCACGCCATATAAGATGACAAACTTAATTTGATACATGTGGTATGTGCCCTGACTGCTCTACCAACTAGCTGTTCACCTATCTCTCTCCCTCTCCTAGGGCCTCTTTATCCCCTGAGACACATCAGTATTGAAATTAGGCCAATTAGTAACTCTGCAATGGCCTCTAAGTGTTCAAATGAAAGAAAGGGTCACACATCTCTCACTTGAAATAAAATACAAGAAATAATTAAGCTTAGTGAGGAAGATGTGTTGAAGGTGGAGACAGGCTGAAAGCTAGTTAGGCCTTTTGTGCCAAACAGTTAACCAAGTTGTGATTTCAAAGGAAAAATTCCTCGTTTCATTGAACTTCTCTTTACTGTGCTTTATAGACACTGTGGTTTTTACAAATTGAAGGTTTGTGGAAACTCTATGTTGAGCAAGTTTATTGGTGCCATTTTTCCAACAAGTTGTGATTGCAAGGGAAACATTCTTTAAGGGAAATTAAAAGTGCTACTCCAGTGTACATATGAATGATAAGAAAGCAAAACAGCCTTAGTGCTGATATGGAGGAAGTTTAAGCAGTCTGGAAAGAAGATCAAATGAGCCTCAATATTTCCTTAAGGCAAAGCCTAATTCAGAGCAAGGCCCTAACTCCCTTCAATTCTATGAAGGCTGAGATCGTCGAGAAAGCTACAGAAGAAAAGTTTGAAGCTAGAAGAGGTTGGTTCATGATGTATAAGGAAAGACCTTGTCTCTATAGCATAAAAGTGCAAGATGGGCTGGGCATGGTGGTTCACGTCTGTAATCCCAGCACTTTGGGAGGCCCAGGCGGGCAGATTACGAGGTCAGGAGTTCGAGACCAGCCTGGCCAATATAGTGAAACCCCATCTCTACTAAAAATACAAAAAAATTAGCTGGGCATGGTAGTGAGCACCTGTAATCCCAGCTACTCAGGAGGCTGAGGCAGGAGAATCACTTGAACCCAGGAGGCAGAGGTTGCCGTGAGCTGAGATCATGCCATTGCACTCCAGCCAGGGCAACAGTGCAAAACTCCATCTAAAAAAAAAAGTGCAAGGTGAAACAGCAAGTGCTGATGGAGAAGCTGCAGCAAGTTACACAGAAGATCTAGCTAACATCATCGATGAGGCTGACTACACTAGACAACAGATTTTCAATGTAGAGGAAACAGCCTTCTGCTGGAAGAAGATGTCATCTAGGACATTCACAGCAGGAGGGGAGAAGTCAATGCCTGGCTTCCAAACAGGGGACAGGCTAACTATCTTGTCAAGGGCTAATGCAGCTGGTGGATTTAAGTTGGAGCCAATGCTCAGTTATCATTTGGAAAATCCTAGGGCCCTTAAGAATTGTGCTAACTCTTCTCTGCCTGTGCTCTATAAATGAAACAAGAAGCCCAGATGACTGCACACCTGTATACAGTATGGTTTGCAGAATATTTTAAGCCCACTGTTGAGACCTACCTGTCAGAAAAAAATATTCCTTTCAAAGCATTGTTGCTCCTTGACAATGCACCTGGTCATCCAAGAGCTCTGATGGAGATGTACAAGGAGATTAATACTGTTTCATGCCTGCTAACACAACGTCCATTCTGTAGCCTATGGTTCAAGGAGTAATTTTGACTGTCATGTCTTATAATTTAAGAAATACATTTCAAAATGTTAGCTGCCGTACATAGTGATTCCTCTGATGGATTTGGGCAAAGTAAATCGAACATGTTTGGGAACGAATGCACCATTTTAGATGTCATTAAGAACATTGGTGATTCATAGGTGAGGTCAAAGTGTCAACATTAACAGGAGTTCCAACACTTATGGCTGACTTTGAGAAGTTCAAGACTTCAGCAGAGGAAGGCACTGCGGATGTGGAGATGGCAAAAGAATTAGAATTAGAAGTAGAGCCTGAAGATGTGACTGAATTGCTGCCATCTTATGATCAAACTAAAATGGATAAAGAGTTGTTGCTTATGGATGAGCCATGAAAGTGGTTGATTGAGAATATAATCTACTCGTGGAGAAAATGCTGTGAACATTGTTGACATGACAGCAAAGGATTTATAATATTTTATAAATTCAGCTGATAAAGCAGGAGCAGGGTTTGAGAGAATGTATTCCAATTTGGAAAGAAGTTCGACTATGGGAATCCTCCCTAACTCATTTTATGAGGCCAGCATCATCCTGATACCAAAGCTGGGCAGAGACACAACCAAAAAAGAGAATTTTAGACCAATATCCTTGATGAACATTGATGCAAAAATCCTCAATAAAATACTGGCAAACCAAATCCAGCAGCACGTCAAAAAGCTTATCCACCATGATCAAGTGGGCTTCATCCCTGGGATGCAAGGCTGGTTCAATATACACAAATCAATAAATGTAATCCAGCATATAAACAGAAACAAAGACAAAAACCACATGATTATCTCAATAGATGCAGAAAAGGCCTTTGACAAAATTCAACAACCCTTCATGCTAAAAACTCTCAATAAATTAGGTATTGATGGGACGTATCTCAAAATAATAAGAGCTATCTATGACAAACCCACAGCCAATATCATACTGAATGGGCAAAAACTGGAAGCATTCCCTTTGAAAACTGGCACAAGACAGGGATGCCCTCTCTCACCACTCCTATTCAACATAGTGTTGGAAGTTCTGGCCAGGGCAATTAGGCAGGAGAAGGAAATAAAGGGTATTCAATTAGGAAAAGAGGAAGTCAACTTGTCCCTGTTTGCAGATGACATGATTGTATATCTAGAAAACCCCATCGTCTCAGCCCAAAATCTCCTTAAGCCGATAAGCAACTTCAGCAAAGTCTCAGGATACAAAATCAATGTACAAAAGTCACAAGCATTCTTACACACCAGTAACAGACAAACAGAGCCAAATCATGAGTGAACTCCCATTCACAATAGCTTCAAAGAGAATAAAATACCTAGGAATCCAACTTAAAGGGACATGAAGGACCTCTTCAAGGAGAACTACAAACCACTGCTCAATGAAATAAAAGAGGATACAAACAAATGGAAGAACATTCCATGCTCATGGGTAGGAAGAATCAATATCGTGAAAATGACCATACTGCCCAAGGTAATTTATAGATTCAATGCCATCCCCATCAAGCTACCAATGACTTTCTTCACAGAATTGGAAAAAACTACTTTAAAGTTCATATGGCACCAAAAAAGGGCCCGCATCGCCAAGTCAATCCTAAGCCAAAAGAACAAAGCTGGAGGCATCACGCTACCTGACTTCAAACTATACTACAAGGCTACAGTAACCAAAACAGCATGGTACTGGTACCAAAACAGAGATATAGATCAATGGAACAGAACAGAGCCTTCAGAAATAACGCCACATATCTACAACTATCTGATCTTTGACAAACCTGACAAAAACAAGCAATGGGGAAAGGATTCCCTATTTAATAAATGGTGCTGGGAAAACTGGCTAGCCATATGTAGAAAGCTGAAACTGGATCCCTTCCTTATACCTTATACAAAAATTAATTCAAGATGGATTAAAGACTTAAACGTTAGACCTAAAACCATAAAAACCCTAGAAGAAAACCTAGGCATTACCATTCAGGACATAGGCATGGGCAAGGACTTCATGTCTAAAACACCAAAAGCAATGGCAACAAAAGCCAAAATAGACAAATGG
Source organism: Homo sapiens (assembly GCF_000001405.40). Taxonomy (NCBI): domain Eukaryota; kingdom Metazoa; phylum Chordata; class Mammalia; order Primates; family Hominidae; genus Homo; species Homo sapiens. The sequence goes on from NC_000012.12 coordinate 125,730,938, forward strand.
GATCTAATTAAACTAAAGACCTTCTGCACAGCAAAAGAAACTACCATCAGTGTGAACAGGCAACCTACAAAATCGGAGAAAATTTTCGCAACCTACTCATTTGACAAAGGGCTAATATCCAGAATCTACAATGAACTCAAACAAATTTACAAGAAAAAAACAAGCAACCCCATCAAAAAGTGGGTGAAGGACATGAACAGACACTTCTCAAAAGAAGACATTTATGCAGCCAAAAAACACATGAAAAAATGCTCACCATCACTGGCTATCAGAGAAATGCAAACCAAAACCACAGTGAGATACCATCTCACACCAGTTAGAATGGCAATCATTAAAAAGTCAGGAAACAACAGGTGCTGGAGAGGATGTGGAGAAATAGGAACACTTTTACACTGTTGGTGGGACTGTAAACTAGTTCAACCATTGTGGAAGTCAGTGTGGCGATTCCTCAGGGATCTAGAACTAGAAATACCATTTGACCCAGCCATCCCATTACTGGGTATATACCCAAAGGATTATAAATCATGCTGCTATAAAGACAGATGCACACGTATGTTTATTGCGGCACTATTCACAACAGCAAAGACTTGGAACCAACCCAAATATCCAACAATGATAGACTGGATTAAGAAAATGTGGCACATGTACACCATGGAATACTATGCAGCCATAAAAAATGATGAGTTCATGTCCTTTGTAGGGACATGGATGAAATTGGAAATCATCATTCTCAGTAAACTATCGCAAGAACAAAAACCCAAACACTGCATATTCTCACTCATAAGTGGGAATTGAACAATGAGAGCACATGGACACAGGAAGGGGAACATCACACTCTGGGGACTGTTGTGGGGTGGGGGGAGGGTGGAGGGATAGCTTTAGGAGATATACCTAATGCTAAATGATGAGTTAATGGGTGCAGCACACCAGCATGGCACATGAATACATATGTAACTAACCTGCACATTGTGCACATGTACCCTAAAACTTAAAGTATAATAATAATAAAATAAAATAAAAAATTAAAAAAAAAAGAATTTCGACTATGGGTAAAATATTATCAAACAGCATCTCATGCAACAGAAAATATTTTCATGAAAGGAAGAGTCCATTGATGCAGCAAACTTCATTGTTGTCTTATTTTAATAAATTGCCACAGCCACCCTAAACTTCAGCAGCTGCCACCTTGATCAGTCAGCAGCCATCAACATTGAGGCAAGATACTCCACCAGCAAAAAATTTACTGAATTATTTTGAAAACTGACTGAAGGCTCAGATGATCATCAGCATTTTTTAAGCAATAAAGAATTTTTAAATTAAGGTATGTACATTTTTATTTTAGACATAATGCTATTGCAGGCTCAACAGACTGCAGTATAGTGTAAACATAACTTTTATATGCACTTGGAAACCAAAACATTCAGGTGGCTTGCTTTATTGCAATATTTGCTTTATTGCAGTGGTCTGGAAGGGAACCTGCAATAGCTCTAAGGTTTGCCTGTATTCTTTTATGTGATAGTCAGGTACGGGCACAAGAGGAGACCAGGGAGAAGCTCAGGAAAATGTTTGCACACTTGTATGTCCTAAAGACAGGAGGCAGGTTATGCCCTTTGTCACAGGGACATGTGGGAAAGACATCAAGGTGGTCAGGAGGCAGAAGACAGGAGTGGGGGGAAAGCATTAGGTTAGAGCCTTTATTGGAGTTTCTGTGGGAAAAGCAAGTCAGGGCAGGATTGGCTAGTTTGAATGATTTCAGCAGGCTCTGAGCTATAGGTGGTCCCTAGTTGTGGGGTCCTGGGTCTTGGAATGATAATGGCAGAGTAATATTGCCTCCTGAGGTGTCTGGGCTGGATGGAGGATGTCTGGCTCTGGATTGGGTTATTTGCATATCAAATGCTCCTGGCTGAGTTCCTTGGCTATTTTTAAGAACTGGCTAGCCCCTGGAGAGGCAGCATGTCTTTAGTCATAAAGGGTTTTATTAAAAAATATACATCATTAAGATAACATCATAATATAAATATGTATATACATACAATTATGTATTGTACACTTAAACTGTCACCTCCCTCAACACAAAGGATCAGTGATTAGAAGAGTAAACAAAATTAAATGTAGTAATTCTCTAGGTTATACAAGATCCCATTCTTATAAATGTTAATATTAATTGCAAAGATAATTTTATCCAATTTTTCAATCTTTCAATATTTTTATTTTGGATACTAAAATATGGTAAGAGATTAGTATATGGATTATAATGACAGTAACTGAATTAGAAATTTCATCCACATAAGAGAAGGATCAATTATAAAGCTATATTAACAAACTTCCCTGTAGCCTGTAGGAGAGAAACACTTTCGCTTGTGGTTATAGGAAAAAAATATATATCTAAGACTCATGCATGTGTATATTAAATCACATATTAGAATAAATGTCAGATCAATTTTTCTCTTGTTGGCTTAATACATAATAAAGTAAATGGCCCATAACAAAGAAAGAAAAGGTTTTCTTTAACAAGAAAGGGTTTAAATATGCAAACATTTTGATAGTTAATAGAGCAGGTAATAAAATGAGCGTGATGCATATCTCAAAAGAGTGTTTACAAGGCTTTTATAAGAATTTTGGTTAGTTATTGTGTTTAATATTTTATTCCTTTTGTCACCAGTTTGTCTGACTATTCTTACTATGTTAGTATTAACATTCTTATAAATATTAGAGGTTGTTGCAATCAAGACTGAATGCCAGGAACTTTAAAAACACAATGACTAGAAGTTATAGATAATGGAATTATCCTTTTAATGATGTCTTGAATTAAAAAATATATATATTTTAAGTCAGGCCCAGTGGCTCATGCCTGTAATCCCAACACTTTGGGAGGCCAAGGTAGGCAGATCACCTGAGATCACCTAAGGTTGAGACCAGCCTGGCCAACATGGTGAAACTCTGTCTGTACTAAAAATAGAAAAAATTAGCTAGGCGTGGTGGTGGGCACCTGTAATCCCAGCTACTTGAGAGGCTGAGGCAGGAGAATCACTTGAACCTGGGGGGCGGAGGTTGCAATGAGCCAAGATCGCGCCACTGCACTCCAACCTGGGCGACAGAGTGAGACTCCATCTCCAAATAAATAAATAAGATAAAAAATATATTTTTAGAGTAGAAACTGAATTTTGTTTTGAAGACATCCTGTTTCTGCAGAGATATCTATCAATTATTCATGGCTGCCCTGTGTCTGTTAAAATAATACTAGCTGCAGCAACAGACAACCTCAAAATCTCAGTGGCTTGACTTAATAGAAGTTTATTCCAGTGAAGTTTATTTATCACTTAAGTTTAATGCAATCAGCTGGTGGTGGGAGGGGCGTCAGGCAGTCACTCAGAGACCCAGGTTTCTTCCACCTTGTGGCTCTGTCTTCCCTCAAGAGCTTAGAGTCTTCTGATGGCTTTGGCCAGTAGATGGGGTAAGAGAACCAATGCAGGGGAAAAGGTAGGTTTTTATGGGTCATCTAGTTGACTCTGTGGCAGAATCTGCTAGTGTTCACCAATATCTGCTTTCCTCTCTTCTTCCTGGGCACACTGCTCACCTCTTTTGCAAATCCACTGAGACCATGAGACTATTTCTTGCACATGGTGTAAAAGCAGACATGATGTGTATAACCTTTCAGAGGATGCGGTTGAGGGCAAGCCTGCCTTATCCTCACTCTTTCTCTTACTCTTCCGTTGGTTGATTGTAGAGACGTTTGAGGCTTCAGAGGGTGGCAGGGCCACAGTATGCAAGGAGCTCAGGTCCCTGAATGACTGCATGGAGCACAATCCCCTACCATTGTATCTTTGTAGGTGACTTGTTCTCTAGGTTTCAGAGGTCCACAGATGAGTAGAATTTTACCCCAGGGTGGATCTTACCCTAAGTCTAACCCATAACTAATATAGATGAAATTTTTGATACTGGAATGGATTAAAGCTTTGAGGGATATTGCAATATGGTACATGACTCTGGGAAGAGCATACATTTTGGAGGGCTAGAGGGTAGGCTTTTAGGAACTGAATTATGTCCTTCCCCAAAAGATACGTTGATGTCCTAAGAATGTCCTTAGAATGTGAATTTATTTGGAAACAGTTATTGCAGAGGTAATTAGTTACGTTCACATGAGGTCATACTAAAGTAGTGTGGGCCCCTAATTCAATATAGCTGGTGTCCTTGTAAGAAGATGACCATGTGGGCCGGGCATGGTGGCTCATGCCTGTAATCCTAGCACTTTGGGAGGCCAAGGTTGGCGGATCACCTGAGGTCAGGAGTTTGAGACCAGCCTGGCCAACATGGTGAAACCCTGTCTCTACTAAAAATACAAAAATTAGCTGGGCGTAGTGGTGGGCAATTGTAATCCCAGCCACTTGGGAGGCTGAGGCACGAGAATGGCTTGAACTGATGAGGTGGAGATTGCAGTGAGCTGAGATCATGCCACTGCACTCTAGCCTGGGTGACAGAGCTAGACTCTGTTGTGCAGCTACAAGCAAAAGAATGACAAAGACTGCTGGCAACTCCTGGAAGCTAGGAAGATACAAGGAAGGATTTCCCTACAAATATGTAGAAACAGTGTGGTCCTGCTGATGCCTTGATTTTAGACTTCTGGCCTCCAGAGCTGTAAGATAATAAATTGCTGTTGTTTTAGGCTGCAAAGTTTGTGGTACAGTAGTCTCCTCTTATTCACAGTTTTGCTTTCTGTGGTTTCAGTTATCCAAGGTCAACCAGGATCTGAAAATATTAAATGGAAAATTCCAGAAATTCACATGTTTTAAAATTACATGACTTTGTATTCATGGATGGAGCTGGAGGCCATTATCCTTAGCAGACTAACACAGAAATAGAAAACCAAATGCCACAGGTTCTCACTTGTAAGTGGGAGTTAAATGATGAGAACACATGGACACATAGAGGGAAACAGCACACATTGGGTCCTATTAAAGGGTGGAGGGTGGGAGGAGGGAGAGGATCAGGATAAATAACTAATGAGTACTAGGCTTAATACCTGGGTAATGAAATAACCTGTATGGCAAACCCCCATGACACAAGTTTACCTATGTAACAAACCTGCACATGTATGCCTGAACTTAAAATAAAAGTTAACATAAAATTGCACACCATTCTGAGTAGTGTGATGAAGTCTCACATCATCCTGCTCTGTCCTGCCTGGGATGTGAATCATTCCTTTTTCCAGCAGATCCAGGCTGTGTACACTGCCTGCCAGGTAGTCACGTACTAACTGACTCAGTTGTCAGATGGAAAACACATAGTTTGTGTAGGGTTCAGCTCTATCTACAGTTTCAAACAACCACTGGGGGTCTTGGAACGTATCCCCCGAGGATAATGAGGGGCAGCTTCTGTATTAGTCTGTTCTCAAGCTGCTGATAAAGACATACCTGAGACTGGGTAATTTATAAAGAAAAAGAGGTTTAATGGACTCACAGTTCCATGTGACTGGAGAGGCCTCACAATCATGGTGGAAGGCAAAAGGCACTTCTTACATGGCAGCTGGCAAAGAGAGAGAATTCGAGCCAAGTGAAAGGGGTTCCCGTTTATGAAACCGTCAGAGCTCGTGAGACTTACTACCACGAGAACGGTATGGGGGAAACTGGTCCCATGATTCAATTACCTCCCACCAGGTCCCTCTCACAACACGTGGGAATTATGGGAGCTACAATTCAAGGTGGGATTTGGGTGGGGACACAGCCAAACCATATCAACCACTTTGTTATGGTAGCCACAGGAATCTAATACAGAATTTTCATTCGCTGGTGCCAAGGGGTGTTCGGAAGCAGAAATGCAGCCTGGATTTCTGAAGGGTTCCCTTTGGCAAGCGGTCTCATAAAATACATTTTGAATCATAATAGTAGCCCACATGCAAAACCAAATATTTCACATAAAAATTTGAATTTTGATATTTCCTGAAAAAATTGGCAAACATGGAGATTCATTTTCACCTGGCTCAAAAATGATCAGTGTCTTAGTAGAAGCTGTTTAACATTCTGAAATTATTATATGGCATGCTTATAAAGACTGCCTTCAGCTAGACTTCCTGCCTACATCTTCCAGCAGTTGCTTTCTACATAGCAGTACTGTCTTGCCCCGTAGTTAATGCAACAATGACCAGAAATTTGCAAAAAGGTTTTGTACAGAGATTACGTAGCTACAATGAGCTCATCCCAACGTGAGGCAGGCCCAATCCAATATGACTGTGATCATGTTTCTTCATTGTCCCTTTCGTTAGAATGTAGACCCTCCGCCCTGGTGTAATTGTGTTTATTTCAGTATATTTCCAAATAGGAATCTATGGAAAGGTTGTTGGGGTTTGATTCGATTGGTTTTCACTTTGTTTTTATCCTTTAATAGGAAGCTGAAGATTGTTTGTATTTGGTAAACGTTTCTTTGATCTCTTTTCCATATCTGCATGTCTGAATATTGGCCTCTTCAGAGGCAAAGCACGGCTAAACATTTCAGATGTTTAAAAATAAGTTTTGTCTTTATGCATCCTATGTTCTGTTTTACTTTTCCTTGTGTAACTAAAATATTCCCCCAAAACCTACAAAACACGATTCCAGAACTATGGGAGATTCCTTCACTTTTAATGGCTGGTTTTTCCTCTATGAAAATGGAAGGTTTCATGCTTTGAATTGAGCTGTTTTTTCTCTTTTTTTTTTTTTTGCCCAGCGGTGGGGGGGCGTTGTTTGTCCCTGCACATGCAGTAATTGTACAATTCCCAGAAAAAGCAAGATCTGTCAGCTTCACTATTGTGGCTTTTCTGGATATCCAAACCCTCAAAAAGCCCAGGTTTCAGAGATAAACTGGAACAATAACCCTCATCTCCCAGGGACAACTTACTATGAGGTGGGAGAATTGTCTGTTCTGGAGTATAAATATCCTTTGTAGTGGTTTGCAAATGAGGCCTGAGCATGGAATCTAATTCAGTATTAATTATTTTAGAAATGGTTTTTCTAGTGTATCCATTTAGAACAGACTTGTTTATCAAAATCCACTGGTCTGTGTAATTCACCATCCAATTAAAATTAGTTAAATTACTTTCTTTCAATATAGTAAGATTTTTAAAGGTGGTTATTTAATTACAAAAGTACCTATCCATGGGAGACACGGATAAGCCTAATAGACTATTTTATTTCGTGGGTGATGCCACCTGGGGCACAAGAAGGTGTTTTTTTTTTTTGGTGGAGATTATAAGGCCATCCATTTATAGCCTTCCTCTTTCTCAGGTCGGCTGTTCAACTTAAACTTTCACTCTGACTCCCACCTCTCCCTCCCCCTCCCCCTCCCTCCCTCCCTCCCTTCCTTCCTTCCTTCCTTCCTTCCTTCCTTCCTTCCTTCCTTCCTTCCTTCCTTCCTCTTCAGTGTCTGCTTTACTTTAGATGCTATTCTACAAAGCAGGAAGGCCAAAATTAACAACACATGGTCCTGAATTTATGAACTATAACTGTTTGGCCTCTTACATTTGCAAGTGACAGAAAATCTAATTCAAATTGGCTTAAGCAACAAAAAAGGTACAGTTTGTGTAGGTAAAGTACTTGGGGAAGAATGGGCTTCAGGTCTAGCTGAATCCAGGGGTTCCTCAGGATATAGTTTATATGGAACTGCATTTCTTGCCTTCTGCTGTATGCGTTCCATTGTCATACAAGATCTTCGTAGGTGGAGGCAGCATGGGCTGCTGCAGTTCCAGCCTCATGTCCCTCCAGGTTTACATCTAGCAGAAAATAATGTGTCTTTTCTCAGCAGCTTTCACCAAGTCCTGGATGCATTCTGATTGCAGCCTGGGTAGGTGTGGAGGTTCTGGGCTGAGACTTCTGGAACTCAGCCCCTCTTAGACATTGAGATGATGGTTTCTGTTCACAGAAAAAACACTGTGCATAGTTGCAAAGCAGATGGGCCAGGGTAGCATCCAGTCCTCTCTTATCTGTAGACAGCATAGTAAGATGGCACTGCTAGTGCACTTTCTTTACTGGCAGCGCCATCTTACTGTGTAGATCCAGGCAATGTGTCTAGCTGATGGCAGCTTGTTTTTTTATTTTTATTTATTTTATTTTATTATTTTATTTTTTTTGAGATGGAGTCTCACTCTGTTGCCCAGGCTGGAGTGCAGTGGTGTGATCTCAGCTCACTGCAACCTTTGCCTCCCGGGTTCAAGCTATTCTCCTGCCTCAGCCTCCTGAGTAGCTGGGATTATAGGTTCATGCCAGCATGCTTGGCTAACTTTTGTATTTTTAGTAGAGATGGAATTTCACCATGTTGGTCAGGCTGGTCTCGAACTCCTGACCTCTTGATCCATCTCAGCCTCCCAAAGTGCTGGGATTACAGGTGTGAGCCACTGTGCCTGGCTGGCAGCTTTTACAAATGTATCAGGTAATCATTTCAGAGTATTAGAATATCACTGGGGAAATAAGAAATGCAGTAAGCCCTTACTTACCAATCTGACAGGGACTCAACACGAACAGGCAGATGTCATCACCAAACACCTCTAGGCTGGTGTCTCCTGAAAAGTGTATTTTGTGCTTCTTGCAGTTATTTTTAAATTCTGTAAAAATTATGCATTGAGTTTCCACTCCCTGCAGGCTACTAACCTTGTTCTCTGTGAGACTATGAAGGTCACCTGTCAATCCCCAAATGACTGCCATTGTTGGAAGCATGTGAATGACTCACCAGCTTAGCCCTCTTTTTGATTTCCACAACGCATACTCACATAAAGAATCTACAAATGTAGAATGGTGCAGCCACTATAGAAACAGTATGGAGATTCCTCAGAAAATTAAAAATAGAACTACTATTAATACAATCTAGCAACCCCACTTCTGGTATATATTCAAAGGAAATGAAATCAGTATGTCAAAGAGATATCTATACTCCCATGTTCATTGCAGTGCTATCTGCCAGAGCCAAGATATGGAAACAACGTAATTATCCATTGATGGATGAATTGATAAAGCAAATATGTATCTACATATGCATACTATGGAATATTATTCAACGTGAAAAAGGAATAAAATCTTGCCATTTGTGACAACATGGATGAACCTAGAGGACATTATGCTAAGTGAACAAGCCAGTTACAGAATGACAAATACTGCATGATTTCACTTATATACAGAATTTTTAAAAGTCAACTGCATAGAAGAAGAGAATAGAACAATGGTTTTCAGAGACTGGGGGAAGAGAAAATGGGGAGAGGTGAGTCAATGAGTATAACATTTCATTTATGCAAGATAAATAAGATCTAGAGATTTGCTGTACCTGTAGTACCTGAAGTTAGTGATATGGTGTCATGCACTTTAAAATATATTAAGAGGACAGAGCTCATGTTAAGTGGTCTTAAAACAAAATGAAGGAAGAAAGCACACAAAAGAACACAAGGAAGTTCTTGGGGGTGATGCATATGTCTAGTGCCTCAGTTGTGGTGATGATATCAAGGTGTATGCATATGTCCACCTCATCAAGACGTATACATTAAATATGTGCAATTGCTTGTATATCAATTATACCTCAATAAAGCTTAAAAAAGAATTCATATGTTCAAGAGACTATTGAATGTGCCAAGCACTTGGAGCAACAAAAGCAGGGATTATAACTTCAATGGAGCAATGTAGACAACTTCACAGAGAACATAAGCATCCTGCTTCTAAGCTTGTGCTTCAGTGAACTTGGCTCCTTGGGCGTGGGGTCATGTCCTCAGAGACCATCTCTCCCTATCAGTTAGAGGCCTCCCTCTTGACCTTGACCATAGCCTATAGATGTACAAGGTGTGCAGCTCACAGAGACTCCTGGTAAAGGGGTGCGGGGGCCTGGCACGTAGCCCTCGCTCTGCCCACCAAGCCTTGCATCCTGGCAGGAGCAGAGGAAGGGACTCCTCTGAATGCACACAAAGGTGTCCTGTGGACCAGCTGCCCCCTGCCCCTCTCTTGCCCATCTCTGCTCCTTTGCTCAGTTTTTGTCATTTTTATAATTAGTAGATTAGTCACAAATTTCTCTCATTTTTTCATGAAGAAGAGCTTAAAAATCTTTTTGATTGTTTTCCCTTTTTGCTTATACTTTCACTCTCAAGAGCTCTGTTTTTACCCGAAATTGCCTATCCCTGTATTTTCTAAAGCATGAGGTTTCCTTCCTAACAGATTTTAGGCTGCCTGATGTTAAGACAATAGACATTTTAGTTTGTTGATCTTGCTTCTCCTATGCCTATATTTTTCCTTTCTTTCCTGCATTATTTGAGTTGGGTTATCCTTCTTTTTCTCTGTTAACTGGTTTTGGCATTTTCCATTCTGTTGCATTTTTTCAAGTGGCTGAAATTTCAATTAGTTATGCCTATTTGTAAACATATTTTCTGAAAATACTTCATTGGCTGTTATACCTTTTATGAGGTCCCTGAAATCCTTCTGGAGCAGAGACAATTGCAGGGGATTTCCCCATGTTCCCAGCAACAGGCAACCCTCCTATTTTCCGAGGCATCCTCTGCTTCATTTCTAGTCCTCTCCTTGGCCATCCCAGCTGGCAACATGTGGGCTCTGCCACACACCTTCTTTAGCGTCATCAGCATGATTTTTGGTTTCAGGGATATTTTTGAAAAGTCCCTGTGAAGAAACTTCCTTTGTTTCCCCTGAGAGAGATGCTTCAATTTATGCCTTTAAATAAACTATGAAAAGCTTAAGACTAAACTGTATGGTTATTTTTATAATAGCTTCTTGACAGCACCTTACAGAGAGGGAAGAAACAATTCTATTTTGGCTTCAATTTGAATAATTTCTGGTAATAATATTTTTTAAAGTTTTGATGCTTTAGAATGTTGTATCCAGAGCAACTTCCATCATAATTAAATATTTTGTTTGTACAAAGTATCATACTGCTTTGAGAATTGGCATTAATATTTAAGTTTTTGTATAATTAATTTTATATCTTGATATAACACACTGATGTTTCGTCATTTGAAATTATTTTGCACTTGGTTTTTTGCATTTCATACAGGTAGTGAGAGCACACTGTCTCGCTGTCTGTAGAGGTTTTACGATTTCCCTTTCTAATCTTTGGACTATCTTCTGATGATCCTTGGCTTGCATGAGTCCAAATTAGCTACCTAAGGGTGGGAATTGATAACAGGAAGAGAGATGGCTCAAGCTATTGTGTCTCATACCCAGGCCTTGCCCAGGGGGTCTGCAGGTCATGCAGGTCATGCCTACACTGCTCCATTCTATAAGACACTTTTTATACCGTAGTTTATGTTAATGAAATTTACTGATTTGAGCAGTGTGCAACTTGTGAAACTGTACTGGTAGCCCACTAAAACCCCAATCCCAAGCCTTTGATTTAGAGGCTCATCTTATCCCTCAGTTGAATTGTCTTCCCCCAGGCCCAGAAAAATGGTTACTGAGAAGCTGCTCTGCCTTCTTCTCTGTGCTGGATCCTAGCGTTCTAACCAGGAATACAACATTGTCTCTGTCTTCAAATATTCACTGTCCGGGGAGAGAGGCAGACTTGTAAATATGCACCTCAGAATGATGAATTGGAAGTGAAGATGGAAGAGTGAAAAAGGCATCGAAACCAAATACCAGTGCGAGGTGTGAGGGAGACCACTATGAGACATTTCAAAGCTTATTAGATGATTCATCTCCATTGAGGGTATTTATGGATCGGATTCTTGGGGGAGGGATGTCTGTGGAGCTTGACCTGAATTCTTGCAGTTAGGTGGGCGTGAACGGCTGGTGCTGATTCACATCAGAGACAGCTAAACCCATCTGTGACAGCAGAGTAGAGGGCTGCATGGGAGAACAGAAGGAAAAAAATATACTTTTCTGTTTGTTTGCTTGTTTGTTTGTTTGTTTTTGAGACGGAGACTCGCTCTGTTGCCTAGGCTGGAGTGCAGCCTCCTGGGTTCAAGCAATTCTTCTGTCTCAGCTTCCTGAGTAGCTGGGACTTCAGGTGCACGCCACCATGCCTGGTTAATTTTTATATTTTTAGTAGAGACAGGGTTTCACCATATTGGTCAGGCTGGTCTCGAACTCCTGACCTCACGTGATGCACCCACCTCGGCCTCCCAAAGTGCTGGGATTATAGGAGTGAGCCATCGTGCCTGGCCAAAAAAAAAAATTATGCTTTTTCTCTGCTAATGGGATACAATTGTGTGAATCCTAGTGACCTATTATAGAACCTACAGTGGATATATTGGTCTGGAGATGTTTTAAAAGGGTAGCCAGCCATGGCACTACGTTAAACAATATGGCATTGTATACTTTACAAACCGTGAAGCTCTACAACTTAATCATCTGCATAACTGAAACTTTATACCTATTAGAACGCAATATTTAAAAAATAGTTTTAGGTTTTTAAAAAATTGAACAGAAAAAAACAGAGTACCCATATAACACTCCTCCCCCAACATGCAGCTTCCCCTATTGGTAACGTCTTGCATTTGTGCAGTTCATGTATTCCAACTAATGAATCAAGATGAATGCATTATTATTAACTAAAGTATAAATTCTTTCAGATTTCCTTAGATTTTTACCTAATGTCCTTTTTCTACTCCAGGATCCCATCCAGAATACTGCATTTTGTTGTCGCGTCTAATCAAGGTAATTTTTAATTTTGTTTTTGAAATACAGTCTTGCTCTGTTGTTCAGGCTGGAATGCAGTGACATGATCTCAGCTCACTGCAACCTCCGCCTCCTGGGTTCAAGCAATTCTCCTGGCTCAGCCTCCCAAGTAACTGGGATTACAGGCTCCTGCCACCATGCCTGGCTAATTTTTGTATTTTTAGTAGAGACAGGATTTCACTGTGTTGGCCAGGTTGATCTCGAACTCCTGACCTTAAGTGATCCACCCACCACGGCCTCCCAAAGTGCTGGGATTATAGGCATGAGCCACCATGCCTGGCCAAATCAATGTAATTTTTAATTTCAAATTGAGACTAGGTTTATCATAAGGTTATATAGTCATGTGCCACATATCCATGTTCCAGTCAACAATGACTGCATATACGATGGTGGTCCCCTAAGATTATAGTGGGAACTGTCTATACACATGTGTCATTTTTACTGTTATACCTTATTTTCACTGTACCTTTTCTATGTTTAGATACACAAATACCACTGTTCTATAATTGCCTAAATATTTAGTATAATAACCTGCTGTATGGATTTGTAGCCTAGGAGTCATAGGCCCTACCATATAGCCTACGTGTGTAGGAGGCTCTATCACCTAGTTTGTGTAAGTACTCTCTACGATGGTCACACAATGACAGCATACCCTAATGATGCATTTCTTAGAATGTGTCCCCATTAAGAGACACATGCCCGTATATTATCTGTGTGACAGTTAGGGTAGCAGTAGCTGTTATCACAAAGAAATCCCAAACCTTAATGGATGAACACAAGGTAATAATTGTCCATTTTTTCCACCTAGCAGATGTAGGACCTGGAAGACCTTGGCATCCAGCCAACAAACAGGGGTGGGAGAGGGACAGAGATGGCAAACCCACTTCTTAAGCACCTTGGCCCAGGAATGACACCCCTCATTTCCACTCTCATTCCATGGGAGCACCAGCTGCGTGGCTGAACCTGGAGGGCAGCGGGGCTGGGAGACGTTACCCCAGGCTCTTCAGTGGCCATTCTCCACTGTGAGAAGGGGGAACTGGAATAAGGGATGCCCTCTCTGCTGCAAAGTGTGAGCCAAAGGTCTGTGGAATTGACCGAGTTTTTACCCAGGGGAAAGGATGAGGAAGGGATAAGGGACTTCCCGGCAGGGGTGCCCTCCTGTGAAAGGCTTAGAGGTGAGAGAGTGTGGTGTGTTATGGGGGCCTGGGGAGTGAATTACAGGGTTTAACAGTATTGGAGGGAGGGCCCTGGTAGGGCTTCGGTATTAGGCAGATACCAAATTGTGATGGGTTTTGTATCCTTGGAGTTTGGGATTTATCCTCAGGGCGACAAGGCAACATTAGAGGGTTTTAAATTAGGAATGATGTAATTAGTTTTTTACTTAAGAAATATACTAGTCAAAGGGTACAAACCTTCACTTATAAGGTGAACAAATACTGGAATCCTGGGGTTCAGCATGGTGACTATAGTTATTAACAATGTATTCTCTGTTTTAAATTTACCAAGAGTAGATCTCAAGTGTTCTCAACACACACACACACACAAAGTAACCATGTGAGGTGATGGATATGTTAACAAAGTTGATTGTGGTAATGACTTTGCAATGTATATGCATATCAAAACATCATGTTTTGCACGGCCTAATAGATATACAATTTTTTATTTGATGATTATACCTCAATAAAGCTGGAAGAAAGATAAACATAGAACATCGGGGCCACAGTGAGAGAACCGACTGGACAGGATGCAAAGAGAAGAGAGCAGCTCAATCAGGATAGGCCACATAGGAGAGAATGTGGTGGCTTGAACAAAATCAGATGCTGCTCTGAGGGTGAAGGGAAATGGATGCCTCGACGGGAGTGTCAGGAGATATCTCTGCTTTCCCTTTGCCCAAGCACTGAAGAGGCACAAGTCCAAGTCCCGCCTCCTCCAGGAGCTCCACCCTCCTTGGTTCCTACAGGTCTTAGGATCACGATCAAATAATTTAACCTTTCATTAACATATTTTCTTTAAGCTAAAACTCCCTCAATTGTACAATGCACCAACATTATTTTGTACCACTAAGAAAGAATGAAGGATGCTAACTGAAAATTTAAGGTGTTGTTAGATAGAAAATGCATTTCACTTTTAGGAATATTAAAATGTGAAAGAATGTTCATTAAATAACTTATTATAATAATTCATTAAATAACAATTATAATATAGTTCATTAAATAACTAATTATAATACAGAATATAAATTCTGTAGTTTTTTTATGTCTGTCTTAAGCTAGTCTGAGTTCTTTGAGGACATGGACTGTAGTTTACATTTCTGCAAAATCCTTGGGACCCATATTTAATCCAGGAAGATAACAGTTGGCCGGGCATAGTGGCTCATGCTTGTAATCCCAGCACTTTGGGAGGATGAGACAGGCGGATCACCTGAGGTCAGGAGTTCAAGGCCAGCCTGGCCAACTTCGTGAAACCCTGCCTCTACTAAAAATACAAAAATTAGCCTGGTGTGGTGGTGCGCACCTGTAATCCTAGCTACTCAGGAGGCTGAGGCAGGAGAATCACTTGAACCCAGGAGGCAGAGGTTGCAGTGAGCCAAGATCGCACCACTGCACTGTGGAGGAGGTGGGAGTTTTATCTATAAGCCCCTGAATGGGGCTGCTGCCTTTCTTTTAGAGATGCCCTGCCAAGAGAGGAGGAATCTAGAGAGGTGGTCTGGCTACAGTGGCTTTGCCAAGCTGTGGTGGGCTTCTCTCAGTTTGAACTTCCCAGTGGCTTTGTTTCCACTGTGTGGGGTAAAACCGCCTACTCAAGTCTCAGTAGTGGCGGACGCCCCTCCTCGCACCAAGCTTGAGCATCCCAGGCTGACTTCAGACTGCTGTGCTGGCAGCAAGAATTTCAAGCCAGTGTATCTTAGCTTGCTGGGCTCCGTGGGGGTGGGATCCACTGAGCTAGACCACTTGGCTCCCTGGCTTCAGCCCCCTTTCCAGGGGAGTGAGCAGCTCTGTCTTGCTGGTGTTCTAGGCCCACTGGGGTATGAAAAAAAGACTCCTGTAGCTGCCTTGGTGTTTGCCCAAACGGCTGCCCAATTTTGCGCTTGAAACCTAGGGCCCTAGTGGTGTAGGCACCAGAGGGAATCTCCTGGTTTGCGGGTTGTGAAGACCATGGAAAAAGCGTAGTATCTGGGCCGGAGTGAACTGTCCCTCACGACACAGTCCCTCACGCCTTCCCTTGGCTACAGGAGGGAGTTCCCCGACCCCCTGTGCTTCCCGGGTGAGGGTGACGCCCCACCCTGCTTCAGCTTGCCTTCATTGGGCTACACCCACTGTCTAGCCAGTCCCAATGAGATGAGCCGGGTACCGCAGTTAAGAATGCAGAAATCGCCCACCTTCTACATTGATCTTGCTGGGAGCTGCTGACCAGAGCTGTTCCTATTTGGCCATCTTGCCAGCCACTCTGGCATTTATCTTAAATCTGAATATATTTTAATTTTTTAGAGTCTTTTCTCATCTTTCATGACTTTGATTCTTTTGAACCATTCTGGTCAGTGATTTTGAAGACTGCCTCCCAATTTGGATGTGTATTGCATTTTCTCGTGGTTTAACTGAAGTCATGATTGTTGGATAGCATATCACAGAAGTGGGGGAGCCTCCTTATCACACTGTAATCAGGGGGTGTAAATGTCAACATGACATCACTGGTGGTGTTAACCTAGATCATTTGGCTGAAGTCCTGTCAGCCAGGATTATCCACTGTAAGGTTACTATTTTTCTCTTTATAATAACTATAAATTTTGAGAGATATTCTTTAAGACTCTGCAAATATCCTGCATCTGCTTAAATTTTCAAACATTAATATTAACATCTCTGGGTAAATGTTGTCTGTAGTGATTATAACTTAGGTATTCTAGCAGTGGTTTTCCATTTCCCTCATTTTTTTTACAATCACTAATTGGAATTTTCTGTAGGGAAGGGTATCTGAGACAGTATCATCTCCCACATTGAGTTTTTTCAGTTATTTGGTTCTACATAAGCATGAACTTAAGGAAATTGATGTTATTCTCTTGTTTACTATTCAATAGAATTTTTATTTATGTTGTTGCTAAAATTGTCTCAACTTTTGCTCCTAGCATCTCTTTCAGGTTGGTCTCCTGTCACTTTGATGTGTGTGTGTGTGTGTAGTATTTCCTTACTGGTGTTACAAGATGCTCCAGCTCATCTTGTATTTTCTCTATCCAGCCCTAGAATTTACAAGTTCTCCGAGGAGTCCTGGTGTCTTTTATTGATGAATGGTTGATATGGTTTGGCTATGTGTCCCCACCCAAATCTCATCTCCAATTGTAATTCCCACATGTTGAGGGAGGTTCCCAGTGGGAGGTGATTGGATCATATAGTAAGGGGATTCTCATGAAATCTCATTGTTTGATAAGTGTCTGACACTTCCCCATTCTCTCTATATCTCTTTTGCCACCTTGTGAAGAGGGTGTTTGTTTCCCCTTCACCTTCTGTCATGATGTAAGTTTCCCGAGGCCTCCCCAGCCATGTGGAACTGTGAGTCAATTATGCCTCTTTTATTTATAAGTTACCCAGTCTCAGGTATTCCTTATAGCAGTGTGAAAATGGACTAATACAGGAAATTGGTACTGAGATAGTGGGGCATTACTATAACATACCTGAGAATGTGGAAATGACTTCAAAACTAGGTAACAGGGAAAGGTTGGAACAGATTGGAGGGCTCAGAAGACAGAAAGATATGGGAAAGTTTAGACCTTCTTAGAGACTTGGTGAATGGTTTTGACAAAAATGCTGATAGTGATAGGGACAATTATGTCCAGGCTGAGGCGGTTTCAGATGGAGATGAGGAACTTATTGGGAACTGGAGTAAAGATCACTCATGCTATGCTTTAGCAAAGAGACTGGTGGCATTTTCCCCTGCCCTAGAGATCTGTGGAACCTTGAACTTGAGAGAGATGATTTAGGGTATCTGGTGGAAGAAATTTCTAAGCAGCAAAGCATTTAAAATGTGACCTGAAAGTGTTCCATTATATGCGTTCACAAAGGGATGGTTTGAAATTGGAACTTATGTTTAAAAGGGAAGCAGAGCATAAAGGTTTGGAAAATTTGTAACCTGACCATGTGGTAAAGAAAAACCCATTTTCTGGGGAGGAATTCAAGCCCACTGCAGAAATTTGCATAAGTAACAAGGAGCAGAATGTTAATAGCCAAGACAATGGGGAAAATGTCTCCAGGGCATATCAGCAATCTTGGCAGCAGCATCTTCCATCACAGGTCCAGAGGCCAAGGAGGGGAAAATGGTTTCATGGGCCAGACCCAGGGCCCCACTGCTCTGTGCAGCCCTGGGACATGGCACCCTGCATTCCAGCCACTCTAGCTGTGGTTAAAAGGGACCAAGATGCAGCTAAGGCCATTGCTTCAGAGGGTGCAAGCCCCAAGCCTTAGTGGCTTCTGCATGGTGTTGGGCCTGTGGGTGCACAGAAGACAAGAGTTGAGTCTTGGGAGCCTCCACTTAGACTTCAGAGTATGTATGGAAATGCTTGGATGTCCAGGCAGAAGTCTGTTGCAAGGGCAGAGTTCTCATAGAGAACCTCTACTAGGTCAATGCAGAGGGGAAATGAGGGATTGGAGCCTTCACACAGAGTCCCCAGTGGGGCACTGCCTAGTGGAGCTGTGAAAAGAGGGCCACCGTCTTCCAGACCCCAGAATGGTAGATCCACCAACAGCTTGCACCATGCACTTGGAAAAGTGATTGGCACTCAATGCCAGCCCAGGAAAGCAGCTTTGGGGGCTGTACCCTGCAGAGGCACAGGGGTAGAGCTGCTCAAGGCCTTGGGAGCCCACCCCTTGCATTGGTGTGCCCTGGATGTGAGACTTGGAGTCAAAGGAGATTATTGTGGTGCTTTAAGATTTAATGACTACCCTGCCAGTTTGTGGACTTGTATGGGGTCTGTGGCCCCTTTCTCTTGGCCAATTTCTCCTATTTGGAATGGGAACATTTACCCAATACCAGTACCCCCATTGTATCCTGGAAGTAACTAATTTGTTTTTTATTTTACAGGTTCACAGGCGAAAGGGACTTGTCTCAGATGACACTTTGGATTGGACTTTTCAGTTAATGCTGGAATGAGTTAAGACTTCAGGGGACTGTCAGAAAGGCATGATTGGTTTTGAAATGTGAAAAGAACATGAGATTTGGGAGGCGTCAGGATGGAATAATATGGTTTGGCTCTGTGTCCCCACCCAAATTTCATCTCAAATTGTAATCCCCACACGTTGAGGGAGGAATCTGGTGGGAGGTGACTGGATCATGGGGGTAGTTTCCCCCTTGTTCTCATGATAGCGAGGGAGTTCTCACAAGATTTGGTATTTGATAAGGGTCTGGTGCTTCCCCTTTCTCTGTCTCTCTCTCTCTCTCCTGCCGCCTTGTGAAGATGATGCTTGCTTCTCCTTCTGCTATGATTGTAAGTTTCCTGAGGCCTCCTCAACCATGGGGAACTGTGAATCAATTAAATCTCTTTTATTTATAAATGACCCAGCCTCAGGTATTCTTTATAGCAGTGTGAAAATGGACTAATACAATCGAATTTAGAAATCAAGACCTGGGTGCTAGCTGTACTCATTCCTGCTGGGGTGTCACTGCTTCTAACCCATCTTCGTGGAGGGAGCTAGGAGATATGTATACATACTAACATTCTTTGCATGTTAATAGCAAATATATGCATTTACATTACAAAGATTCACATGGTTCACCAAGGCTTTTTACAAAAAGTAGCGGTTCTCATTTCCCTCCTTCCAGAGGCAATCCCTGCCATTTTATTATATTCCACCATTTATTATTTTTATATTTATTGCCATTTTATTATTTTCTATTTTAAACAAAATAAATATTTCTATTTTATTATTTATCTCTATGTATTTCAATAACAAACCTATATTGCTATTTTTGTCCTTATTTGGAGATTTTTTTTTCTTCCCATAGCATCTCCATTTCCTCCAAGTTGCTATTTGTTTTGGAATCTATTTTATTTTTTTTTATTTTTTGAGATGGAGTCTCGCTCTGTCGCCCAGGCTGGAGTGCGGTGGCATGATCTCGGCTCACTGCAACCTCTGCCTCCTGGGTTCACGCCATTCTCCTGCCTCAGCCTCCTGAGTAGCTGGGACTACAGGTGCCCACCACCACGCCCAGCTAGTTTTTATTTTTAGTATTTTTATTAGTATTTTATATATATTTTATATATATTTATTTTAGTATTTAATTTGTAGTTTTAGTAGAGATGGGGTTTCACCGTGTTAGCCAGGATGGTCTCCATCTCCTGACCTCGTGATCCACCCGCCTCAGCCTCCCAAAGTGCTGGGATTACAGGCGTGAGCTACCACGCCTGGCCTTGGAATCTATTTTTTATGCAAGAAGCTCTCTCTGTCCCAGTCTCTCTCTCTCTCTCTCTCTCTCTCTCTGTGTGTGTGTGTGTATTTCCTATATCCTTAGTTTTCTGCTCAGATCAAAGAGTGGGGAACATCACAGTTCAGCATGTCATGGGGCTTGTCTTTGGTGGGCTTCACTGTAGATGGTCAGGTGGGCTACTTCAATTAGGAAGCCCTAATGCCAATACACTTAGACTTATCCACATGGGCTGGTCAAATTTTCTAGACAGTTTTCAACCTCCTTTCTGGAGGGTGGAGCCCTAGTTGTAAGAATGTAGACCCCAACTGGAGAATGGTTTTATGTCTCTGTGTTCTGGATATTTACATGTAAACTGGGCCTGGTTTACACGTAGATATCCAGATACCCATGCTCAGTCCAGAGGTTGTTTACTTAAAAGGATGAATATCAGTGTTTTTTAGAAGGGCTAAAAATGTCTTAACTCTGTTTCTACTCTCATGTTTAGAGGCACCTGGTGCTAAATTTTCCTGAGTATTTGGGGGTTTCTGTAGCACGAATTGAATTGACTCCTGATTTCCCAGACTGTGAATGATTCATCGTTCTTGATCTACTGCTGGAATTAAGCATCCAAAAGTTTATGTCCATGGTTTCTGCTCCTAAATTCTTTGTCACTGTGGTTTAAACAAGAAGATATCTCTCTGTCCCAGTCTCTGCCTCTGCCTCAGCGTCTCTCTCTCTCTATTTCCCATCTCCTTAGTTTTAAAGGCTTTATGCCTTTAAAAATTGATTTATGCTTCCTTTAGTGCTGTCTTGAAAACAAGTAAAAGTAACTGCTTATGTTAATCTATAATATTTAACACAAGCAGATTCACTGAATTTTTAATTATTCATTTAATTACTTCATTATATACAGACAAAATTATAATGTGGTATGAAATTCAAACTTTTGAAACTAAGGAATTCAATTTTAAGTCACATTTAGTCCCTTAAATTATTCTTTGGTTTTTGGTGCCTTCTAGTTAGTTAAAAACAAATAAACGATCATGGATTGGTGATGATAAATATGTTTCTTTTTTCTTTTCTTATTTTAGTAGTTTTGAGTGAAAGCTAAGAATTTTGTGGAATTAGAGAAAGGTGGAATAAAGGAAACAAGAAAGTAAAGACCTATAAACAGTTTCCTTTTACCATTCAATTTTTCAGATTAAAAATAAAATCTCAATCAAAACACCTACATAACTGCTCTTTGCAGTTCCATAGAGCAGAGACAAAAGGTAATAAGGTATTCATAACTTAAGTTTTCCCTTTAATAGCTACATTGATTGGGTCAATAGATTTTTGTGCCAAATAATGACGAGTGATCCCTAGGTTTTAGCTCTGTAACACCACGATTCATGATACCTGTGATCAATAGGTTTTTTTTTTGTTTGTTTGTTTGTTTGTTTTTTTTTTTTTGAGACAGAGTCTTGCTCTGTCGCCCAGGCTGGAGTGCAGTGGCGCGATCTCAGCTCACTGCAAGCTCCGCCTCCTGGGTTCACGCCATTCTCCTGCCTCAGCCTCCCGAGTAGCTGGGACTACAGGCGCCCGCCACCACGCCCGGCTAAATTTTTTGTGTTTTTAGTAGAGACGGGGTTTCACCGTGTTAGCCAGAATGGTCTCGATCTCCTGATCTCGTGATCTGCCCGCCTCCGCCTCCCAAAGTGCTGGGATTACAGGCGTGAGCCACCGCACCTGGCCGATCAATAGGTATTATTAGCTTTTTTTTTCCTACAAAATCAACCCAGTAAGGGAGTAATAGAGAGTATCTCATCTTTATCTTAGCCAGTGAATAAAGAATCTTTTTACATTTACAATTCAAATTATTACTATATACCTGAATCCTCTTTGCATTTTATCTTTATTTCCATGATGATCATATTAACTGTCATTCACTTCATAGACAATGGCATATTCTCTGCATCATACAGTAATTGGGGTATAATTTGCAAGTCAAAGACTAAATCAATTCATCCTATAGGATGCTATCCTTTCTTTTATCAAGATTGAAATTAAAATATTTTTAGAAAGTATTTATATAATTTTTCTTGCTTGGTTTAACTTACACTTCAGTATTTGCGTTCTTTTGTGATGGTGGTGGGAGAGAGAGACCTCGAAGGAATGAAATATACCATTAGGTGCAGTAAACTTATCCCTTGATTCATAAAGCAGCTATTGGCTCTAATTTTATATTTAGTATTTGAATTCATTAAAGTCATAAAGGGTTTCATTTCATATACTTTATCCTTTTCCTAAAGCTAATAATCTTAACTTTATTTTCTTAAAAGTCACATTTTATGTTTTATTAGAAAGTCAAAACTTTTTCTTACTTTTTTTTTTTTTTGAGACAGAGTCTTGCTTTGTTACCCAGGCTGGAGTGCAGTGGCGTGATCTTGGCTCACTGCACACTCCGCCTCCTGGGTTTATGCCATTCTCCTGCCTCAGCCTCCCAAGTAGCTGGGACTACAGGCGCCCGCCAGCTCACCTGGCTATTTTTTTTTATTTTTAGTAGAGACGGGGTTTCACTGTGTTAGCCAGGATGGTCTTGATCTCCTGACCTCGTGATCCGCCTGCCTCAGTCTCCCAAATTGCTGGGATTACAGGCGTGAGCCACCGCGCCCAGCCCAACTTTTTCTTACTTTTACAATGATTGTTCATAAAGTTAAAGAAATGAAGAAAAATATCAGCTGACTAAGAAAAGATGTTGAAATGACACACAAGGAAGACAGATTTGCCACTAGGCTGGAGAACGTGGGTGAAGCGTAAGATGACCCACTCTCCAGAACGAGGAGGCACCAGGGACAGTGGTTCTGTCATGTTGAATGTCTTGCTATTTATTAACACTATCATTCCTAGGACTGGTGAAATGTGCGCTTTTTATATGGATATTTAAGTGTATTCCAGGGGCAGCTTCATCCTTTCTCAGTTTCATGATTTTTAGAAGTAGCAAGAAGGTTGGGCGCGGTGGCTCATGCCTGTAATCCCAGCACTTTAGGAGGCCGAGGCGGGTGGATCACTTGAGGTCAGGAGTTCAAGACCAGCCTGGCCAACATGGTGAAACCCCATCTCTACAAAAATACAAAAAAATTAGCTGAGCGTGGTGGCACACGCCTTTAATCCCAGCTACTTGGGAGGCTGAGACAGGAGAATCCCTTGAACCCAGGAGGCAGAGGTTGCAGTGAGCTGAGATCATGCCATTGCACTCCAGCCTGGGCTACAAAGTGAGACTTCATCTCAAAAAAAAAAAATGCAAGAAATGCTGCAGAAAGTTAAGTGTTATTTTGCAAATTGCAGTGGTGGGTCTCTTCCTTATCATAGTTGTCTATGGATTTTAATTCCAGAACCCCTTCATAGATAAACTTTGGTGTTTAACTCATCCTAGGACTTAAAGGGTTCTTTCCCCATCTAAAGATTCCGTACAGAAATGATTTTCTTTTTGAGACCGAGTCTCACTCTGTCGCCCAGGCTGGAGTGGAGTGGCACGATCTCAGCTCACTGCAACATTTGCCTCCTGGGTTCAAGTGATTCACCTGCCTCAGCCTCCTGAGTAGCAGGGTTACAGGCATGTGCCACCACGCCTGGCTAATTTTTATATTTTTAGTGGAGATGGGGTTTCACCATGTTGGCCAGGCTGGTCTTGAACTCCTGACCTCAAGTGATCCACCTGCCTTGACCTCCCAAAGTGCTGGGATTACAGGTGTGAGCCACTGCGCTCAGCCTGATTTTTTCTTAGAAATAAATCTAGTGACTTTAATTTCTGGATGGAATCTTATTTGCCACAGTTTGCTAATAAAATTTCCAATTCCTCTCCTTTGGACATCTGTCCTTGGAAATGTATCCTTTAGTACACCAAAATTTTCTTATATTTATAAACTTATTTTGAAGTGTCATCAGAACCTCAATGACTTCTTCACCTTTAGGAAGAGGCCTCTTCCAAATGTATCTTGTGACCCCAGTGGCATGACGGATGGAGTCAGAACTAGTGATTCCCATGGGCTCTGGCTCTCAGCCCGCTGGATTTGTGTGCAAGCCGGAGGGTGTGTCTTAGACCCTTGACCCTATGTTCTTCTTCATAAACTAAGTGTTGTTTCTGATCTCACAGTGGGCCTTCTACATTCTCCTTTTTGATTTTTAGTTTCTCTCCTCACACTTCCTACCAGTCACTCTCACATTTCACACCTCTTAGAGTATCCTCCTATAGTGGGGTCCCAAGATTTCAAATTTGCTTCTTGGGAAAAAATATTTTTCGCCTTAGAAACCATCTCACCTGTAGACCTGTGCTGTCCAATACGGTAGCCTAGCCATCTGTGTCTATTTAAATTAATGAAACTAGTTTCTCATTTGCACTAGCTATGTTTCAAGTGCTTAGTAGGCACGCGTAGCTAATGGTGACTCCATTGGGTGGTGCTGATATGAGCCATTTCCAGCACTGTGCTCTATTGGGCAGTGCTGATATCAGCCATTTTCCAGCACTGTGTTCTATTGGGCAGTGTTTATGTAAGTCATTTCCAGCTCTGTGTTCTATTGGGTGGTGCTGATATAAGCCATTTTCCAGCACTGTGTTCTATTGGGCAGTGTTTATATAAGTCACTTCTAGCACTGTGTTCTATTGGGCAGTGCTGATATAAGCCATTTTCCAGCACTGTGTTTCTGGGCAGAATTGATATAAGTCATTTCCAGTATTATATTGGACAGTGCTGATATAAGCCATTTCCAGCAAGGTGGACAGTTCCATTGGGTGGCGCTGTTATCTAGAGCTCAAGCTTCAGAAAGGAAGACTCTTGTTTTGTTTGCTCACCCAGCACCTAGCAACACTGCTGGTCTGCGACAACTGTTCATTTATTTATTTAATTATCAAGCTATATGTAGGTATTTGCAAATTGGCTACTTCTTTTATGTTTCCCCCAAAGTGCATGAGCTTAAATTCATAGACCCATTGGGTGTATCTCAGCCTCTATGAAGTTTTATAAATGTCTTCCTAGTTACTAAAAGTAGAACTACTATATGATTCAGCAACCCCGCTACTGTGTATCATCCAAAGGAAAAGAAATCAGTATATCAAAGAGATACCTGGACTCGCATGTTTTTTGCAGCACTATTCACAATAACAAAGATGTGGAGTCAATCTAAGCACCTATCAATGGACGAATGGATAAAGAAAAATGTGGTTTACGTACACAATGGAACACTATCTGGCCACAATAAAGAGTGGAATGTCATTTGCAGCAATATGGATGAAACTGGAGGTCATGATGTTAAGTGAAATAAGCTAGGCACAAAAGGGCAAATATCTCATGTTCTCACTCATATGGGGGAGCTATAATGGCTGATCTCAGGAAGGTAGAGAGCAGAATAACAGATACCAGAGGCTGGGAAGGGGGAACGCATGAATGGTGGGTGTGAAGAGAGGTCAGTTAATGGGTACAAACATACAGTTAGATGGAAGATACAAGTTCTAATGTTCTATAGCAGAGTAGGGTGACTATAGTTAGCAATAATGTATTGGATATTTTTTAAGTAGCTAGAAGAGAGGGCTTGAAATATTCCCAACCAACACGTAGAAATGATAGATACTTAAGGTGATGAACACCCCAAATACCCTAACTTGATCATTTCATGTTCTATGCATGTAATAAAATATCACATGTACTTCATAAATATGCAACATGTTATGTATCAACAAAAAAAGTCCTCAGTTCTCAGCTGAGTCGCTGATGGATGCGTTACACCGTGTCATTACTCTGTGATTACTCTGTTACATTGATTTTCCATCTGTCCTGGCTGTATATTCTGGAGAACTTCCTTCTACAACCAGTAGTTTCAGAAGTTGTCAAGGGTTAACACTGGGAGACACTGAGTCAGGTGCTTTACTTGAGTTTTACTGTGTGGCCAGGCCCAGGGGACAAACTCATCAAAAAGAACCACAATCACTTGTCCCATTGCTTTTTCTTGCCCTTGCTTACTTCTCACTTCTTGAAATTCTTTGAATGCTATCCTGTTGCATTGGCAGCTGTTCGTATCCATTTAAATCTCTCCAAATCAGCAAGTTCAACTTGCCTTTTCCTTGGTAATTAACTGACACAGATGTTATCATGTGTGGTACTTGTTTGGAGAATCAATATAAGCACTGGCATTTTTTCCCATCTACCCTGAGCACCACTTTTTAAAAAATTTTACATTAAAGGGAGGAAGTTGACAGAGATATGTTCTCATTTTGTTCATCTTAGTGGGAAGAGTCAACCTTTCATGTTCTTCATACGATGACGGGAGTGGCCCCACTAATTCACACTCTGACCACAGTGATGCAAATGGCCACATTTCTGTTGCCACAAGGAAGGGCACTCTAAAATATTTTTGCCTAATAGAAATCACATTATTTCTTTTGTTCAATATGATTTTGCAACTTTGGAAATCTTTTAAAACTAATAAGGTGTTGAGGATTCGCCAGATGTTCCTTATCCTCCACACATCTTTGCCCTTTTGAAAACAGAGTGTCTCTATAAGCATTGTTAGCAAATGCTTTTGGTTATACATTTCCACAAAAGAATGCTACCTTTTGCAATTTTGTACCAGCATTTTATTTCTTGAGACTGGAAATATCAAATACTGCATAAAATATTAGTACTTCAAAACTATATTCCCTACTCCTAAATTTAAATGTTCAACACTGGTACATATTAAAGAAAGTGAATATGACTTTTGCACTGGCATTTGGATTATGCATGTCATTTACTGTTTGAGGGATTTTTCCCCTTTGTGACCTGAGGTTCAAGTAATCAATGTAGAAAGGCATTATTTAACATATTTCCCTCCGATCTCATTATTGATCAGCTGAGATTTCTAAAGATGAAGAAGAGCATAAAATAAAATGGGAATAACTGCAGACACTGAACCCACATCTCACAGGAAAAGAAGGAGGAAGAAGTGTGTGTTGGGAGTAGATTTATCATTATACCAAGTAACAATGCAGGATCCACGGTTAAATTTGAAGTTCAGATAAATGATGAACAGTTTTTAGTATCAGTATATTCAGAGCAATATTTGGGATATACTTATACTATAAATTTATAATTTATCTGAAACTAAAATGTAGTTGGATGTTCTATACATTACCAGACAACCCTATGTATGAAGGAGTTGATGGAGAGGAAAGTGTGTGGAAAATAAAATAATAGCTTAATATATTTTACATATATAGGGGCTCAACCAGATAGTTCAGAAGCATAAAATTGCTCTGTGAGAACAAGGAATATTTTAAAAAATCATGGTAGAGAAAGAGTCAATGTCCCAAGTTGATGACTGTGCTTTTTTATTTTTTATTTTTTATTTTTATTTTTGACAACAGTCCTACTCTGTCGCCCAGGCTGGAATGCAGTGGCATGATCTCAAGTGATTCTCCTGTCTCAGCCTCATGAGTAGCTGGAATTATAGGCACGCGTCACCATGCCCAGCTAATTTTTGTATTTTTAGTAGAGATGGGGCTTTGCCATGTTGGCCAGGCTAATCTTGAACTCCTGACCTCAGTGGTCCGCCCGCCTCTGCCTCCCAAAGTGCTGGGATAACAGGCATGAGCCACCGCGCCCGGCTGATGATTGTGTTTTTATTATTGCATAACATTTTCTTCCCTTAGGATCTGGGCATCCTGACATTATACATATTGTGTTGCTAGTGTGTTGCTTACCTTGCTGGGATATACACTAGGAGGTAGTGAGGTATGGTAGGAAGAGCATTCATTCAGATTCAGAAACAGCAGGCTTTGGTCTTGTCCGAGCCCAGTACTGGCCATGTGCCCTAACTTGCTGGGCTTCAGCTGTCACACCTAGAAATCGAAAAAATGGCCTTTGTTTTGTCTACTTTCCAGGAATGTTGTAGGAATCAAATGACTAGATGAATGTGAGTGAAGACTGTGAGTGGATATACTTATTTATATCTTTTAAACTGTAAGTTCTAGATCATCGGTTGGATCTGTCTTGTTCACTATTTCATCCATAGCTCCTAGCAAGTACGTAACCCACAGTCAGATTTAAGAACAAAAAAAGTGTTGAGGGAATGGATGAATACCAGCACATACACTGATAACTAGTCATGCAGAATACAGAAATACCCATTGTGTGTGTGTGTGTGTTTGTGTGTGGTTGTGTCCCATTAATGTAATGATGGCTGGTGTTATAAATTCCAGAATACATACAGGCTCATACATAATTGATGATTAATTCTTTTTCGACAAATCCCAAATGCTTGTTCCAGATCACATGGTGGCTCTCTTGCGAGCAGCAATTAGAGGGACTCAGGCCCTTGTGTCTTGTGGCTTTTGCGTTTTCACCAGGTGGCTTCCTAGATGGATGGAAGAATCTGTGACAAGGTGGCAAGAAAGGCACGGACAAGTGGAGAAAGCTCACCTGCACCATAAGCTCCCTGGGCCCCGTGTACTACATGTCACTCCTGCTGGCCTTGCATTGGCAAGATTCACTTACATGGCCCTTACACGGCCCCACATAGAGGCAAAGGCCTCTGGGAAATGTGATCTTGGGCTGGGAAGTTTCTTTCTAGCTAGAACCCCGCACCTTGGAAGGAGATGCCATCTTTGAAGGAGACTTGGTCATGTCTACCCTAGTGTGACTATTTACCAAACCCAGTGTGGTGGGCAGCTTTCTGCAGGGCTCCCAATCACCCCTGCCTCTTGATACTCATGCCTGCAGGTAACCCTTCCTCTTGAATGTGGGTTCAGTCTAATGTGTTCCTTCTAATGTATAGAATGTCATGAAAGTGCTTAAATGTCACTTCTTGATTGGTTATGAAAGACTGTGACTTCTGATGGCTGGGTGTTCTCCCTCTGCTTCTTGACCCATGTTTATTCTGATGGAGAGGGCAACACAGCAAGGATCTGATCTTTGACCAACAGCCAGCAAAGAGCTCAAGCCTCAGTCCAACAGCCTAGGAGGTACTGAGTCATTTTCCAGAAACCACTGGATGAGTTTGGAAGCAGATCCTGCCCCAGCTCAACCTTGAGATGGCGGCAACCTCAGCTGTTGCCT
Source organism: Homo sapiens (assembly GCF_000001405.40). NCBI lineage: Eukaryota > Metazoa > Chordata > Mammalia > Primates > Hominidae > Homo > Homo sapiens. Next base: position 125,760,021 of record NC_000012.12, read on the forward strand.
TTGTAGGAGCCTTGTGAGGAACCGTGGGCTGGAACCTTGATTACAGCCTTCGGAGACAGCATGAAGCAGAGCGCTCGGCCAAGCTAAGCTGGGATGTCAGAGCCACAGAAATTGTGAGAAAAGTGTGTGCTGTTTTACATCTCTATGTTTTGGGGTAATTTGTTACACAGCAATAGATAACTAATTGCATACAGATTCTAGCTTAGGAATGGGCAGTCCAAGACAGCTCAAGAAGGTAGGAAGTTGGAACCTCATCATCAGTCTCTTAGCATAAAAGTATATAGGCCAGGCACCATGGCTCATGCCTGTAATCCCAGTACTTTGGGAGGCCGAGGTGGGGAAATCACTTGAGGTAGGGAGTTAGAGACCAGCCTGGCCAATATGGTGAAAACCCGTCTTTACTACAAATACAAAAATTAGCCAGGTGTGGTGGCGGTCACCAGTACTCCCAGCTACTAGAGAGGCTGAGGTGGGAGAATCGCTTGAACCCGGGAGGCAGAGGTTGCAGGGAGCCGAGATTGTGCCACTGCACTGCAGCCTGGGTGACACATCGAGACCCCGTCTCAAAAAAAAAAAAAAGGTATATAGAAAGCAAAACTTTATTGTATGATACAGAACTTGAACCATTTTTAGGTTCTTTGTTCGTCTAAGCACAAAGGATTACTCATTGGTCTGCCTTGGGTTATGTGATTGCTCCTCACAGAAGAGAATGGGGCATTCTTGCAGCTTCACATACTGTTGCTTTAATCAACTCCTATTCACCTCATTGGTGAGGGAGGAATTGCTGCCCTAATGTGAGGAGGATAACCAAACACACCACACCTGACACTGGACAAATGAGATTTATTAATCACGTATACTCAGCCCAGGGGAGAAGGACACAGGACACCCTGGAAGGCCACTGTGGGTTGCACTCGTTAGTAGCTGACACTTCATGTGGATGATTTTACATAAGAAAAATGATGCAGCCCCTGAAACAGGGGCGGTGGGAGGCAGGCTTTGTAGTATAAAGAGGCCAGGGTGACCCTCATTCTCACAGGAAGATACGATTGGCTTGTTGGAATAATTCCACTGGTTGGCAAAAAACTAAAGGCTGCTTCTCAGGACCAAGAGCTGTGCCTGGTCTGTTTGATAAGGAGGGTTTTTGAGCCAGGGGATCTTATCTGTGAGAGCAGGTGGGTAGTGGAACTTGGGCTTAATCAATTTGAGTTTCTCCTGATTCCTCCAGATGTCAAGGGAGCACATAATATTGGGCCTTCATTTTAGAACTTACTCCAAAACTGTTCAATGAATAAAAAATAATTTTAGCCTAATAAATAGGATGATATTAAGAAAAGAAACTGGAAAGGTACATAAAAAATAAATCAAATAGGGAATATCCACCTCATTTGGTAGTGCAGTTTTTTTTCTTATCTTTCATCTCTCAGTGGTGAACATTATTTGCATAACAAGGCTCCAATCAACCATCAGTCCTGTGCAAACCAAAGGAATTTTAACCCATTTTTTTTCTAGTTGATTATTCATACTGGCATTACTTGTCTATATGTAAGCACGTTCCTACATCTTGATTTAGTTCAAAGCATAAGAACTATTGATGTGCAATTAATTACTATTCATCATGGGATAAAATAGAAGCCAACATGATTGAGCCAATTGTTAGCAGGAGCTGAAGATTTCCATTTAATAAAAAAGTGATAAATTTAAGCCTAATAAAAGCCTAAAATACCAAATTAAGCCTTTATTTTTCATTTTCTCAGCATTTTCAGATGCGTGTTCTCTGTTACAAAGAACTTAGAGAGGGAGAGGGCTACGTGTGGACCGATGATCAATTATGAATCCAACCAAGGCTTCTTCTGCACATTTAGCTGAAAGCCTGTGCAGGAAAAATATGTATTATTTTGTGCAATACCTTTGTAATAAAGAATAAAGCCCACAATCTATTCAGTTTTTCCTTCTCCACACTGAGATCATTTTACTCTGCGTTGGCATTCTTAGCCAGATTGCTTTTTAAACCAGATTCCAATGTACTCACTTTAAAAAAAGTACCCACATTGCTTTCTCCCATCCCAATGTAAACTTTTAGGTTATTTTAGGTCATTTTTATCTTTTGGAGTCTTCTGTTTCTCCCGTGCCTGTTTCATGCTCAGGGGATTGTTTGGTCTGTGCAAACAGTCTCCAGGTTCTGGTATAATCTGTATGTCTCAGACTCTCTTCTATACCTGGGGTGCACGTGTTCCAGGTATCAGATCATATCTCCTCTGTTCACAACACGTTTTAACACATGAGGGCGTGACACAGTCATTTGTAATATCACTGGCTTCCTTGACCCCATATCTGGTCCCTTTTCTTCCCTTTTTTTTTTTTTGTTTTGAGACAGGGTCTCAGTCTGCTGTCCAGGCTAGGGTGCAGTGGTGTGATCACGGCTCACTGCAACCTCTGCCTCCTGGGTTCAAGCGATTCTCCTGCCTCAGTCTCCTGAGTAGCTGGGATTACAGGCATGTGTGACCATGCCTGGCTCACTTTTTTGTATTTTTAGTAGAGACCAGGTTTCACCATGTTGTCCAGGCTGGTCTCAAACACCTGACCTCAAGTGATCTGCCCACTTCGGCCTCCCGAAGTGCTGGGATTACTTACGTGAGCCACCACGCCTGGCCCCTTATTTTATCCTTTGAATTAGCTCCCTAATCTTTCTGGGGTCAGTTGCTTCCTTTCTTTTTGTGACACGAATCATTATCTGGAACTGGGCTTTCTGATGATCTCCTCATTGATCCCCTCACCTTCATTTTTATCTGCCGCAGTTCACCCTATTCACTTCCAAGTAAATTAATTTCTCTTCCTAGGATAGATCTCTTTTAGTTCTGTGTGTATGTATGAATACAAATAAAACTGGGTGACTCTGTATATAAATAGATTTACAAATGGATGGGGGATTGAAACAGCCTCTCTCCTCACCCATTAGGGTACAACCAGATGCCTGACATGCAAAAGGGCTATGGACAAGTAAAGTTTTTTTTTTTAATTGCTTGTGAGCTATACTTTAGTAAAGCTGACATAAAACATAAATCTGTATGTATATAGATTTACCCAGATTTATTTGTACTCGTATATATAGTTGGTTAGAAGCTACTCACAGGTCCTGCCTATACTCTATACATAATAGAAACTTAAATTTTTTTTTGTTATACTTTAAGTTCTGGGATACAAGTGCCGAACATTAAGGTTTGTTACATAGGTATACACGTGCCATGATGGTTTGCTGCATCCATCAACCCGTCATCTACATTAGGTATTTCTCCTAATGCTATCCCTCCCACTCCCTGATAGGCCCCGGTGCGTGTGATGTTCCCCTCCCTGTGTCCATTTGTTCTCATTGTTCAACTCCCACTTATGAGTGAGAACATGCAGTGTTTGGTTTTCCGTGCTTTTGTTAGTTTGCTGAGAATGATGGTTTCCAGCTTCATCCATGTCCCTGCAAAGGACATGAACTCCTCCATTTTTATGGCTGCATAGTATTCCATGGTGTATATGTGACACATTCTCTATCCAGTCTATCACTGATGGGCATTTGGGTTGGTTCCAAGTCTTTGCTATTGTGAACAGTGCCACAGTAAACATATGTGTGCATGTGTCTTTGCTCATTGCATGATTTATAATACTTTGGGTATATACCCTGTAAGATTCATAATAGAAACTTAAAACAACAATATACATACAGATTTACCCAGTTTTGTTTGTAGTCATGTGTGTGTGTCCCTGGTTTTCTTTTTCTATTGTGATAAAATAAGCAAAACCCAGAGTTAACCATTTTAACCATTTTTAAGTGTAAAGTTCAGTGGCATTGAGAATATTCACAATGTAGTGTAACCATCATCAATCATCTAGCTCCAGAACTTTTTCATCATCCCATACTAAAACTCCTTGCCCATTAAACAATACCTCCCCAGTCACTGAGATCCACATTCATGAAGATGGAGAGTGAGTTTTATAATCTCCAGGGATGATCCACAATCTCCTGTGGATGAGCGAGTTGAGACACACGTTCTTTAAATTATCCATCAGATAATATCAGCCAGCCCTGCTGGCTCCCGAATGGCTTCCTGTGGTTGGCTTAAAAAATGCCTGGCTGCAGCCAGGTGCGGCGGCTCACGGCTGTAATCCCAGCACTTTGGGAGGCCAAGGCGGGTGGATCACAGGGTCAGGAGATCGAGACCATCCTGGCCAACATGGTGAAACCCCATCTTTACTAAAAAAACAAAAAACTAGCTGGGCATGGTGGTGCATGCCTTTAGCCCCAGCTACTTGGGAGGCTGAAGCAGGAGAATCGCTTGAGCCCAGGAGGCAGAGGTTGCAGTGAGCCATGATCTCACCACTGCACTCCAGCCTAGAGACAGAGTGAGACTCCCTTAAAAAAAAAAAAAAAAAAAGGCCTGGTTGCTGGGAGTCAGTATTTTTAGCCTTTTTCGTGTGTATTTTACTTGCTGTTCACCCTTTCGCATTTCAGGAATCTGGCTGTGCCCTAGTGGGTGAGGAAGAAGAGGCTGTTCCAATCCCCTATCCACAGGTGGGAAGACTGAGGCCAAGGGCTCACACATCAGCATCATGAGCATCACTTGTAGGGCTTGGAAACCACACATCAACGGTCCCCATCCTTCTGCACACCTGAGGATCCTTACAAATTAATGCTATCTTGTTCCACCCCAAACAGGTGCTTTAATTGGCGCCTTGGCATGACGTGGGCACTGGGGACAGGGAATTAAAGTCTTCCCAGTTAATGCTAATATGCAGCAAAGTCGTATCGTGCAGACTTAGGGTGTCATCCCCACCCTAGAGTTGCTGGGCTGAAGCCTGGGAATTTGCAGTTGTAACATGTTCCCAGGTGGCGCTGACGTTGCTGGTCTGGAGGCCATACGTTGATAGCCTCTGGGCAAGGGCGCCCTGGCAGAGGTTGGAGGGAATCTGGTCTCCTGGTCTCATGTGAGGGGTGTGGTCATCAGTGATGCAGCTTGAACGGGGGCAGGTCTGGAACTTTGATGTAGGAAAAACCACAATTCACTTTTCAAACCTTCTCCTGGAAGGTGCAATCTTTAGAATAGACTCTAACGTTTCAAAATGATCACAAGAGACAGGTTTGGCAAGCACGTTTGTTTTCTTGGTGTAGAGACAGATTTCTGGTGCTTCCTACTTTGCTCTTTTCCCTAACATCACTTCTATATTTTTAATATACTTAAATACTATATTAATCGATGGAGAAGGAGTATAAAAAGGAGGGAAGCTAGAAATTTGCTAAAAATCATTTAGTTATACACTTCAATGGACTGGATATTTTGGTATGTAAATTGCACCTCAATAAAACTGTTAAGAAACTTTGCCAACTGTGATGATAGTCACATGACAGTGTACCTTTGTCAAAACACTTCTAATGGTAAATTTTAAATGGGTGAATTCTATTGCTTGCGAGCTATACTTTAGTACAACTGACATAAAACAATGAAAGAATAATCCCAGCACTTCGGGAGGCCAAGGTGGGTGGGTCACTTGAGGTCAGGAGTTTGAGACCAGCCTGGCCAACATGGTGAAACCTCATCTCTACAGAACATACAAAAATTAGCCCGGCGTGGTGGTGTGCACCAGTAATCCCAGCTACTCAGGAGGCAGAGGCAGGAGAATCACTTGAACCCCAGAGGCGGAGGTTGCAGTGAGCCGAGATTGCTCCAGTGTACTCCAGCCTGGGCAAAAGAGCAAGCCTTCATCTTAAAACCAAAGCCAAACCAAAACAAACAAACAAACAAACCAAAACAATGAAACAAAGGCTTATTTCCCTGAAAACTAAGTTAAATGCATTGGACATCTTTATGTGAGTTCCTTTAAAAGTACTTTCATACTTAGTGTATCACTTATCAATTGCTGCATAGCACATTACCACACATGAGGAAGATGAAAACAACACATATTTATTATCTCACAGATTCGGTCAGGAGTCTGGGCATAGCTTAGCTTGGTCCTCTGTATTATGGTCTCTCACAGGGCTGCAATCAAAGTGCCAGCCAAGGCTGAGATCTCATGGGAAGGTGTGACCAGGGAAAGATCAGCTTCCAAGCTCATGTGATTGCTGGCAGAATTCAGTTTCTTTCAGACTCTTGGCTGAAAGCTACTCTCCAGTCTCGACACGTGAGCCTCTCCAGCATTGTCACTTGCTACATCAACATGTGCAAACCAAAAAGGTAACAGAGTCAGCCAGCAAGATGACAGCCAGAGCTTAGGCAATTTCATCAGACAAATGGCATTCCATCACTTCTGTTAAATCCGGTCGGTTAGAAGCCATTCACAGGTCCTGCCTATACTCAAAGGGAAAGGATTACATAATGGTGTGAAATTCCAAAACACGTAGGTGGGTCAGCATCTTAGAGGCTTCCTGCCATATTAGGTATAAACAAGATATTCTAAAAATTAGATAAAATTTTAAAAATTGAGGCTTATTAACACAGATTGCTTTCCAGGTACTTTATGTTCTTCCTTCATGATAAGAAAATTGGCTGGGTGCAGTGGCTCACACCTGTAAGCCCAGCACTTTTGGAGGCCAAGGCGGGATGATTGGTTCAGTCTCGGAGTTTGAGACCAGCCTGGTCAAGATAGTGAGACCCTGTCTCTAAAAACAAACAAACAAATATATATATATCTGCCCCTGGCATGGTGGTGTGTGCCTGTAGTCCCGCCTACTTAGGAGGCTGAGTTGGGGGGATTGCTTGGGCCCAGGAGGTTGAGGCTACAGTGAGCCATGATCCCCACACTGAATTCCAGTCTGGGTGACAGAGTGAGATTCTGTCTCAGAAAAAAAAAAGAAAATTAAAGATGGACACTATAGTAGGTGATAACATGATGGGAGTGGTTTACATAAAGATGATGCAGAGCTTCAGTCTGCAAAATGAAAACTAGAGAAAAGTTCTTATTCCTTGTCTTAGTTTAGGTTCCTCTGAAATCAGAGCCTGGGAAAGAGTTTGGGATAATGTAGCTTATTAGAAAGTAATTCAAGGAAACCGAAGTCAGGGAGTAGGAAAGGTGAGACAAGGATGGGAGAAAAGTGAATAAGGGGTGTATTAATATGCTAAATACCACTGTATCAGTGAGTGTGTTCTAAGGAACTTCTCCCACAATAGAAACTTAAAGCACTAACTATTTATCTCAAGGTTTTGTGGGTCAGCAATTTTGGTTGGGTTTTGGATGAACTACTCATATGTCAAAGGTGACTCTGTTGGACTGAAGGGGTGTGCTAGTCCTGGGTAGCTCTTGTCATGTGTCTGTCACTCGGGTGATTATTGGCAGTGGACAAAGACATGTAGGGTATGTGACTGCCCTCATCCATTAGCCTAGCTTGAGTTTATTCATACGGAACTGGTAGGACTCCAAATACTGCAATTGCAGAAGCTGCAAAAATTCATGAACCTGAGGCTTAGAACTCATACAAAGATGTGAGTTCCACATTCTGTTGGTCATAGCAAATTATAAGATCAGCTGGACTGGAAAGGTTTGGAAAGTAACTACTTTCCAAATTATATTCAGACACTTAATATAAATACAAAATGTCCAGCATTAAATAAAAAACTACTAGGCATGTAATACTACTGGAAAAAAAGTGTGACCTATACACAGAAGAAAATTCAGCCAGTAACAGCATACCCAGAAATGACCAAGCGTGAAAATAGCAGACAAGAATGTGAAACAGCTCCTATAAATATGTACAAGGAAAACATGAAGCTAATAGAGAAATGAAATGTTAAAAACACAAATAAAACTTTTGGACATGAAAATACAGTATCTGAGCTGAAATATTGCTGATGTAATAAATACTAGTTTAGACATCAAAGGAGAAAGGATCAGTGAATTTGCAATATCACCAGCAATGTATGAGAGTTACAGTTGCTCGACATCCTCACTAGCCGTTGTTACAGTCAGTTGTTTTCGGTTTAGCCATTCTAATAGATGTAATTGTATGGTTTTATTCTTTTTTTATTTTTATGTATTTATTTTTTTCGAGACAAGGTCTCACTCTGTCACCCACGCTGGAGTGCAGTGGTGTGATCACAGCTCACTGCAGCCTCAAACTTCTGGGCTCAAGCCATCCTCCTGCCTCAGCCTCCCAAAGTACTGGGATTACAGGTGTGAACCACCAAGCCTGGTCCACAAATAATATTTAGAATATTTTAATGGACTTATTAGACACTCATATTATTTATTTATGAAATGTCTGCTCAAATCTTTTTCACATTTATCATCCTTGTCTTCTTATGATTGAACTATAAGAGCTATTAAATTATTATTATGATAAGAGTAATTATTATTGAGTTCCAGTATATTCTGGATACACATTCTTTGTTGGGTACATATTTTATAAATATTTTATTGAAGTCTGTAGTTTGCCTTTTCCATTTTTCGATGATGTCTTTCATAGAGCAGAAGTTTTAATTTTCATAAAAATGAATTATTTTTATTTTTTGTTCATGCTTTTTTGGGGAGATGTTCCATATAAGAAATACTTTCCCACATGAAGTTTTTAAAGATTTCTCCTAAGTTTTCTTAGGGGTGTTTTATAATTTTGTCTCTTACATTAAGGTCTAGGTACCATTTCAAGTAATTTTATTTATGGTATAAGGAAATAAAGTTCATTTTTCTCTTTTAGAAAATCTAGTTCTTCCAGCAATATTTGTTGAAATATTATCCTTTTCCTCACTGAATTGCATTGGCACCTTGGTTGAAAATCAGTGAGTCATATGTGCTGATCTGTTTTTAAACTCTGTTCTGTTCCATCGGTGCTCATCTCTGTGTATACCAAAAATACACTGAATTGATTACTGCATTGATTCCTGTAACTTTATAGTAAGCTTTAAACTTACTATTCAGTAAATTGTTTGGCCATTATAAATACATATGCAGTGTTCAATGTCAGTATACAATTCTTCCATGTGGGCTTACCTGGTCTCCTCGGACACCCCCAACCTGGAGTCCTCTGACTCAGCTGTCTTGATGTGGCTACTGCTTCTCTGTCTACTCATGACTTGCCCTTCAGCCTCTTGGGTTACCATGACTCAACCTGTGCAGCCTCTGTTTGCTGTAGTTCCTTTGCCCTCCCTTGGACACTTTCCATGGTAAAATCCTTAAAAATGTTCCCAAGCCAATTCTCTCTCACAAAGAAGAAGAGCGGAGTCACATGTCATCCCCAGAAAACACACACCTTCGCCATTGGTAGGAGTGACACTCACCCTCCATGCCTCCTCCTTCTGTCTTTGCCTGTCGTCAGATTGTCAGTTACAACCAAAATTCTTCACTTTTAAATTTCTTCTGGTGGGGCTTATATTCCTCTCTTCATTTTTGCAACTCCCAAGTATCTTATGTTACATTTTGTTTTTCTCTTGAAAACTCCAACTTAGTTTGATGCAAGGAAGGCACCCCACACTGTCCCCCATGAATATCAGAAAATACAGTCTGCCTCAGCAACCCTATTAAAAGACTTCATTGCTTTTGGCCTTTGACTTAACACCTCATTCTGGAAAGAGGCAAGTGACGGGTAGTGTCTGAGAGCCCCTCTAAGGCTCTCTTGGAGTATCCTGCCTGTGCAGGTTCAGCAGACGACCAGCGATGCTGAAGCCCTGGCACTCTGACTCAGCATATACTGCCTGGGTGGTTCCGCTGATCACTGAAGCTGCAGGATGAGGAGGCAGTTGACCTGCCTGTTTTAACCTTGGCATTTTGGGACCAGCCAAACCAAGACAGAGTCCCATTTCAACATCCTGTTACTTGTGTGCTTTCCTTATAAGAGGTTCACAGCTTTCGTCATATTATCCAAAAAGCTTATGTCATCGAAAAGAGGTTAAGAACTACCATATACCCTAAAACTTAAAGTATAATAATAATAATAAAAAGAAATCAAGAAACCAAGATTTTCATATAAAAAAAGAACTACTATATAGACAATATTTGCTCACCTGAATTTTAATAAATGCATTCATCACAGTTGTGCAGCAATTTTTTTTCCTGCTCAATACTGGGACTCAAAAAAAAAAAAAAATCCATCCAAAGTTTGTGTGACTGCCATAGTCCAAAACTAAAGTCTGGATTAAATACCTGTGATCAAGGGACATTTTGTGCTGGAATTAATCTTATTTTTTGAGCTTTACTTCATGGTACTACCACTAGCAAAAAACTGTTTTTGAAGTCTTGTGGTGTTCTGGATTTGGCTTTCAAGGGCTGATTGTATGCATCTCTCTCTAATTCTAGGTTTGAGTTTCCCTGAAATTGGCCACTGTGGGTGTATTTACACCAAGGAAATTGGCAAACACTAAAAATTCAGGGTTTATTTTCAGAGATCCAGTTGTTAAATCTTTATCATGTATCATTAGACAAGACTCTCATCTGGAAAGATGTTGCTTGATCCAGAGAAACAAACATTAATTTTTTTAAAAAAAATTTGAGACACATATCAATCCTGCAGAAAAGTATAGAGAATAATAAAACAAACATTTGTGTTCCCATCTCTAGACATTTTTAAATCTTTATTTTGCCATTTGGTTTTAGGAGGGAGGGAAAAAGATGACAGAGTGTGTGTGTGTGTGTGTGTGTGTGTGTGTGTGAGAGAGAGAGAAAATGCATGAGAGTGTGCTTTTTGTTTTGATAATGGAAAAAATATAATTTTTCAATTCTGCAGTAAGCTAAAACTATTGCATTAATTTAGTTTGGGGTGCAACTAAACTAAAATTTTGTATATAATCTGCTTAGATAATTATAGGTATGTTGCTGTGCCATCTAACTATTTTTAAAGGCAGAATATGAAATGTCTGCTATTACTTTTGGTTCTCTGAGCCCATGTTTCCAATACTCACTAAACCTCATCTTCATAAATAGTGCTGTGCTAGGACCAGTGACTGGAAAAATATCAGTCCTTCATCTTCAGAAATTCATAGCAAAATTGCAGAGTAAAACTTATTATTAATAAATATTTCTATTTGGAAAAAGAATAATAACGTTATTTTATAATTAATAATGACAGTTATTATTAACTGAGAAGTAGACTTAAAAGGTAATAGTGGTGTTGATTACTTCACATCTAGTATCTCATTTTCTCCCTAACCACCCAATGAACCAGGTACTCTAATTTTTCACATTTTATGGATTTGAAAATTGGATTTACCTAAAATATAACTTTTATACATAGCAAGTATCAGTTTCAGGAATGGAACCCATTCCTCTCTGACTCTAAATCCATGTTCCTCACCACTGAAGACTGATCAACTCAAGTGGATGTTTCATGGTGGGGGGTGGGGGTGTGACTGGAGGATGCTTGTTGGGCCATTTGCGTGGGCCCTTTGTGTTAGGCTGTTTTCATATTGCTGTAAAGAAATACCTGAGACTGGGTCATTTATAAAGAAAAGAGGTTTAATTGGCTCACAGTTCTGCAGGCTGTACAAGCATGGTGCCAGCATCCGCTCTGTTTCTGGGGAGACCTCAGGCAGCTTTTACTCATGGCAGAAGGTGAAATGGGAGCAGGCACCATACATGGAAAGAGTGGGAGCAGAAGAGAGTGAGGCTGGAGGTGCCACACACTTAAACAACCAGATCTTGCAGCTACTCACTCACTATTGCAAGGACAGCACCAGGCCATGAGGGATCCATTCCCATGACCCAAACACCTGCCATCAGGCTCCACCTCCAACGATGGGGATTACATTCCGACAAGAGATTTGAGTGTGGACAAGTATCCAAACTATATTATACTGAATTCCTTATTGATCTCAGGTGAATTCTTTAGAGTTATCTGCAAGGAAAGCTGCGGCACTAAGAGAGTGCCATTGAAGGACGGGAAGAAGACAGTCCTTGAACAACTTGAAGCTTACATCTTATTTCCCCAATACGAATTTGCAGTTGCTGTAAATTAACATTTTAACAAATGCCATAATTACAAGTGACTACCATAATTATGTTACAATGCTTTTGCATGTGTTGACAGTATTTATTTAGAAAATGTCAATATTAATATATGCCACAGTTTCTGTCAACTTGTGTTGACATTGCTCTTTAAAAGAAAAAGAGGAATTTGCTGGGCTTCTCTTGTCTTTAGATGGACCCATATCTTGTAAATAAATTGTTGCTGGTTTTTTAAAAAAAATCCATGTGTATAAGTGATAAGAGATGTTCCTGACACGGGAAGGGTTCCACACAGTGGAGGGACTGAATATGATAATGGCCAGTGTTTGTTTATCCAAATACAATTTTTCTTAATCAAACAAAAACACACAAACCCAGGAAAATTAGCACTTTCCTCGAACGCCAAATGTCCTCATCTTTTCTTGGAGATGTGTTTTCTATGCTGAGGCAGCCTTGACCTCAGGTGAAAGGGAAAAGCCCCCCTCCACCTGATTAGAGTAAATGATGGGTAAGGAAGCCATCACACCTGCCCATGCAGCTGAGCGGCAGCACAGGGTGAGCATGGCAAATGAGCAAGGAGAGTGGCCATGGCCTCTACTTCATGATTCTGCAGCCACGGCCTGAGGAGGCTGCACTCCAAGGGGTGAGGAAAAGCACAGCTGCCCAGCTGTTGTGGTTTTCTGGCTCTGAGACACCTGTTGAGCCAGCATGAACACAGCTCACTCTGGCCATTGGTCCTCAGCAGGTGCCACTGATGCAGCCCTGTATTCATTTTCCATGGAACCTTTCAGTGTCTCTTATCACAGAAATCAATACACATTGTGAGCCCCATTTTAACAAGAAAGGCAATTGTCAGGGCAATGATCACTACTGCAAAATAAAGTATTTTCTAGAGCATGTTTCCACAGTACCAATTTAACCGGGATAAAGAAGAATTTGCTGAAAATTTGACATTTTCGTGGTATTACACTGGTTATATTTTTAGGATATTATTTCCTAATTGAGTGAACTGTCTAGATTTTCCAATAGCTCCCAAATACTAAAAGCGTTAGAAAACTTTAGTGTGGATACTGATATTTTCTCAGTAAAACCTTACTGTCTGGGACTATATAGCTCCAAAGTCGTTAATAAACGTAATTTTCCCAAATAAAATTTCCCAGCAGCCCAAATTCTTTCTCTGGAAGGGGAGCTTTAGCTTTGGTGTCAAATGCTTGTTGCATGATCTTTGGCTTAAATGGGCTGACTTGGCACCCACGTGTTTTAAAGGCGTTTCCATTGACCTTCGAGGACACTCAGTGCCCCCTAGTGGATCACACGTGCAGCCTCCACCAACACCCAGCACGTCGGTGACGTCAATTCCCGCCCCGCAGCCGGGCTGAGGAGTAACTCCTTCAGAAAAGGAAGGGCAGGGAGCCCTTACACCCCATTTTTTCCAAAGTCACACCCAGAGACTGACAGCAGACAGATAGTTTCCCATAGCTTCCAACATCCCTGTCTGGAGACCAAAAATAAATGCCTCACCAAGATGTTTTGATTACTTGAATCACACACTGTCACAATCAAAGAACCCAAACGTCTATATTTTTGCTGAAACAGGCGGCTTAGAGCTTTCTGTGTCCCCAACACATATTTTGGTTATTTTTCTAACTCTGCTCTTCCCCTGAGTCCTTTCTTGAGTCCTTCTCCATATTAAAAGTGGTGCTAGCAATGCGGAGACCATGGACTGAATAGTATGCCGAAATTAGCTTGATGAAAACCTCTAATTAAAGGGGAATCATTTTTTATTCAAACAAACCCTGTGCTTCACAGGATTAAATATCTTATATTTAAGTCAATGATAATTGTGAATTACGGATCCTTTGCAAGAAACAATGCAAAATTGGCTACTGGGCCTGTTTCCAAAGTTAGGGTAAATTTATGACAAACTTGATATTGACCAATAATATTTTAACAGATTTTAAAATTACTAGCATTGCTGCTTACAAGGAATTTATTAGATGAGATGAAGTAAAATATATTGAAATAGATATCTTTTTGAAATATTAGTAGACCGTATACTAAATCACAGCAAATATAAAACTTCTCCTTTATGTGTATTCCTACTCGAAATTATAAACAGTGCTTTTAAGTTTTCATGCCAAGAAGTACCCAAAGTTAAAAGAATATCCCCACAAATAGAGGTTTCCATGGAGGGATTAAAATTAGGGATTTATAATTTAGAGATTTCATAAATTATATTCACAATTTTCATCCCTAAAGTACTGAGCACATGATTATTTGCTATATTATGCTTTATACCTGCAACAACATATTGCAAGAGAATTCTTTTTGTCTTAACGAAGGATAATTGCCTGGAGTTCACAAGTTCTACAATGAGGTGCGGACCACAATGGGAAAAGGGCACCTGGAGATATTGAGGTAGATGTTGCAAGCAATATAATTGCCTCATCCCCATAATTGTCCAGATATTAATTCTCATGCTATGGTTTGGATATGTTCCCCAAAGATTATGTGTTAGAAACTTAACCCCGAATGCAGCAGTATTGAGAGGTGGGGCCTATAAAAAATGATTAGGTCATGAAGGCTCTGCCCTCATGAATACATTAATGCCATTATTATGAGGGTGGGTTTCTTATAAAATGAAAAGTTCGGCCAAATTTCCTTTCTCTCTCACCCATGTGATGCTTTCCGCCATCTTATGACGGAGCAAAAAGGTCGTCACCAGATACGATTCCTCAATCCTGGACTTTCTAGCCTCTGGAATTGTGAGACAAATACATTTCTGTTCATTATAAATGACCCAGACTGTGGTATTCCTTATAGCAACACAAAACAGACTAAGACACCCCAGAACCAGTAAATATGATAGGTTACATGGCAAGGGGAAATTTAGGTAGCCAATAGAATTAACGTTGCTAAGAAGCTGATCTTGAGATGGGAAGATTAGCCTGGGTTATATGAATGAGCTCAATGCTATTACCAGGGTTCTTAGAAATGACACAGGAGGCAGAAGATGGAGACTGTTAGGTTGGAGTTACATAGCATGAGAAAGTCTTAACCAGCCATTGCTGGCCTTGGAGATTAAAGACGGCCACAAGGTGAGCAACTGGAAAGCCTCTAGAGTTTGCAAAAGATGAGAAAATGGGTTCTACCCTAGGGGATCTAGGAAGGGACCCTTAATTCTAGCCCAGAGACACCCATTTCAGACTTCTCTCTTTCCAAAATAGAAAATAAACTTGTACTGTTTTAAGCCACTAAGTTTGTGATAATTTGTTACAGAAGCAATAGTAAACTAACATGGTATAAAAGTGTTGACACTTGGGTGAGGGGCCCAAGAAGCAGCACAGTCTAGGAAGCCTCTTTGTCCTTGTGGGCTGGAGACTCCTTTCTTCTGCCCAGAGACATTAGGCTAATTGAAGGACTCTGGTAAGGGGATCCCACCGCCAAACCCCCTCCCTTCTGAAAGACACCTACCAGTCTGGCCTGGAGAAATCCCTTTTAGCCCCTTAGGCAAAGCCAGCAGGGATCCATGAGAGCTCTAGTGCCACTAGATAAACCAAGCAGACCAAAATAATATCACAAGGGCTCTGAAAATTAAGCTCTCTTTGGAACCATAGTCCACAAAACTGACCAAGACCCACATGCTAAACATCAACAGGGTAACTGCCTAGTTAAAAAAAAAAACTGAATGAAAGCAAGTTTTCACACTTCAGCTGTTGTGATAAAATGTTGACACCAGTAGATTGCAATGCATCACACAAGTATATTGCGACACACCCGGAACAACCACAACCAAACATACACAAAAATATGTGCTGTAAAACACTAAATAAATCAGAATGGAATCCTAACAAAGTTCAAATAACCTGCGGCATTGTAAGAGAAGAAAAATAGGAATGAGAATCATAAAAGTAGTCTCCTAAGATAATTGACAAATTTTAGAGAATAAGATAGAAATTACCATATCAGGATGCCAAAAAATCACAGCTTGAATGAAAAAAAAATCAACTGATGCCAATGCTAAGATGAATAAGATATTGGAATTATCTAAAAGAAACTTAAAGCGGGCATCAGAAAATGGTGTCTCAACAATCAATTACAAAATCTTTCTAAACAAAAGAAAATATAAAATCTCAGTGAAATAGTAAATGCTATTTAAAAAACCAAGTGGAAATTTTATAACTAAAAAATACAGTAACAACGTGAGCTCAATAATAGAATGGAGATAACAGAGGACAGAAGCACTGAATTTAAGTAAAGAAAAAGAAAATTTACCCAGTTTGAATAGCAGAGAGGGAATAGACTGAAATAAATAAATAAATAGAGCTTCAGTGACTTGTGAGACAATACGAAAAGACTCAATGTTTGTATCATTGCATTTCCAAAAGGAGAGGAGTAAGAAAGCAGCTGAAAGATTGTTTTAAGAAAGAATAGCTTAAAACATCCTAAATTTGGTGAAAGATACAAACCTACATATCCCAGAAGCTGAGAAAACTCCAAACAGGACACGTGCAAAAAATGCATGCCAGATTGTTTCATAATTAAACTTCTGAAAAGTGACCAAAAAGTAAAAAATGTGAAAGCACCAAAGCGAAATGATAAATTGTCTTTAGGGAAACACAATTTAAAGAACAGTGGATTTCTCCTCTGAACCACAGAAGATAGGAAGAAGTGATATAATATTTTCAAGTGCTGAAAGAAAAGAACCATGAATTCTGTATCTGGTGAAACTATTCATCAGAAATAAAGGAAAACTAAAAGAATTTGCTGTAGACCTACCATTAAAAATTGTTAAAATAAGAAACAGAAAGAAAATGAAAGAGCTTAGATGCATCAGGAATTACGAAGGACAAATAAAAAGAACAGAAATGATATGTCCAATGGACTACTTTTTGCTTCATGAGTTTTGAAAATCATATTTGATTATTGAAACAAAAAGTACCATCTAAAACTCAAGACAATTGACAATTAAAAGCAGGAAAGCAAAAATAACCTAAATGGCAGTGAAGTTTTCACACTTTACTTGTGGTAAAATGTTGACACTAGTGATTGTAATACATCATATAAGCATATTTGGGACACATCCAGAGCAACCACTACCAAACCTACACAAAAATATACACTCTAAAATGCCATAAACCAATCAAAATGAATCCTAAATAAAGTTCAAATAACCTGCAGGAATGTAAGAGAAGAGAAACAGGAATGGAAAACCATAGAAAGGAAATTGTAAAGTGACAGATTTAAAAACAAAAAAATCTATATTTACCTTATATGAATATATAAATAATGTAAATACACCAATCAAAAGACAGAGATTAGCAGAGAGGATAAAAATAGTGTGATTCTACTGTATGTTACTTAAAAGAGACTCACTTCAAATTCAATGACATCAGTAGGTTGAATGCAAAAGGATGGAAAAAGATATGAAATGCCATCATTAAAAAAATGAGCTGGAGTAGCTGTATTAGTATATGGTAAAGTAGACATCAGAGCAAAGCAAATTACTAAAGAGAAATGAGAACACTGCATAATGATAAAAGGATAAATCAACCAGAAAGACAATAATCCTTTATATGTGCACACCAAACACCAGAGCCTCAAAATGCATGGAAAAAAACTAATAGAGCTGAAAAGGAGAAACAGAAAATCCACAGTTAAAGTTGGAGACATCAATAAACTCAGCAACCGATAGAACAACTACTCAGAAAATTAACAAGGATATAGAAAATGTGAACAACAAAATCAATTGACAGGATCTAATTGACATTCATTCCAACAACAGAGGAATGCTCATTTTTTTTAAGTACCCATGCAATATTCAACCAAGGTAGACCATATTAAGGACCATAAAATTAAGCTCAACAAATCTAGAAAAATTAAGATCATGCAGAATGTGTTTTCTCACTATAATAAAATCAAAGTAGAAATTAATAACAGAAAGACAACAGGACACCCCCCCAAATATGTGGAAATTAAACCACATGCTTATGAACAATTTATGTGTAAAAAAGGAGGTCTTGAAGGCACTAAAGTACATAACACTGAATGAAAATGAAAACACCATATATCAAAATGTATGGGATGCAACTAAGTGGTGCTAAGATGAAACTTTACAGCACTAAATCTTTTTATTAGAAACAAAGAAACAAAGATCTCAAATCAACAACCTAAGTTTCTACCTGAAGATACCAGAAAATAAGGAGAAAAATAAAACCAAAACAAGTAAAAGTGGGAAATGATGAAAATATGAGTAGGAAACAATCAAATTGGAGATAGAGGCTAGGCCCGGTGGCTCACACCTGTAATCCCAACACTTTGGGAGGCTGTAGCAGGTGGATCTGTTGAGGTCAGGCGTTCGAGACCAGCCTGGCCAATGTGGTGAAACCCCCATCTCTACTAAAAATACAAAAATTAGCTGAGTTTTTTGGCACACACCTGTAATCCCAGCTACTCAAGAGGCTGAGGCACAAGAATCACTTGAACCCAGAAGGCAGAGGTTGCCGTGAGCCAAGATCACGTCACTGCATACTAGCCTGGGTGGCAGAGTGAGTGAGACTCCATTTCAAAAAAGAAAAATAACAATAACAACAAAACCCCCAAATTGAAGGTACGAAACTAATACAGAAAATCAATAAAATAAAAGTTGATTCTTAATCAAGGAACATTACTTGTGTGACCTTAAACAGATCAGGATCTCAGAAAAAGTAGACCCTTTCAGCTTTTGGAGTGTTTGAAACAGTTCCAAATTTTAGAGTTTTTGCATAATACCAAGCCTATTACTACAGAGAAAAAAGTAATTTAAAAATTATTCATAATTAAAACTTTCACGTTAGTGACATTTTTCAAATTTGACATGTCACTTTTATAACGTATTTAACATCAGAAAAGATTTTAGGCATTGCCATATGGGAATTAGGTAATGCTGAAATGGAAATAAAATATTGTGTTCTCGGCCGGGTGCGGTGGCTCACGCCTGTAATCCCAGCATTTTGGGAGGCCGAGGCGGGCGAGTCACGAGGTCAGGAGATCGAGACCATCCTGGCTAACATGGTGAAACCCTGTCTCTACTAAAAATACAAAAAATTAGCCGGTCGAGGTGGTGGGCGCCTGTAGTCCCAGCTACTTGGGAGGCTGAGGCAGGAGAATGGTGTGAACCCAGGAGGCGGAGCCTGCAGTGAGCCGAGATCGCACCACTGCACTCCAGCCTGGGCGACAGCGAGACCCCGTGTAAAAAAAAAAAAAAAAAAAAAATTGTGTTCTCAAGACAGAATCAAGTGGAAAATATTGTTTATAAGAAAACTAGCTTGCATCATAAGTAAGATTCACAGTATTTTAAATTCTCTGGAGGCATTTTTCTCATCTTTGAACTAACTCTTTAGACAGTTACATCAACTGTGTTCAATTTTTTCTATGAAAATAAAAGCAGAACTGCCTATCACACTTCAGGGATGGCCAAGAAACACGGAAGGCCTGGCTGGCTAACAAATTGAGACTCTAAGTCAATATTCTAAAAAATATAATTCAACATTAATTTAGAGGAAAGGAAGAAGTGTGTAAGAAAAAAGAGGACAAAAATAAACATTATTCAGTCTTAGTCTTATTATAAGCAGCTCAACAATGGCCCTCGTTTGCATACTTCATTCAACAACACAACAAGAGCAACAAACAAATGCACTAAGATGTTAATCAGGAACATCCTCCTTAGCAGATCTACTCCTCTACACAGTAAAGATTTAGCAAAGATTCTTCTCTCTCCATATGACCCCACAAGTGTTGACTTTTGAATGGTTGTCCATCTTGATCACGTCTTCATCTGGATCTGGAAAAAGTTGGTTATGTATAAAAACCGAAAGAAAGATGGGACTGATAGTATCAAGATTTGGACTTGGGAGAGACTTGGAGGCACTCTTTTCGGTGTAATTTGCATATGGTAGGAAGTGAATGTTTTCTTCCAAGGGAAGGCCAATATATTTATTAAACTTACACCCATCTCCTCTTAATTTACATTGACTGCTCTGTAATTTATCAAATATCCACATGTATTTAGTTTAGTTTCTTGGTATCCCAATTTATTCCACTGGTCTATTTTGTCAGCCTGGAGTTTTGGCCTGCCCAAGTAGATCCCTGTGTCCAGTCCTGGTCCCAGGCAACTATTGTTTTCTTCTAACATGCATTGCACATTGGAACCTCTGCTAAGTATTTTGCAGTATACCCAGCATTGAGGCCATGCCATGAAGGTGGCTGGAAGTGTGGGCTTGGTAACTTTGCCACTTATCAGCTAAGTGTTTTGGGAAAATTACCTACCCTCTAAGCATCCTTTTCTTCATGTGTAAATTAGTGTACAGATAGTGCCCACTCACCTGTTTTCTGTAAGATTAAAATTAGAAAAGTATATCTAAGTCCTCAGCCCATTAATTGTAACATAAAAAGTGCTTAATCAGTGACATTATTTACATTAGCCATTGCACTATAAATTATAGTACCTGGAACACAATAGCTTTATAATGATTACAATAGTTAGTGTAAGTAAAACACCTAGTACAAAGTAATGCCTTCCACATATTATATGGCTAATAAATGTTAATTGCTTCCCTAATACCTCTCCACTTATTTCGTTCCCTAATGCATCTCCTTCTCTGCACACGCATTTGGTATCATTAGGATCGAATTTGGGGAGAAATGTGTAAAAATACTATGAAACAGCGCAGGAATATATTTTTAAAAACTCTTTAATGGCCATCTTTCCAAAGCGTCAATAAATAACATATCCTGGGGTAGGTGTTTAGGGTCTTATTTTATTTTTAAGCATTTTCTGCCATGGACAAATTGTTGAACACGGAGATTTAGAATAAGTCAGCGTGTTGCAGTGTTCTACATGTGTGAAAATATAAAAAAAAATTAACAGAGAACTTCTATTTAGATACAAGAAGTGACTTTTCTCTAGTAATTTTCCCTTTATTTCACTCCATCCAGATCCCTTTTTTAAAATCTCTGTCTGAATTAAGCATCTGCTACTAATTATGACAGCATTTCAAATCAGAAGGAGTGAAAAAATACTACAAAAAGGGAAAGATCTATTTTTGAAAAAAAATAATTCTTTTTTATTCTGCAACTAGGGCTCCATTTTAATGCTCCAGAAATTCCGCAAGCATTAAGTAAAACTGAAAAAGGAGGGTGTGAGTTGGGAATGACTGCTTGGCTTCGTGCTAAGAAAGGGATGTGTGTGTGGCCATGATGAATGTGCTGCTATATGTACTTAGGCTGGTCTCAATTACATGAATGTTTGTCTCTATATGGAAACACCAACAAGGTGATACAATGAAGAATGTTTGCAGAGTACACAATTCTGATGGGCTGTGCAAATCCCTACATATATGAAAACATCCATGTCACACTGGCTGCATATATTCTGCGTGCACATAAGACTTTACATCTTACATATATACAAACATACATAGCACACTAACTGCATCTTACATATATGCAAACATACATAGCACACTAACTACACATGTTCTATGTCTGTATAAAATATTATATATCTTGTCTATGTACAAGCTTCAATTTACACTAACTGCATATATATGTTTATAAAGTTGTACATATCAAATGTACAAAATAGCAATATAACACTATCTCCATATAATATGAATGTATATAAAATCATTGTACATTTATACAACCCTATACTAAAGGGTTGTATAAGTCCCTTTAATAAATTAGATCACCCAACTGAAAGAATAAATGCAACTGTTTTGAAAGTGGTTTGGGGGTTTATAGTCCCTACTGAAACCCAAGTGCCACTTCTAGTATTACTGTCTTCTCTGCCATGTATAGCCTGAGATTAAGACATGCATTGATTATAAGACCAGTTAGTCAAGGACTAAATATAATAGCAACCGAACTCCTTGATTTTATCTAAAGCTTATGTGTTTTATATGCATTCTATGAAAGCCTGTGACCTCTGGGTTCTTAAAATTCCTCCAATCTTATGTAGCAGGAGGTGTATTGCAAGACTAGATTTTGAACTTTTGTAGTAAAAATCCTTAACGAATTCAGACAAGCATGTGTTGCGCAGTACACTTTAGTGGCAAAATGCTCACTATCTCTGCTTATCAGGTTTAATCAGACTTATAATGATTAAATTATTATTAATGATTATTGTGAAGTTGTTATTATTAATTGACTCCATTAAGTCTGCCATAGTCTTGACTAAATATCTCTAATATATGTATATGTCTATGTGTGGGTATATTAGTACATTTTGCATGTTTAAATTTGCTAAAGCTTGCTAATGCTTATTCTGCATTTTTATTTTTTAAGTTTCTTAATG
Source organism: Homo sapiens (assembly GCF_000001405.40). Lineage (NCBI taxonomy): Eukaryota > Metazoa > Chordata > Mammalia > Primates > Hominidae > Homo > Homo sapiens. The sequence goes on from NC_000012.12 coordinate 125,782,270, forward strand.
GGGTAAGTACCAGAACACCATATCAAAACAGTTTACACCTAAAAAAGGAATTTACTAGCCCATGTAGTCAGGAATTTAAGGCTTGGCTGGATCTAGAGGCCATTGCATCTCTTTACTTTTCTTTCATTTGGTGAACTCAGCTTCTGCTCTGCTGTTGACATTTTAATTTTCTTTTTTCTTTTTTTGAGACAGAGTCTCACTCTGTTGCCCAAGCTGGAATGTAGTGGCACGATCTCTGCTCACTGCAACCTCTGCTTCCCGGGTTCAAGCAATTCTCCTGCCTCAGCCTCCCAAGTAGCTGGGACTATAGGCGCATGCCACCACACCTGGCTAATTTAGTAGAGACAGGGTTTCACCATGTTGCCTAGGGTGGTCGCAAACTCCTGAGCTCAGGCAATCCACCTGCCTCGGCCTCCCAAAGTGCTGGGATTACAGACATGAGCCACCGCGCCTGGCCTGCTGTTGACATTTATCTCAGGCAGCTTCTCTCCACGAGCTGAAAAGATACTCCCCAGCAGTTCCAGGCTTGTGTCTCCCTTATAAGTAGCAGTCTCAGAGTAAATAGAGTGATGTTCTGTCCCCGAGTAGCAGGTCAATCCTTGCAATAGAAACTATCTGGAGCTGCAAACTTATATTCCAACTCCAGCTGAGTGCTTGTTTCTAAGGGCTGGGGAAACATAACTGGCCAGGCTGAATTATAGCTTACATGCTAGACATGGACTTGCATGGTATAGATAAGTAGTTATAGATAAATAGTTATGTTCAGATCTAGAGTTGGATGCCTGTTCTCAAATCCCTACTCAGCCGCTTAATAACTATGTAAATTTCAGCAAGTCTTATGACCTTCTCTGTGAGTTTCCTTACCTGTAAAATAAATACAATCATACCTAATATATAGGGTTGTTCTGAGGATTAAATGAATTATTGTCTGTAGAGGATTCAAAACAGTGACTAGCATGTAGTAGGCACTACATACTACATACGTGTTACTGATTAATGAAGCTGCAGATTTGAAAACCCCAACAGGAGCCCATGGAATTGAATAGAGGAAGTTCTTAAAAGGAAAAGATACAGGGTGCACACACACATGTACAAGGGATTGTTGACCGCTCCTTAATTTTGCTTATTGCTGATTTAATTAGCATAGCAGCTATACGAAGAAGATGCTGTTATTATGTCTATTTTAGAGACGAGAAAGCTGAGGCTTAGGAAGTTTAAGCAAATTGACCAAAGTCACCTCGTTACCAAGTGGCAAGGCAGGTACCTGAATCCAGATCTGCCGTAAACCAAGTCCGTGCTCCAAATCCCACTTCAAACTGCTCATCCCTGCTTACACCCATGCCTCAGAGGGCTTTTATGTGGATTTATAAAGAAAAACCTCAATTAAAATGACAAACTGAAAACAAGCACCTCCCCTGTCCTTATTGGTGCCATATTAATAGGATAAGTATCTCCATGAGCAAAGCTAGTTATCTTGGCTCCACAGAGCCCAGGAGCAGCACAGACCCTCAAAGGGTACACAGCCCTGGGGTCACTGTCAGCACAAACTCTGTCATTATTTCTCCTTTGGGAAAACCAAGCTTCATAGCACCAGTGGAGAAACCAATGAGGATCCAAAATGACAGTTGGTAACTTTTTATATGGTCCACCCGTTCTACAGTCCAATACAAGAATGTGCAGAGAACATGAAAACTATGAATTCTAAGGAATATCTTAAACACAAATTTTCACATTATAAGATCTTAACATTAGAAGATTTTTCAGGCTGGGCGTGGTGGCTCATGCCTGTAATCCCAGCACTTTGGGAGGGTAAGGCGGGTGGATCACCTAAGGTCAGGAGTTGGAGACCAGCTTGGCCAACACAGTGAAACCCTGTCTCTACTAAAAAAATACAAAAAATTAGCTGGGCGTGGTGGTGGGCACCTGTAATCCCCACTACTCGGGAGGCTGAGGCAGGAGAATCTCTGGAACCTGGGAGATGAAGGTTGCAGTGAGCCAAGATTGGGCCACTGCACTCCAGCCTGGGCAGCAGAGTGAGACTCTGTCTCAAAAAAATAAATACATCAAACAAATAAAATAAAATAAAATAAATAGAAGAGTTTTCAAATGTTCCTAGCTCAAATTTGTAGCTTCCCTCACCTCGAGCATAGCTATTCTTTAAGCGAGAGTTTTTTTTTTTTTTTTTTTTTCTTGAGGTGGAGTCTCACTCTGTCTCCCAGGCTGGAGTGCAGTGGTGTGATCTCAGCTCACTACAGCCTCTGCCTCCTAGGTTCAAGCAATTCTCCTACCTCAGCCTTCTGAATAGCTGGAATTACAGGTGTGTGGCATCACATCCAGATAATTTTTGTATTTTTAGTAGAGAAGGTGTTTCGCCATGTTGGCCAGGCTGGTCTTGAACTCCTGACCTCAGGTGATCCGCCCACCTGGCCCTCCCAAAGTGCTGGGATTACAGGTGTGAGCCATTGTGCCCAGCCTAAGTGAGAGTACTTCTAAAGTGAGATGAAATAGTAGACACTGGATAAAAATTAGCTTATATTATGAAAAACATACCTAAGACGTATGCTTTCAAATACACTGCTAAAAATAAATTTCTGGAACAACAGAAAAAGGAGAATCAGATGCTGAATTAAAGAAAATCTTAATACCTTCAGTCCTTGTCTTAATGAAGCTATGCAGTTGGCTTATTCAAGAATGACTCCACACATGAAATTAGAGATAGTAAATGACGCCATGAACTGTTTTATTTACATGAAATGTGGGTTTATTGTCATCCAGATTGGTGTAATTTTTTTTTAAGTGTTAGAAACGGTTTGGGGAAATTTGCTTTTCTTTAAGTCCAAGAGTTAAAGACCCAATGTCAAATAGTGGGTCTTCTTTCCCCCAAATTAGTAATGTTCTTGATGGTGTCTATTCTGTTCATTATTTTGGCCATTTCCTTGTCCTGTAGTCAGACATTCATTACTGTACTAGAAACGGTTGCAAACTTCCTTTTACAAAGGACAAGCTGAGGAAGATGTCCATTAACATCAGAGGTCCCAAGAGCATGACTCTTCGAGACCTCCTCTACCTCTCTTTCTGTCTCCTTAAATACAGAATTATAGGAGGAACATCTGTCATTCTGAATGAACAAATTCTAACAGAAATTCCTGATATATTATTATGGTTATTATTTTCTATTTTGCTTCCCAGAAACCAACATTTTAGCTTAACACAAACCGGCAACAGAATAGGTATAAAGATCTATTTATATGGGATTTTGTCTCATCTGTCTTAATAAATATATTGGGGCTTATAGCCTGTGAAGCTGCAAACCTTGGTCATTTTAGACCTTTCCCTCTTCCTCATGGTTTGAAAAAATTTTCTTCAGCTCAAATCCCAGAAAACAAAAAGTTCTTGATGTCAAGACAATTGAGAGATGGTGCTCTCAAAGCGGTAATAACTGTGTGTGTGTGTGTGTGTGTGTGTGTGTGTGTGTGTGAGCTTCTCACCTGAAAAAAAAAGAACTAACATTTTTCCTCTCACTTGAATCAGAAGCAAACATATGTGGGTCACAGCATCTCTTTCACATATGAGTAAAGTTGCCTCTTCATATGAGGGAGAGTTGAAACCAACCATGTGCCCTTGGGCAAAGCAAGAACAAGGACTCCTGTGGCTCTCCACTACTCTTATTTCTGCCACCTGGACCTTTGACAAGATGTGGCCAACTCTCTGGGCCTTAATATCTCCAGTTACAAAAGAGATACAATAATAATGCTGCCTGAGTAGGATGCACTGTGAGGATGCCCAGGAGACGGGAAGGAGATTTACTGCTGGTGATATCCTTTGACCTTGAAATCACTGCTTCCTGCTCAGGAATTTAAGTCTGTCTTCTGCAGTGAAGGAGGCACGAATCATCTTCTAAGCCAGACCTTTTGCTAGTGAGAAGGAAATATTGGCTTTCCCAGAAATGTTACCTTCCCTGCTTCCAAAATCTAATATTTCCCTGAGGCTCTACCATATAAAGAGTTCTGGTTGGAAAATCTGAGTTTCAATACTAATGTTACCATCAGCCTTCTGTGTGATTCATCTTCAGTAACTTCTAACCTCAATTGTTTTCACAAGGGATTATTAATATGTTCTTCATCTAGTGTGGAAATAGATAATCAGTTTTTGTTTATTTGAATCCCTGGAAGCATTAAGCATTCATTAAGAAATGAGCATGTGAGGACATTTTATAAAACGATTGTGAAAGTTCTAATCTATCTCCAGGGACAGTCTTCTCTAATTTTCTTCTCTTTCTTTCTTTTCTTTTTTTCTTTTCTTTTTTTTTTAAGGAAGTCAGTATCCGAGAGAAGGCAAATGCCTTCCCTGAGTACAGACCTCCCACCCCTGAAGTCTTAACCCCTAGTACCCCTTAATTGAAAATAGGGTTGTTGCAGATGTAGTTAGCTAAGATGGGGTCATATTGGAGTACGGCGGACCCCTAATCAAATATGACTGGTGACCTTGTCACAAAGAAAATTTGGACACAGGGACAGGCATGTATGCAGGAAGAATGCCAGGTGAAGGCTGGAGTTATGCTGCTGCAAACTAAGGAGTACCTAGAATTGGGAGATAGGCCTGGGACAGACCCTTCCCTGGAAACTTCAGAGGGAACGTGGCCCTGCCTGTGCCTTAATAGCAGACTCCTAAACTCCAGAAGTGTGAGACATACATTTCTGTAGTATTAAGCCACCCAGTTTGTGGTGCTTTTTATGGAAGCCCCAGGAAATGAATACAGCTGGTCTAGTCAATGATCACACGCTTCCTGGCCCATCTGCCTGCTTTCATTTGTGACCAAGAATTCTTTCCAACACACTTCTCTAGGGAACCAATTTGAGCTGACCTGTGAGAGATCAATCTGCCGCAGTCTTTGCATCGGGGAGCTGTATTATATAAGAGCATGGACTTTGGAGTGGAGGAACTTGGATTTGGGCTGTGGTCACTACTTACCATTATCACATGACTTGGAGAAAATAATTGATCATCTCCAAGCCTCAGTTTCCTCTTCTGAAAAATGGGAGTAATAGACCTACCTCATTGGATTGTTGTAAGCATTGAATGGAATGATGCTGAGAAGCACTAGGGCAGAGGGCCTGGTTCAAGTAAAAAGCAGCTGTTATGATTACACTTTAAGCTCCTTGAGATCTGAAGAGTATTACTTTTTTTCTTCACTATTACCCATTGGAATAATTAGGACACCTGTTTGTTCCCTCTCCAGTAAAACTGAGTTGGTTTGGCAGCTGCCATTAATCATCAACTAAGTGGCCTCATTAATCCAAAGTCACAAGGGACCCGGACTCTTTCTCTTTTGTTGCTTGGCCATTCCTGGGATGTTATCCACTTGGTCCCAGGTGGTTCAACACATCCCAGTACAACCAGCAGGAAGGAGATAAGGGGAAACAGAATCGTGCCTTGGAAAAGGCCCATGATTCCATTGGCCTGGGCACAGTAACGTTGCTACATCTTCCTACAAGGGGTGCTGGAAAGTGTGGCCATGATCCTGAGAAGCTGGTGAAAAGTGGGTATTCTATTACTCACTGAAAGAAGAGGAGGATGGGTTTGAGGGCAACTGCTTGTCTCCATCCCAACTATACATCAGCACATAGATGGCAGTCAAACAATATATGGTTAATGCATTATTATATTTGTTACTATTTTGATGATGAATATCTGACATCAAAGAATGTCTCTTGTCTTAAACAACTAGAGAACAATTTTTATTCCATCAATTAAAGATCGTCTAGGACCAGCTGATTATTTTAAAAAAGTTAATCAACTTGCATTATAATTTATTTTACAAATATGAGGAAATTGTTATCCTTGGTTTCTAGATATTTGTGTGATGATTTCTTTTTTTTCCTTTCCTTTTTTTTTTTTTTGAGACGGAGTCTCGCTCTGTCGCCCAGGCTGGAGTGCAGTGGCGTGATCTCGGCTCACTGCAAGCTCTGCCTCCCGGGTTCATGCCATTCTCCTGCCTCAGCCTCCCGAGTAGCTGGGACTAAAGGCACCCGCCACCTCACCCGGCTAATTTTTTGTATTTTTAGTAGAGACGGGGTTTCACTGTGTTAACCAGGATGGTCTCAATCGCCTGACCTAGTGATCCGCCTGGCTTGGCCTCCCAAAGTGCTGGGATTACAGGTGTGAGCCACCACGCCCGGCCCAGAGTAACATTTTTGATAAGCTGCATGGTGCTAAAGGAAAAAGAAAGTTGGAAGTATTTGGGCATTTTTAGCTTTGGGTGAGCTGGTGAATTTAATTTCCCGATTTGTTGCTGAGAAACACAGTTTTTCTGTATGGGTAATTACAAAGTTGTATTGTTAAATTGCATTCAGAGTTGACAATAGTTAAACAACAACAACACTTTAACACAATAGTTAAAGAATAACAACACAAAGAGCCTATAGCAGCAGAGATGGAGAGAGGGGGAAAAATTCTCTGCTGCTCTTGGAGGGTGGATCTAAGTGTTATGAATCTTGGAGACATATTACAACACAGTCAACAGTCAAAATATTGGTATGGGGATATTTTAAAAGATGGCAGTGGGCTGCAGCAAGGAACCCCATACTGAAAGGGGCTGTGCTATTCTGCATGGAACAGAAGCTCAGGGGTCATGAGGACTCAGAAACATCTAGCGGGAAAGATGGGACTCGTCTGTACCAAGGAAATTTTGCTTGGGTAGATTCAGCAGATATAGCAGCTTCTCCAGAGGAGGGTCTTGGGAGGACCCGTGGATGTATATGTATAAGAAAAAGGGTCAAATTTTAACACCTTAGGGCCAGGCATGGTGGTGCACACCTGTAATCCCAGAACTTCGGGAGGCTGAGGCAGGCAGATTGCCTGAGCTCAGGAGTTTGAGACCACCCTGGGCAATACGGTGAAACCCTGTCTCGACTAAAATATAAAAAATTAGCCAGACATGGTGGCAGGCACCTGTAGTTCCAGCTACTCGGGAGGCTGAGGCAGGAGAATCTCTTGAACCTGGGAGGCGGAGGTTGCAGTGAGCTGAGATCGTACCACTGCCCTCCAGCCTGGGTAACAGAAGGAGAACTTGTCTCCAAAAAAAAAAAAAAAAAAAAAAAAAAAAAAAAAAAAAATTAACACCTTCCATGTCTGGGGGATGCAAAGCCACCTTACTTAATACTAATAAAAGAAGAATAGGTTTGCTTGATTTACATGCCACCCTTGGGATCAAAAACCTTAGCTAGTGCTATAGATGGAATGTTGTGTCCCCCTCCCTAATTCATAAGTTGAAATCTTAACACCCAGTGTGATGGTATGAGGAACTGGGGCCTTTGGGAGGTGATTAGATCATGAGGATGGAGCCCACATTAATGGGATTAGTGCCTGATATGGTTTGGCTGTGTCCCCAACCAAATTTTATCTTGAATTGTAATAATCCTCATGTGTCATGGGAGGGGCCCAGTGGGAGGTAATTGAATCATGGGGGCAGGCCTTTCCCATGCTGTTCTCATGATAGTGAATAAGTCTCATGAGATCTGATGGTTTTATATAGGGGAGTTCCCCTGCACATGCTCTCTTGCCTGCCACCATGTAAGATGTGACTTTGCTCCTCCTTCACCTTCCTCCATTATTGTGAGGCCACCCCAGCTATGTGGATCTGTGAACCCATTAAACCTCTTTCCTTTATAGATTACCTAGTCTACGATATGTCTTCATTAGCAGCGTGAAAACAGACTAATACAGTATCCTTAAAAAAGTGATCCCAGAGAGCTCCCTCATCCCTTCTACTGCATGAAGACGAGGAGGCAGCGGGTCCTCACCAGATACTGAATCTTTAGAGCCTTCACTTTGGACTTTTTAGCCTGCAGAACTGTGAGAGATAAACTGTTGTCAATAAGCCACCCAGGCTACTGCACTTTGTTGCAGAAGCCCCAATAGACAAAGGCAGCTAGCAGATATGGGGGCGAAGGAACAATGTTCACTGGGGAGGGAGCCGACTTAAACAGGGAGGACATTTTACTTATAGCAAGTTTATAAAATTTTGATTTATGTAATTAATATAATTTTCAAATAACACATCGAGACTATATGATCTTAAGGATATTATAAGACTGATTATAGGGGAATACGATAGAATAGCAGTAACCAGAATACCAAATAAATCCCCAAATCTCAATGGACAGACACAAGAGAATTATGTCCCCCTTAAATCTGGCTAGTGGAAGTCCTTCTGAAACCAGCCTTAAGAGTCCCATAGAGAGTTGCTTTTGGATAAACATAGAAATGGACCCTTGTGCTGTTAAAGCTTGAAGCGTATATTTGTTTTATCTGAGTTCCTTTCTCAGGAAACGACCTCATGCTTCTCACAAAAAATATCAAAGAAGGGAAACTAGATCACCACACCAGATGCTGGACCCCTCATTCACCATGATGGCTTCCTTGCCCTTCCCAAGTTCCTGTTTTCTTACACATTGTTACATTTCTTGCCTGCTATGTAAAGCCCTGGTTTTAGTCAGTCAGAGATATGGATTTGAGACTGAGCTCCCATCTCCTCAGCTGCAGCAACCAATTAAAGCCTTCTTCCTTGGCAATACTCGGCGTCTCAGTGATTTGCTTTCTGTGCAGTAAGCAGTAGGACTCAGACCAAACCCCTGGTGTTTCAGTAACAACTTCCAGGTGCTGCTGAGAACCCGGCTATTTCCATTTTGCATATTTGTATTTGGATAGGGGAAGAGAAAGTACAAAGCTGACACTCTCTATTCCTACTCACCTTGGCTCAGAAGCAACACATCACCACTGCTCACACCCTATTGGTGACAACTAGCCACACACCCCCAACTAAATGTCATGGTGGCAAATGTTATTCCCAGCTGGACAGCTGCTCCCTGTGACAGCTCTGCATGTTGGAAGAGGGAGTGACACATTGATGGATAACAACCTTTCTGTGTCAGAACTTGTGAGCTGTAAACCCTCCTAGTCATTATCCAGGGGGAAGACAAAGGGTCATCCCTCTAAGTGGTAGAAAGGGAAGGAAAAGACAAAACCAGAATTGTTTCTAGATTATTTTCCTTGCATCTTGAGGGTTCAGTGCAACAGCTATTTATGGCATAGGGCTCCAGTGGGGACACAAGATACCACAGGAAGCCACAGCAGAGATGTTGAACCCACACTTGAGAGGATCGAGCAAATTAAATGTTTAAACAGGAAACTTAGAGTTGAGGAGGAGCTAGCCAAACACCAATGGGGGTTAGGGAACGTCCAGGCAAGCATGGCACCCAGAAAAGCCTCAGAATGGGGAGAGCATGATGCATTCTTGGGACTGAATGGTCCAGTGGGGTGTGAAGGGTAAAAGGGATGGGGCTGAAGGGTTGGCAGCCACCAAATGGGGACACATATTGTTACCCACCAGGCATTTGGGGAGCCCTTGGAACGTCTTCAGGAGGAAGTGGGGTAACTCGATTTACCTTTCAGGAAGATCCCTGGGGCTGCAGGGGGAAAAGCCTGAGGGAGCAGAATTGAAGGGGTCAGCCCAGATGGCACTGGTGATCTGGGGGTAAGAAAACTGTGGCTTAAAGGAAGGCAGAAGCCCTGGGTGTGAAGCAAGTGGGCAAATTTGAGAGCTGGTTAGGAGGCAAGACCTCACTTCTCTGTATCTAAACATGATGCTCAAATCCTGCTTCCTCTAAAGAGTTTTCCCCGCTCCATCTTTGCACTCACACAACAATTAGAGTCTGTTTTGAATAACTTAATCTTTAGTTACACATTCCATAAACAGACAACCTTGAAACTGTATAGATTAAAAGATATTATTTTATATAGCACTAAGAAGCAAACATCATATATTGTAAGACACAATCGATGGTAAGATGGTTTCTAAATTAAGTGATATGAAACTGAAAAAATGTCATGTAAGAATTTATGAAATACTCAAAGTCACTTTACTCTTTTATGTCTTCCCAATTTCTTTCTCCAGTGAGCTTGTGAATTCTTTAGGTATAGACTATGATTTATACTTCCATAAAGTATAAGACCTATCTTTGAATCACTTATACAGTGAGTGGTAAATGCTTGCATAGAAATGAACTACAAAATGTCAGACCATTTGAAGAAGAAATCAAAAGTTCCAACGGGTTATGAAATAGTCTCATCTTTAAGTGAAGAAATTGGACATTTGGGAGAAAAACTACATAGAAAACTTACAAAAATTCAATGCACTTTTAATGAAACAAAGTTATACATTACATAATTTAAAGATTCAATTATTTCAACCGGATTTGTTAAAAATCCAAACCAAACCGAGCCAAAATAGTCCCCTACTATTTGCCTAATTCCCCTGAGTGACAGGCAACCACTTTAAACTGTTTTGATAATTTTTGTGGCACTTTGCTGTATAATTCCAGGTGATATATTTTCAGCTTTTGTTCTTAGAGGACTTCCTGCTGTTGAGCCTGAGAATTCAGTTTCAATGCAGCTCTAATTCTCTTTTTGACACACTGAAATATATTCAGCTTTTGTGCCCCATCACCTAGTTACATTGTTATCTAGATTAGGTCATATAATTTTTACATATTTAGGATGGTGAAACATGATTCACATGTAAACCATGTGGATTACTAGATTACATTTTATTTTATGTTACTTTTTGTTTTACCTGGAGTTAGTAATTGTGTTAGGCCCTTTTTGCATTGCTCTAAAGAAATACCTGAGACTGGGTAATTTATAAGAAAAGAGGTTTCATTGGTTCATGATTCTGTAGGGTGTACAGGAAGCATAGCAACGTTTGTTTCTGGCAAGACCTCAGGAAGCTTTCAAGCATGGCGGAAGGCAAGGGGGGAGCAGGCACACCACATGGCGAAAGCAGGAGCAAGAGAGAGAGTAGGAGGGGAGGTGCCACACACTTTTAAATGACCAGATCTTGTGTGAACTCAGAGCCGGAGCTCACTTATCACCAAGGGGATGGCCCAAGCCATTCACAAGGGATCTGCTCGCAAGATCCAAACACTTCCCACCAGGACACACCTCCAGCACTGGGCATTACCTTTCAACATAATGGGTGGGGACAAATATCCAAACTATATCAGTAATTGTCCTGGTACTTTATTTTATTTTATATTTTTAAGAAACTCATCATTAACAACCCCATATTCTCCACTAGTTGTCTAAACCTCCTATCAATATATTTCACCAATTTTGTTTTTTTGATGGTCATCTCTCCTAGAGTCTTTTGACCTACTCCAGCATGGGCAAGTTGCTGTCTACACCTAGTGAGCAGCTCCCATCTTTGATCTTCCTTTAGCAACATCCCAAGGATTCTGTTTGCTTCTTTTATGTGTTAGTCTTCCTTCTTCTTGACTCGCTTCCTAATCTATGTGGTTTATGTCATTACTGGCTCTCCAAAAGACCTAGAATATATGGGAATGTTTTTGTTTTCCTGTCATACTTTAATTTGTGTAGGTATGGAATTCTTCATTAAAAATGTTTTTTTCTTAGAATATTGAAAGTGTTTCTCTATAGTCTTCTAATTTCCTGGGTTGTTGTTGAGAGGTTTGAAGCTCTCCTGGGATAAACCAAAGATTAGGAAACAGAAGCTCTCAGCCAATGTTTTTCAATCTCAGCATCATTGGCATTTTGGATTTTATAATTCCGTGTTGTAGAAAGTGTCCTGTGCATGATAAGGTGCTGATCAGCATTCCAGGACTCTGCCCACCAGCTGCCAGTAGCACCCCCTGTCCAAGTGTGACAATCAACAATAAATGTCTCCAGACACTGCCCCTGGGGAAGGTGGAGAGCAAAATCACCTCCAGTTGAGAACCACTGCTCTCAACTTCAGTTCAGACGTAGCCTTGCTAGATGTTTGACCATGGGAACGTTGTTGAGAGTCTGGTTTCACAGTTGGAAATGGAGTTAATGATCTCTGCTTTGCCTACACTAAGGAAATGTGAGAACCACATGAGTTAGTAGATGTGAAAAATGACTTTATATATTAATGTGTTACATAAATGGAAAGCCATATTATTACTTGATTAAATATTTTAAGGTACGTATTCTAGGATGTTGGAAACTCGACAGACCTGGTTTGAATTACACTTGCAAATCCTAACAGAATACTTAGCAAATGATAGGATTTCAGCTAATACTAGTTCGCTGAATAAAATTGTCTAAAACAAGGCAGTCATGTAAAATATAGAAATTTCTATTGTGTGTGTGTATCTGAGTGTGCTGTTTAGGATAATACTGGTTGCTATGACAAATAAATCTAAAAATGCAAAATGGCTCAAACACAATAGATGTTTATTTCTTACTGCTAGAACCCTCCGAATGGTTGCTCTGAGTCATTAGATGAATCACTTTTCGGCAGTGATTAGTTCTATACACGACTTTGCCAACTTCAACACATGGCTTCCAAAATGGATGTGATAACCCATGACAAGAAGGCAACAAAGGAAAAAAAAAAAAACAAGTAGAGAAAACACAGCTGCATCTTAAGACACATCAACACACACTGCTTCTGTTCATATTTCCTGAGTGGATTCTAGTCATATGATCCCATCTAGGTTCTGGGAAAGGGGATACTAGGGAATGTAGCTGTGGGACAAGCCTTAGTTGCCTTCCAGCAAGTGCACGGGGAAAGTGTATTTGATGCACAGGTGACCACGCCCATTACCAGGTATTAATATGTATCCTCACCAGCCCAGGTATTCTAGCTCAGTTCCAATGCTAGAAATCATTGAATTGCTAGAAATCAGATCAATGCAGATCCAAAGCTCCAATGTTTAGAGTTTTCTGTGCCTTTATTAAAGTCTCTCTCTGTGTGTGTGCTTATAATGCAAACATGAATCTTTGTTTCAAAGTGTAAAGATATATCCAGCATTTTCCACATTGTGGAAATTTCTTCCTCCCTCTTTTTCTTTCTTTTTTTTTCTCTCTTTTTTTTTTTGAGATGGAGTCTCGCTCTATCACCCAGGCTGGAGTGTAGTGGTGTGATCTCGGCTCACTGCAACCTCTGCCTCCTGGGTTCAAGCGACTCTCCTGCCTCAGCCTCCAGAGTAGCTGGGGCTACAGGCGCATGCCACTATGCCTAGCTAATTCTTGTATTTTTTTTAGTAGAGATGGGGTTTCACCATGTTGGCCAGGATGGTCTCGATCTCTTGACCTTATGGTCCACCCGCCTCAGCCTCCCAAAGTGCTGGGATTACAGTTTTGAGCCACCGCGCCCGGCCCCCTCCTTCTGTTTCTTTACTGAAACCTTCCCAGTTCATATGCATGGTCTATCGGGGGATTTCTTGAGGTTTTGGGGGCAGGGATTGTACAGATCTTTCAGAGTGCTAAGCTAAACTCTGGGCACTTAATTGCTACTCAATAGATATATTAGTAAATCAATAATATTTTAAAAATATGTAGATATATGGTCTAGAATTCTTTGCAAGCAAAAAGAAATCAACTTGGCTTAATGTAAGCACAAGGTGATTTATTGAACAGAGATAAGGGTGATGGAGAGTGTGTGCCTCTGGAACTAGCGGGAAGCTCAGTATTGGCCTGGGTGGCCCAAGGCAGCTCCGGAAGACACTGGGAACCTCATCAGTGCTCCCTAGATACAAAGGGATTAGAGGACAAGCCATCTTTCAAATGAAATTGAACATAAGCTCCTTTCAATTATTTGTCCCTCTGTTTAAAAAGGGATGCCTAGTTGACCTACCTTGGCGGAGGTAACCACCGGAATAGATCATGTCTAACATGAAAGAGGTAATTCCAATTTAAATAGAGTGTTGTTAGGAAAGAGAATAAATAAATAAACAAGAAATGTTCACCACATTTGGTGCTATTCTTTTTTTATTCTCAAAGCACATAGTCCTCTGAGTGGTGAAGATTCATTTGCATCACGAGACTCCAATCACCCATTATTTGAGAAGAAGCTGAAGGAATTTTGACCTCTTTTTGCTATTTAGTTTTCAATATTGACATACTTGAGGTTGGGTAAACATGTTACTACATCTCAATTTTAGTTCAAAGCTCAGAAACAGTTAACTGGCCATTAGTACCGATTTGCCATAAATTGCTTTTCATTATGGGCTCAAGTAGAAACCATCCAGATTGAGTCAATTGCAGCAAGACCTGAGATTAAGTTTCAAGCATTTATGGCCTCACTATAGAAATGAAATTCAATTACAGAAAACTCTCTCTGTCTCTTTCTTTCTGTAACACATTTAAAACAATACCCTTATATGTAGAGAGAGAAGGTGACGCGAAGGGTTGATATAGCATGAATGTGCAAATTTACATCTATAAAGTAAGAAGAGATTTAATTTTGCTTTTCTTGGTCCTGCAGCGTCTTTTTAAAAAACGCCTTGACATAATAGCAAGAGACCTTCATTTATTTTCCATTAGTGCAGTGGCTCCTCGCACAATCAGTCACAGGATGCATGAAATCATCAATAACCAAAGCAGGATAGTAATTGAATATATATGTTCATGGAAGCCAAATTCATCTGTAACGCCACTCAAGGTCTTACATCCCACTGGAGTTCCCGTATTAACTGCAAAAGGCAACAAGAGCATGACTCTGCACTTTCCTTTTCCAGCTGGAAGCCCACGCTCTTGAGTTTGTGGGACAAGCTGTTTGCTTCATCTCAGTCTTACTCCATCAAGCGTCCTTCGACCACATCTAGTGACAGCAGAAATGTTTCACAGGAGCCTTGGTTGTCTTGGCCATTGAGTGCAGTAGAGAGCAGCAGGGCAGGTCAGCCCTGCTCTACTGCTGGCTTCTCACATGAAGCAACTGAATGGCTCATCTTTGTGAGAATGGGGAATGTGTACTGAAGGAAGGCATGGCAGTCACTGCTGCTGAAGGATTTGAAGGACAAATGTTGAACCCTAATGACTGGCGGCGGCAAAAGGAACGTACGGCAATTGTCATGTGATTGTCAAATTAGTGTGGCCAAGGCATATTCATATTGGGGTCTTGAGATGTTATTGTTCGTATTGTGCATGTTAGCTTTGGCATATTTTATATAATTAGAAAATAAAGACCTGTTATTACACACACACAAACACACACATCCACATCCACATGCTGTAGTTTACACATTTGTATTTAGGGTAAAATTAAGCTAATTTTGACTTGAGGAATTTGTGGTATGTGTAATATTCATAACCGTGGTTGATAGGTTACAAAGCTAAACTTAGTGATAAGTAAAATAAAATAACTTTCAAATTCCTATGTGCAAGAAGGAAAAGATTGGCCCATAGGGTTAGTCATTGAGCAAATACTTAAAACTATGACCATGGGGAGTCAACGTACTGGAAACCCCTTAGGTCAACTTAGTTTTTTGTAAGCAGTAATGGAGAGAATCCTGTGAAATTCTCTCTAGACTGTATTCCCAAAGTGATTCATTCTCTGAAAATGACCACCATCCAATGTATTTTACTCTGCTTCCTCTGATCCTCTGGTCTCGCCAACTGAGCCCATTTTCTGATTCTCTTAGGGCATGCTAGGCAGTCACAGCTTAATTATAAAATGACTCTTAATCATTAACTCAAGAAATCTTTGCTGGGCACTAAATATGTTTAGGCCTTATTTCCAGGACTGAAGAGACACAGATGAATAACATTGTCCCTGCTCTCAAGAAGCTTTTAGTTCACTGGAAAAGATCTGAGTTTGTGCCATACTGGCCTTGAGGGTTATCATGCAGTTGGATCATAAGAATGCAGACTCCAATACCAAATTCCAGCCCCATCCTGCTCTGGCTGTGTGGTCTCAGGCCAGTTACATGCCTTCCCTGGGCATCCATTGCCTTATGTGTGAGTTGGGTGCACTAACCACATCCCACGTCCTAGGGCTGTGGTGGGGATTAAATGAGGTGATATATGCACAGCACAGTTGAGCTCCTATTGAGTGCTCAGGGACGCTAGTTATGATTCCCATTCCTCCAGGGGACTCTGAGACTCAGTGATTGACAAGGGGATGGGAGCAGATCAAGATCTCTGAGGGAGAGTCATCTATGTCTTAGCAATTCATGATTACAATTTTTTTCTTTTTTTTCTGATACAGGGTCTCACTCGGTTGCCCAGGCTGCAGTGCAGTGGCACCACCTCAGCTTACTGCAACCTCCACCTCAAGGGCTCAAGCGACTCCCCCGACCTCAGCTTCCTGAGTAGCTGGAACTACAGGAACATGCCTGCATGGCCAGTGCACCATGCCTGGCTAATTTTTTTTTTTTTTTTTTTTTTTTTGTAGAGACAGGGTTTCTCTGTGTTACCCAGGCTGGTCTTGAACATCTGGGTTCAGGTGATCTGCCCACCTCAGCCTCTCAAAGTGGTGGGATTACAGGCATGAACCACCATGCCCAGCTTACAAAATCTTTAAATAATAAGATATATTTAACAAAAAACCTGGTGTTGTTTTTAGCCTAAATGTTAGAGTTTATTTCCTGAAGTGTTTTTTTCATTGTTACAATCAATTTTCACATATAAATTGGGTTATATTTTCATGAGCAACTCTACTTGATATGCTGATAACATAAATCAATGGAGAGTAGCATTATTGTGTTTGTGTTCCATAATGGAAAAAAAATATAAATTGTGCGAGTCCTGCTTTTTTATTTAAATCTTTATGCAATTATAGACACTTAATAATACATTTTGCAATATGTTGGTAATCTTGGTCCCAAATAAATAGCAAATAGCTTAATGTAAAGAGAATCAATATAATCATTTAAGAGAAATCATTAATAAGAATGTGTTGACTATCTTATGTCAGGCACTGTCTTCACAGAATTTGTTTCATCTTGCATCTTTTTGCTTTGTAGTTTCAGAAATTAACAAGATAAATCTGTGAAATAAAATTTTTATGATTTGATGAAAACAAAACAAATTTGACTCTCTCAATGAGGACTGTTTGGAAAAAAAATAGAAAATGTGCTAGTATGCTGAGGAAATATCAAGACCCAAAATAATCTGCCCAGAGTTTATTTTTATTATTTTTTTATTGTACATCTTTCTGGTGCACAATATGATGTTTTGATATATTCATCCATGGTGAAATGGTTACTGTAGTCAAGCAAATGAACATACCTGTCATCTCACATAGTTAGGTTTTTATGTGTGGCAAGAGCCCCTAAAATCTGCTCTCAACAAAAATCTCTAATACAGTAAAACAAAAACCTTGTTTCTGTAATACAATCTGGAGAAGGCAGCACTCAGCACATACTTGGTGGGCAAATGAAGAATGCAGCAATGGTTTTTGATGGAAAGGGTAGAAAAAGAGGAAGATTCTCCAGCTCTGCCCCAACTCCATGGTGGAGACAGAATGGACTATCAAAACATGTAAATTTTTTGGAAAAGAAGGAATGAGTTAAATAAAAAAATTTTGAAAACTCCAGCCTAAATCCACTTGGATCAAGAAAGTCCTTAGGAATAAAGTTAGTGGTGGTGGTTTTTGACAATGTCACTGAACAAAGAAACCAGATTTAGGGAAAAACATTTTGGAAACTCCAGTCTAAATCCGCTTGGATCAAGAAAGTCCTTAGGAATAAAGTTACTGGTGGCAATTTTTGACAATGCCGCTGAACAAAGAAACCAGATTAGAGTTACTTGAACAGCTCTGTCCTATGGCGGGGGGTCTTCTGCAGGGGGATAAGGCTGCTCTTGAGAGCTAGGGGACATGGTTATCAAGATAAATGAAACAGGAGTACCTCCTTCCACCACAGGCAAAGCCTCTGGCAATAGGTGGCCAAGCCTGGGCTGATCATATCCAGGTTGTACCATTTGCTACGCTGTGTGGGGTGCAGTGAAGGTCTGTAGGTTGAGCCTGAAGAACTCATGTTGGCCAAACCAAAATGACATTTAATACTTGGACTTGCTGGTGCTTGCTGTGTAAAGAGTCCTTACAGAAGGTGGCACACACAGAGATGACACAGAGAAAGAGGAGCCTGGTGCTACCAAGTCAGGCAGTCTTGTTTCTTGTCTTCCTGTACTCTGTACCTCTTGGAGGTGATGAAGGCCAAAGAGACCCTTGGGAGTAGCCTCACTTTCCATGCTAATCTGCATGCATGAGAATGACATCAGTGAGTACTGCTGACATTAACAAAACAAAATAATAAAGTCTTGAAATATGCATCCCCCTTATGAACTGGACCCACATAATGCCCAAATATGCTTTGTGTTGATTTTGCTTTTGGTCCAATTAGTGTTTCTCAAGCCTGGCTGCACAATGGAATAAATAATCTTAGGAGCTTTAAAACATAATCATGCCCAGGATTCATCCCCAAAGATTCAGATTCAATTGTTTTGAGATGAGACCCAATCGATGTTATTATTTTAATTAATTGATTTTGAGACAGAGTCTTGCTCTATCGCCCAGGCTGGAGTGCAGTGGTGTGATCTCGGCTCACTGCAACCTCTGCCTCCCGGGTTCAAGCAATTCTCCTGCCTCAGCCTCTCAAGTAGCTGGGACTACAGGTGCTTGCCAACAAGCCTGGCTAATTTTTGTATTTTTAGTAGAGATGGGGTTTCACCATGTTGGCCAGGGTGGTCTCGATCTCTTGACCTCGTGATCTGCCTGTCTCAGCCTCCCAAAGTGCTGGAATTACAGGCGTGGGCCACCGTGCCTGGCCTGGATGATACTACTAAAAAGCTTCTCCAGTGATTATAGTGTGAAGCTGGAGCTGAGAATCCCTAGCTCAGGGCTGAAATCTTTGCAAGGAAGATTTATCATGTGGATTGGAATGTATGTTAGGGCAGCTTCATGTCCTGACAGACTGTGGGGGATTGCTTTCACGTTAAAGGATGACAATGACAAAGACTTGAGATGCATTCTGTGACAACCATTTGTCATGAACATCACCACACATATCACCTCTTATGACTGGAGGTGGAAGATCCTTCAGAATTAGGATCTAGGAGGATATATTTCTTTTCTTTTTCTTTTTTTAGAAACAGAGTCTCACTCTATTGCCCAGGCTGGAGTACAGTGGTGCCATCATAGCTCACTGCAGCCTCAAACTCCTGAGCTCAGGTGGTCCTCTCACCCAAGTCTCCCGAATAGCTGGGATTACAGGCGTGTGCCACCTCATCCTACTAATTTTGTATTTTTTGTACAGATGAGGTCTTGCTCTGTTGCCCAGGATGGTCTCAAACTCCTGGCCTCAAGCAATCCTCCTGCCTGGGCCTCCCAAAGTGATGGGATTACAGGCATGAACCACTGTGCTCAAAGAGTGGGGGTGTATTTCTATTTATAAAATAAATATTCTAATGTCAACGCCATTTCATGGCATAGGTTAGTGAGTTGCATCTCTGGTTTAAGTTTAACAAAGGGTAAAATACGGCAGAAGGTTTGTGGAGCATAATTTTCCCAATTTGCTGGCCTGGAGTTGCTGTGGGAAACCATGGAGAAATCATAAGTACTTCCTAACTTAGAGTGCTGCCTGTCTTAGGGTTCCTCTGATCTCTTGTGGCCAAGATGTGCAGTAACTTAGAAACAACAGAGGAGTTGTCACGACTTTTAAGAAAAATGACGGTAGATATAAAAATATCTATTAGACCTGCTTTTAAGTGTTTTTGTAATGTGGCTTTATTAAGCTATAATTCACATAACATAAAACGTATCCTTTAAAAGTATACAATTCAGCTGCTTTTCGTGCATTCTCAGAATTGAACAGCCATCACCACTATCTGATTCTGGAACATTTTCATCACTCCATTAGCAGTCACTCCTCATTCCCTCAAACACTGGCCCCCGGCAACCACCACTCTGTCTTCATGGATTTTGTCATTACAGATATTTCATATAAATGGAATCATATGATGTATGACCTTTTGTGTCTGACTTCTTTCACTTTGTATAGTGTGTTTAAGATTTATCTATGTTAGTTCATGTATCAGTACTTCCTTTCTTTTTATAGCATGGATAAACACATTTTGTTTATCAATACATCAGTTGAGAGATATTTGGTTTGAATTCTTGGTATTACGAATAATGCCAATGTGGGCATTTGTGTACATATCTTTGCATGAACATTTGTTTTCAATTCTATTGGGAAGACATTTGAAGTGGAACTTCAGGATCATATAGTAACTTTATGTTTAACTTTTTTTTTTTTTTTTTTTTTGAGACGGAGTCTCACTCTGTCTCCCAGGCTGGAGTGCAGTGGCCTGATCTCGGTTCACTGCAAGCTCTGCCTCCTGGGTTCACAGCCATTCTCCAGCCTCAGCCTCCGGAGTAGCTGGGACTACAGGCGCCTGCCACCACGCCCGGCTAATTTTTTGTATTTTTAGTAGAGACGGGGTTTCACCGTGTTAGCCAGGATGGTCTCGATCTCCTGACCTCGTGATCCACCCGCCTCGGCCTCCCAAAATGCTGGGATTACAGGCGTGAGCTACCGTGCCCGGCCTGTTTAACTTTTTGGGGAATTGCTAAAATGTTTTCCAAAGGGACTGTGCAATTTTACATTTCTACCGGCAATTTTCTAGTTTTTACAAATATCTTCACCAATTCATGGGCATTAGGCCATTCTTGCATTGCTATAAAGGAGTACCTGAGGCTGGTTATTTTGTGAAGGAAAGAGGTTTAACTGGCTCGCAGCTCTGTGGGCTGTACAGACATGGCACCAACATCTGCTTGGCTTCTGGTGAGGGCCTCAGGAAGCTTGCAATCATGGTGGAAGGCAAAGTGGGAGCAGGTGCGTCACATGGCGAGAGCAGAAGCAAGAGAGAGAGAGAGAGAAGGAAGGCCCCATATTCTTTTAAACAACCGGATCTTGTGTGAATTAACTGAGTGAGAACCCATTCACCACCAGAGGGATGGTGTTAAGCCATTCGGAGGGACCCACACACACGATCCAATCACCTCCCACCAGGCTGCACCTCCAACACTGGGGCTCACATTTCAAAATGAGATTTTGTGGGGACACACATCCAACCCATATCAACATGGTACTGTCTAACTTTTGGGTTCTAGTCGTCCTAGTGGGCTTGAAATGATATCTCATTGTGGTTTTGATTTGCATTTCCCTAAGGACTATGGTGTTGAATACACGTTTTAGTCTCTTTGTAAGAGAAATGTCTGTTAATTCTTTCTGCCTGTTTTTTGGTCGGGTTGTGTGTATTTCGATTGTTGAGTTGTAAGAGTACTTTATATAGGCCGGGCGCGGTGGCTCACGTCTGTAATCTCAGCACTTTGGGAGGCCGAGGTGGGCAGATCACGAGGTCAGGAGATCAAGACCATCCTGGCCAACATGGTGAAACCCCGTCTCTACTAAAAATACAAAAATTAGCTGGGTGTGATGGCACATGCCTGTAGTCCCAGCTACTCGGGAGGCTGAGGCACAAGAATTTCTTCAACCTGGGAGGTGGAGGTTGCAGTGAAACCAGATCGCACCACTGCACTCCAGCCTGGTGACAGAACAAGACTCTGTCAAAAAAAAAAAAAAAAAAGTACTTTATATATTCTGGATATAAATTCCATGTCGGATATATGGTTTTCAAATATTTTCTCCCTGTAGCAAAATCTCCACTCACATTTACGGAATTCCTGAACAGCTTTATGGTGCATTACTACTAATATAAAGAGACCTTCAAGAATTACCTGAGAGTGGCCGGGCGCTGTGGCTCACGCCTGTAATCCCAGCACTTTGGGAGGCCGAGGCGGGCGGATCACGAGATCAGGAAATCGAGACCATCCTGGCTAACACGGTGAAACCCCACCTCTACTAAAAAACACAAAAAATTAGCCGGGCGTGGTGGCAGGTGCCTGTAGCCCCAGCTACTCGGGAGGCTGAGGCAGGAGAATGGCGTGAACCCGGGAGGCGGAGCTTGCAGTGAGCCGAGATCGGGCCACTGCACTCCAGCCTGGGCGACAGAGCGAGACTTCGTCTCAGAAAAAAAAAAAGAATTACCTGAGAATTCAGGAAAGCCTACATTAAAACATAGAGGCTATACTAAACCAACAGACAAAATGAACTTGGAGGAAACAGAGAATACAGGGAGAGGACACTTAAAAAAAAGATATGGACTCTCTAAAATAAGAAGCTGTAAAAGAGAAATGTTAGAGGAAAAGATAACTTTTAGAAATAGCGGATGATCTTTGATTCTTGGCATAGCATCTGATTCTAGAAGTAGAAATTTCAAGATGCCCTTTGCCTTGATTTTCCAAGAAATAAGTTTGTGTAATGAAGCTAACTATTCACACCTTTCTTTAACACTGATCTTGATTAATTCATTAAACAAATACTTACTAAGCACCTACTATGTATCAAGCATAGTTCTAGCTGGCTGGAATAAGGCACTGGAACAAAATCTATGAAAGTTCTCATCTTGATGGTATTGACGATCTAGCTGGGTGAGGCAGACAATATAATTAAAAATGGTAAGTGCTAGAGAAATTTAATATAGCCGGGTAAAAATCACTGAGGCAGCCTGCTAGTGGTGGCAGTAGTGGGGACAAATAGTTTAAATTACATCAGTGTTGGCCATTCTGATAAGAGAACATTGGAAAGAAGCTTGAATGAGGTGAAGGACTGAGCCTGGATTTTATTTTATTTATTATTATTATTTTTTGAGATGGACTCTTCTCGCCCAGGCTGGAGTGTAATTGCGCAATCTCGGCTCACTACAACCTCTGGCTCTCGGGTTCAAGAGATTCTCCTGCCTCAGCCTCCTGAGTAGCTGGGATTACAGGCATGCGCCATGCCTGGTTAATTTTTTATTTTTAGTAGAGACGAGACAGGGTTTCTCCATGTTGGTCAGGCTGGTCTCGAACTCCCAGCCTCAGGTGATCTGTTCCAAAGTGCTGGGATTACAGGTGTGAGCCACTGCACCTGGCCTGAGCCTGGATATTGATGTGAGGTTCCTCCTGGCTGAAACTCCAGCCAGTGCAAATGCACAGAAGACAGAGGTACATTGATGGAACAATGGGAAGTCGAGTGTGGCTGTAGAGGAGTGAGCAAGGGTACCCCATGGGGGAGAATAGCCCATAGGGCTTTGCAATACTGGTGCATACTCGGATTCTCAACTTCAAGTGGAATGGAAGCCATGGGAGGGTTTTGAACAGAAGAGAAGCTCAGTGTGACTTACGCTTTAACGAGGTTACTCTGGTTGCTGATGGAGAACAAATTGCAGGAGGCAGCACAGGTGCAAAGCAAAAAGAGCCATTAGGAGATAGAGTGATAACACAGAAGAGGGATGGTGGCACAGGGCAGGCTGGCGGCAATTCAGGCAGGTCCAGCAGGAGTTTTGAAATATTGGATGTGGGGCATGAAGATAAAAAGAGGAGTCAAGGATGGTTCTAAGACTTCTGCCCTGAGCAACTCACAGGTGGAGGGATACTTAATGGGATGGAGAAGGCGAACTCTGTGTGTGTGTGTGTGTGTGTGTGTGTGTGTGTGTGTGTGTGTGTAGAACTGCAGTTCAGCTTTTGACATATTCAGTTTGAGATATTTATGAGACATCCGATACTGATCAAAGGGTAGGCAATGGGGTAACAACTCATCCTTACGAACTAACTCAGTGTTGCTGGACTTATCACTGGGAAGAAGAAACGGGAGCCCTTCATGGTTGCCAGGAGGGTCTCAAGTACAAGAACTGCTCACCTCCAGCTGGACACTACAGAATCCTTCTCTGAGAGTCGATAATCTTGCACTTAGATGTGGGACATGAGGATAAAAAGAGGAGTCATAGATAGTTCTAAGACTTCTGCATTGGCAGAAGGTGAGGGGACCACAGCCTTAAATATAAGTCTCTCGAATGACTTTAGGCAGTTCCTTGTCCCTTCCTCTTTCCTTTCCTTCGGCTTTCTTTCTGTCCCTCCTTTCTTCCTTAGTCTGTGCATTCTCCTCACTCATTCTGTAAATATTTCCTGAGTGCACAACAAATGCCTGCTACTTCCACAGGAAAACAGCACAGAACCGGTCCCTCCTCTCTTAGCTTTTTTTTTTTTTTTTTTTTTTTTTTTTTTTGAGACGGAGTCCTGCTCTGTCGCCCAGGCTGGAGTGCAGTGATGCAATCTCTGCTCACTGCAAGCTCCGCCTTCCAGGTTCACGCCATTCTCCCGCCTCAGCCTCCCAAGTAGCTGGGACTACAGGCGCCCACCACCACGCCCGGCTAATTTTTTGTATTTTTAGTAGAGACGGGGTTTCACCGTGTTAGCCAGGATGGTCTACGATCTCCTGACCTCGTGATCCACCCGCTTCGGCCTCCCAAAGTGCTGGGATTACAGGTGTGAGCCACCGCCCCCGGCCCTCTCTTAGTTCTTTTGGCCCAATGCAAGAGTCAGATACTAAACACATAATTACACATAATTACACATGGGGCTATAATCACAAAATAAACACATAATTACACATGGGGCTAAGGTATGGTAGGACCATCCAAGGTACTGTAAGAAAGATGTAAGAGATGAGTTAGCTTTGATTCAGGCTAGGAATTCTTCGACTGAACAAGTCAATATCAAATTAAAATGTGAAGAATTAGAAACTGGCAACCAGGTTAAGAATGAACAAAGAGCATTTCAGGCAGAGGGAACCACGTATGTGTGGGGGCACAAGCACAGGGAGAAGATTGGCAGGTCCCTAAGAATCTCATTCAACTTTCTTTCAGGGTTTGTCCCAGATATTTTAAGTAGTTTATGTACCTTCAGAGAAAAAAGTGGGATTCAAGACATAGTGGAATTCAATTGGGAAAAATAATTATTTGTAAAATCTGGATTATTGACCTCTTTTTTTCCCTAAAATTTTAAATTCTGATTCATTTGCAAATTTACATGGAAGTTTCAAGGGCAGTACAAAGAATTCCTGAATAAGATCTCTCAGACTTATTAACATTTTTTCTCATATGTTTTATCTCTCTTTCTCCATATAGGTAGGTGTGTGCACATGTGTATGTTTATATATGTATATTCTGACCCATTTAGTAGCAAGTTGCAAAAAGCATACTTCAGTATGTGTTTTCTAAGCACAAGGGTATAATTTTCCCTAACCACACTGTAACAATCAAAATCAGGAAGAATACGCATATTACCAAATTAGACACTGACTTTAGGCTGATAGGATGGTGTTACCATGGATAAGTGTTTTGTAAATGTCTCACCTCACTTTTCTTCTCTCTACGGCCAGTGGGGAGCCTGCTGGTGGGAGAGGTGGCGATTCTTAGGGCCTCAGATTCCATCTGCACATCCTCTGCAGCCTGAGCCTGCCTCTTATGCTTGTCTGCAATGGGCTGTTACCAGGTGGAATACATCCCTTCCCATGAACTATCTCCTTTTCCTTCTACAGGATAAAGGATGGAAGCATTTAAATAAATCTTTTGGGTACCAGCGGGACTGAGGAACCTGTGTTGACAGGCTTGGTGGATGCTGAGCTGCTCCTAACCAATTGGGATTTTGCTTTTAACTTAACCAAGGGGATAAGGCCAATTAAGTTCCTTTCTGTCCCTGTCTGCGTCTGTCTCTGTCTCTACTACTGTGTGTGTGTGTGTGTGTGTATGTGTGTTTGTGTGTCCTGTCTTCTTTGTTTACCCTTAATTTGGGAAAGAAAGTATTATTACGTTGCCCATTTTTCTCTCTCTACATCCCACAAAAATTTAGTTGCATGAAGACTGGGGTTCCATGCACTTTGCTCACTGCGTATTCCCAGGGCCTGTCACCTAATACAAGCCCAATAAATGATTGTTGAATGACTATATAAATGAATAAGCACATGGCATTCTATTCGAAGAGTTGCTTTTGCTCTTTGTAGAGGGTGCAGGGGTTGAAGGAATAAGGGCAAGACAGTTGGTGCCCATTGTCCAGGTACTCTCCTGGCTGGTGAACCCCATGACACAGGAAATGACGGGTGATGGAGGCTGTTCCTGGACATTGCATGAGTCAGAGGACTCCTGCCAAGTGCTCCTCTCTATCTTAGGTGCACTGCTTATGTTTTTATTTAATTATTACTAGGTTTTTTGAGATGGAGTCTCGCTCTGTCACCCAGGCTGGAGTGCAGTGGCATGATCTCTTCTCACTTCAACCTCTGCCTCCCAGGTTCAAGTGATTCTCCTGCCTGAGCCTCTGGAGTAGCTGGGATTACAGGTGTGCACTACCACATCAGGCTAATTTTTGTATTTTTTGTAGAAACAGGGTTTCACTATGTTGGCCAGGCTGGTCTCGAACTCCTAACCTTAAGTCATTCACCCACCTCAGCCTCCCAAAGTGCTGGGATTACAGGTGTGAGCCACTGCTCCAGGCCTGCTCATGGCTTTTAAAGCAACTCCACATGATGCAATGCTTCCTTCCCAGATGAATGTCATTTTAAAAGCTTCTTTCCTGCTTCATGTGGATAGAGATTTGCATTCATCCCTCCTCATATTAATTTTGCATTATGGGTGGGGATGAAGAAGAGCATTGTCCCTAAAGCGAGTGTCTTCAATCTGTTTATAATTCATCTCTCAGCCAGGGAGCAGAGTCCGTGTCACCTGAAGAGGCAGACGCTCCCCTGCCCTGGTGTCTGGAGGCAAGACGGCGCCAAGGCGGAGGCACGGGAGCATCTTTCATTCCTCCCCCCATGCTTGCTGCTTCATCAACATCAACGTCCTGCTGCCAGGGCTGATGAATGGCTCAGGAGCGTCACAGCTCGGTGGCTCTTATGCCACGTGCACTGGCAGCTGTCACTGCCGTCCTACCTGTGACCCACATGTGTCTTCCTGAAATGACTGAAAACAAGCTTTCCCCTCATATGTTGCTATCTTCTCAGAGTCAATCAGCAATGCTAATCAAATCTGTGTGCTAAGCTAGGATTTTGGACCTTCTTACGTGAAGGCGCCTGAAATGAGGTCCCCTTTCCTGAAGGCTGACTGTTGTTTTGTCTCCAATGAGTAACCCCAAGACTGTGCACAGTGAGCAAGAGGAAGGGGCAGAAGATGGAGGGTGGAGGTGGCATGTGAGCTGGGGTCCATCACACACTCAGGATTCTCTGTATGCAAATTTCATTCCCAATGCAATGGGTGTTGTTGAAGACTTTGAAGTTCAGGGGCAAAGTCTGATTTACTCTGTAAGGGGATTACTCTGGCAGAGGCTTGGGAGGATCTGGGGGCAATTGGGAGCTCTTGGAATTGTCAAGATAGGAGGAGATAGATGGTGGTGTGGACCAGGTTAACAGACATGGGGGGATGTGGACAAACCTGCTGATTATGAGTCTACAGTCTGCATTAGTAGCTGTGGGATTTGTCCCCCTTGCTGTTCATGGCTCTGCTGATCCTTTGGGTAATAGAGCTGATGGGACTTTTGTGGTTCAATCTCCTTGAGGAGCCCTTAGTAATCATTTGGCTTCTAGTAAGTTAACTCCAAATATTCCCAGATTATTCACACAACTGTGTATGGCCAGAGAAAAATGGCTTCTGCTGATGAAAACTGGAGTGTGAGCCGATTGAAGAAAACCTGCCCATTATCGAGTATTGATGACTGGAAAATAATGGAAACAGAAGCCTTGGGGATGCTGAAAGGAGACAACAGTTCTTAAATCCCCCAAACTAGCTTTCTTAAAAGCAAAAGTATTCTAAAATTTTTGATAATAGTTATAGCTAGCATTTATAGATTGCCTCCTGTCTACTAGGCACACTGCTTGTTTTTTCAGGTGGAAGAAAGTGATTATTAGGTCATTGTCTTAAGGCAACTTACTGTCTTACTCCTTTGTCTTTGATTGCCTTTAGTTGTAGTGGCCAATTTCTAGTGAATGAGAAAGAAGTAGAATTATTCTGTGGGGATTTGGGAAAGCATTTGATTTGCTGGTAATGCTATCCTTTTCTGTCTTCCCCCTTCTTCTTGCCTTGAATACAGCAATGATAGCTGGGTTACAGCAGCCATCTTGTGACCACGAGTCAAAGGGCCAAAAATCGAAAGTCTTGGTCCAGACATCACTGAGCCCCTGAGCCAACGCTAAAGTCTTTTGTTCCTAGACATCTTACTATATAAGGAAACTAGGCCGGGTGCGGTGGCTCACGCCTGTAATCCCTGCACTTTGGGAGGCGGAGGTGGGCAGATCACAAGGACAAGAGATCAAGAGCAGCCTGGCCAACACAGTGAAACCCCGTCTGTACTATAAATACAAAAATTAGCAGGACATGGTGGTGCTCGCCTGTAGTCCCAGCTACTTGGGAGGCTGAGGCAGGAGAATTGCTTGAACCGGGAGGTGGAGGTTGCAGTGAGCCGAGATCATGCCACTACACTCCAGCCTGGGTGACAGAGCAAGACTCTGTCTCAAAAAAAAAAAAAAAAAAAAAAAAGGAAACTAAACCTGTTTGTTGTTTAAGCTATTGCTGTCAGGTTTTATTACCCATAGCCAAAAGTATTCTTAACTGATGCACAAATGTTATCCCATTTAATCCACAAGTAAAACTTCCTTTGTTACAGAGGTGGGAATTGATGGTATTTACCATGGTTCAGCTTGTGAGTGGTAGAGCCACAATCTGTGCCCAGGTAAGACTAATCATTTTCATTTTACCATGTGGCCTCTCAAAAAAATGTCGGTCTCAGAGAATAAGTCCTTAATATAGCATGTTGTGGATTATTTAGAAAACTAGTCTAAAATGAAATAGAAATTAGCCATAATCCCACCTCCCAGAATTATGGACTATAATTTTTTGGGGGGGTAGACATAATCTTTTATATTTTTCTTATGTCAAGCTTAATATGGTGAGCTTATAGCACACACACAAACAGACACATGCACATACACACATGAACACACGCACACACTTAGCCCTCATAATTCTCTTGCAAGAGACAGCAATCATATTTATATGCATCCCCAAATTGCAACGAGTCCTAGTCCCTACCTAGTCACTTAAGAATTTAGCCACTTTATACTTTAAGTTCTAGGGTACATGTGCACAACGTGCAGGTTTGTTACATATAGTATAATAATAATAAAAAAAGAACTTAGCCACTTTAGATTTCCAGGGTTTTCTTTCTACAAAATCTCAGTGGGGCATCTCACCTGAGCCCACAAACTAGCCTTTATCTCTCACCAGCCACCATCCAGGAAGAGCCCATCACTGTCCCTGCTGACAGTGCCCATTATGAAAATACCAATGACTACACTTTTCCCCAAAGCTGTCAAGCTGCCTGTACATAGGATGCCCAAAGGGTGTTTGGGTCCTTCATAGAGACAGAGTCCCGAGCCCCCTCCCCAGCTTTCTACCACACTTGGACATCTCTTAGCAGATAGAGTCTCCATCCTTTCAGTTGCTCAGGTTATGAGCCTCCTGGTCACCTGGGACTCACTGCTTTTCCTTAGCCCACATCCATCCTGTCAGAATAACCTTTGGCTCTGCCTTCAAAGTATGTGTAGACTCTGACCATGCCTGTCGTAGGCCAAAAATGACCCTCCAAAAATGTCCCTCCAAAAATGTCTGTCATAACCCACAGAACATGTGAATATATTACCTTCTATGAAAAAAGGAGATTTGCAGATGTGATGAAGATCCTTGATATGGGCACAGTATCCTGTATTATCCAGGTGACCCAATGTAATCCCTAGTGTCCTTAGAGGAGGAAGGTAGGAGGGTCAAATCAGAGAAGGTGATGTGATGATAGAAACATAAGAGAGAGAGGTGAGGGCAAGAATTAGAAGATGCTATCCTGCTGGCTTTGACAATGGAGGAGGGAGCCATAAACCAAGGGATGCAGGCAGTCTCTTGTCTCTAGAAACTGGAAAAGGACAGAAAACAGATATTTCTTTAGAGCCTCCAGAGGGAATACAACCCTCCCAGCACCTTGCCTTTAGGACTTCTTACCTCCAGAAATTTAATAGGAAATATTTGCATTGTTTTCAGCCACTGCTGGTGGTATTTCTTATAGCAGCAATAGGTCACTAATACAACATCTTACCCCTGCAACCACCACCACCTGGTCTGAATCCATCATCTCTCACTCGGATTCTGCGGCAGCCTCATAACTGATCTACTTTCTTCTACTTTTCCCCTTTTCAGGGACAACGCAGCAGCCAGAATGATGCTTTGGAAATGGAAGTCTGATTATATCTTGCCTCTCTTCTGCTCAAACCTAATGGCTCCCCATTTTACTCTGAGTAAAAAGGCAGCATCCTTATCTTTGCTTCATAGGTGTTGCATCTCCCGTGGGCTGTACCTGCCTTCCCTTCCACCTGCCCTTGCCCTAAATGACTCCACTCCAGCCTTGCCAGCCTCCCAGCACTTTCTGGAATACACTAGGGTTTCTTCCATAGCACAGTCTTGAAATTTAACTTTCCCTTTGCAAGGCCAATAAATTCCCTCCGCAAAATCAAGTCTTAGCTAAATGTCATCTTTTCAATTAGGTTTTTCTCTACCCTGTTATTTAAAAATCACCCAAATGCTATCAACACCCCTTCTCCCTGCCTTACTTCCTATTTTTATAGCACTTGTCACTTTCTAATATCCCTTAGAATTTAGTTGCTTATGCTGTATCATTTTCCTTCCATCAGAATATTCACAAGAGAGATCTTTGTTTTTTTAACTAGCACATTCACATAAATGTATTTGATAAACAGCAGCCCTGTTTGTTCCCACAGCCACACAAAGTGTTTGATGAAAACTGGCCTATTTGCTTTCCTGAAATAATTGGATTACTGAGAAAATGGAATGTAATTAATGTATGCACATATCTTAGAACGTATGTCCAGCACATGGTTACTGCACAATAAAAGTTAACTGTCATCTCTGTATTATTATAAAACGGGTCTTCTCTCTTCTAAATAGAGAAACTAAATTTAGTCCAGAGTCAGATGGGAAACGCATGCCAGCCCAGCCCCTCTCTATCATTGCACTGCCTCTGCCTGTCTTCCCTGCATCCAACCAAACAGCATCCTCCAGTTGCAGAAGGAAATCCGCAAAACGTGCATGTTCACGGGTGCAAGTGTTGCCACTTCCGTGCAGCATTTGCAGAGCAAGGCTGCCTATGCCTACCCCAGCTGGAGCAAGCTTCCAAGGAGAATATTATTCCAGCTTTATTATTTGTAGTATTATATAAAACCCATTTTACTGCAGCTATTAAAACAATCTGTGTAAACATAATTTTTACAGCTGAATGATACTCTAGCATATGGCTACACCATCATTTACTTATTTCTTTGTTGTTGAACATTTAGGATGTTCCTCGTTTTTTGTTATTATGAGCAGGGTGATGATATTCCTCCTTGAACATAAAATAGAAAGTCCTCCTGAGGGGAACTTTGAAGATGACATAAAAAGACTAAACTCGGCCATAACCATCTGTAGTAAAATGATTTGGCATAGCTGCGATGACACGTACCTTTTTAGGGGAAGGGCTTCACCAGGGTGCTGGGAATGAAGTCCTGGCCCCTCAAGGCCAGGTGTGACTGCACTTAGATCCATGGAAAAGGTGGCTTGGGAGATGGCATGTGGTGCAAGAGGGCAATCATCTCTTGGGTATGTCCACAGAGGCTTATTAATAATCAGGAGACACCATAAAGCCTTCATTCATGTATCTGTTTTACAAATATTTATTAAGCACCTACTATGGCCAACAGTAGTTCAGGTGGTGGTTCTAGAAGTGTGATCCCTAGACCAGAAGCATCGATATCACCAGGGAACTTGCTAGAAATGAAAATTCTTGGGTACCACCTCAGATCTACTACATCAGAAACCCTAGGGATGGGGGCCTGACAATCTCTATTTTAACAAAGCTTCCATGGGATTCTGATACATGCTGAGGGTTTGAGGACAGTGGTTGTAAAATGTCCCGGAATTGGGCGTGGTGGCTCGCGCCTGCAATCCCAGCACTTTGGGAGGCCTAGTTGTGTGGATAACCTGAGGTCAGGGAGTTTGAGACCAGCCTGGCCAACATGGTGAAACCCATTCTCTACTAAAAATACAAAACTTAGCCAGGTGTGGTGGCGGGCACTTGTAATCCCAGCTACTTGGGAGACTGAGGCAGGAGAATCACTTCAACCCCGGGAGGTGGAGGTTGCAGTGAGCCGAGATTGCACCACTGCACTCCAGCCTGGGGGACAAGAGCAAAACTCCATCTCCAAAAAAAAAAAAAAAAGTTCCAGGATTACAGCAGTGGATAAGATCCCTGCTTTCTTTGAACTTACATTCTAAGGAAAGGAGATAGAGAATAAGCATGTATTTGAGTACATTCTAGTATATTGAGTGGTAAGTTTGAAGGAACAAAATAAAGCAGGGGTGTTTGAATGGATACATGGAGGAGAGGAAGGAGCAAGCCATTGGAAGAGAGGCCACAGCAAGCACTGAGGCATGCATAGATGGGATGGGTTGGCCAAATTCTGTGTCTCCACGTTGGACAATGGACTAGAGAGCTGGTTTGTCACCTCAGTGCTGCTGGTGGAGCAACCTGCAATGGAGGGTGGGGACCCAGAGGTGGAGGGGGACCATGAATAGGGTGGGTCCTGGAGGAAGTCCCAGGAGGAGGGCACGGAACAGGTGTGTGCTTGTGTGTGTATGTGTGTGTGTGCACTTAATATTATTCTAACATTCCCAGGGAACTATGCATTAGCTCTCAGATCTGAAAACATTCTGAAAATATAAGCAGCATTATGAGTAGATGAGCTTCTTCCCATGCTCCTCTTTTCTCTTCTTACTCAGCAACCTCGCTCAGGAAGAGAATGAAGAAGGGTGAGAAAACTCTGAAAAGCTCTGCTTAGCAGGATTAAAATAATTGATGATGTTTGAAATAGAGTCCAATTTACATCGTCATCAAAGAACCCAAGACGACCACTGTCTCTGCCTGCAGTTGTCAGGCGATGCAAGGACATTTTGTGACTGTTCCTAATATTGCCTCTTTCAGAGATCCTTTTTTTAAACGCCAAGAAGATGCTCATTAACATGAGAATCTTCCCTCAGCATTTGGTCAATCCATTAACACTTACTGAACATATTACCCCCAAACCTCTTCTCTATTACCAATCTGTCATCTTGGGAATGGAAGAGAGGCAACATGAGGGTACAGCCACCGCATGGAAATGTTTTGATGTGTGAAGGAGTTGCAACAAAAGTCTGAACGATATCAACTCATTTCTTTGGAAGGCACTATTATTTTGGCTTTCTGTTAGAGTCTTGCTTTGATTGGCAGGGAAGTGTGCATGTCATTAAGTAGCATTTTGGAAAGGAAGAGAGATAATTAAGTACTTGAGGGTCATCCCCTGTGACTTCTCAAGTGTGAAGTGGTGAATTCTAACCTGGGACTGTCAAAGCATCTGCATTTGATGGTGGGAGGAACCACCTACCTGGTTTCCATTAGACCAGAACACTGTAGCAAGTAAGGGTCTTATCCTGTAAGCTTACAGCTAAAACTATATGGAAATAATTGATATTTCAGTTTTCCATGCAGAGAGACTCTATGTGTGATCATATCTTTATATTTGGAAAAGGGAAAACAAAATCCCTTTCATTTTAATGTTGAATTTGGTCACTTTACATGGGCCTTGGACAGAATTTAAAAGGTGCTAGATGTTAGCCAGGTGCGGTGGCTCAAGCCTGTAATCCCAGCACTTTGGGAGGCCGAGGCGGGTGGATCATGAGGTCAAGAGATCGAGACCTGGCTAACACAGTGAAATCCCATCTCTACTAAAAGTACAAAAAATTAGCCAGGCGTGGTGGCGGGTGCCTGTAGTCCCAGCTATTCGGGAGGCTGAGGCAAGAGAATGGTGTGAACCTGGGAGGCGGAGCTTTCAGTGAGCTGAGATCGTGCCACTGCACTGCAGACTGGGCGACAGAGTAAGACTGTCTCAAAAAAAAAAATGTGCTACATGTCTCCCATGAGACAGTATCTGGAAAACACTTTGTGACACCTGTTAACATAAATACTTCACTGTTAACTGATTCCAGGAGTGTCCCTGAAACTGCCATGCCAAATAGGAGGATGGTGTAATGGAAAGTGATAATATGATGATTATTTGTCCCATCCCACCCTGTAGGTTACAACAAAAAGAGAGGGCCCAGTCTCCTTCTGATTTGTCTATGAGTTAGTCACAGACAGATGTTTACAAAAACAATGTGTTCTGTGGCCTTCATACTCTAGGGAAAGATGTTACAACTTTAATTTAATGATAATTTATTTTTTAAGATTCTGGTTTCAATCAGCATTTTTGAGATGGCATATATTTGACTGGAATGACTCAATATGAGTCTTAGCTAGGCAACTGAATTTTCCAGAGTGTACTATTAGGGTAGGAGAGAAGGAAGGTGGGGAAGACATGTTTAAGCAGGTGTAAAACTCAAATAAGGCCTCACATATAGTCACTTAACTTTATGTCAAAAGGCCATCATTATATTTTGGAGCATATGCTTTTAAAAATGCAATAATTAATTAAGCATATTAATTTGTTAAATGTAAGCACTTAAAATATTACACATTTTTTTGTTAGCTTTCTCAGATTTTAATGGATACAGAGACTTATAATAAAGCCCTGGTCGGGTTGTTCTGAGATGCGGCCCAGCCCTCTTTTCTGGAACTCTCACCTTTCCCAGCCTCTCTCCTATACCTCGCTCCACATTGGCCCCATTAACCCAAAATACTTCAATTAACCTTATCCTTCCTGGAGCTGAACTAACAAACTCAATGCTGGTGGAGTGGCAGGGCTCCTTATACAGGTCACTAATAGTTTAATGCCCATTTCTGCCTTTAGGTTGTGAGCTCATTCTGTTCGGGGATCACATGTCAATTTCTTCATTATTGTGTCTCAGCATCTCTTATAAGACTGGCTCTGACATACGGTCATCTTTGAAAGTGGATTCATAAGATCAAAGCACAGTCAAATTGAAAATTTTGGCATGATGCATCTTTGCAATCAATACAAATGAAAATGCAAATAGAAAAAATGACCATGCACAACATGGTATGTTGTTAAGTCAATTTATTCTGTTCATTTGTGGCCAGCAGGCAACAGAAAAATAAGTGAGCTTCAACAGTAGCAGTTCCAGTTCCTTACAAAGATTTCTGAATAAAAATCTAAGCTTTGTTTGCTGGCTAAAAAAATGGAATCTTCTGTACTTGAAGGATGTTTTTAAGGAATTCTCCCTGTGCTCCCCTCATTTTTCCCTCTTGCATGAACTCGTCCCTGCTGCTTCAGACCATGTTGACTCCTCCGTTATCTTAGCTCCTCTGCCAGCACTCAGATGGTAAAAGCTCTGGATTATCTCAAGGTGTTAACTCCAGGGTCTCAAGGGTCTCCAGGGACCCAGCAGATGATGTGAAATGTGACTGGGGACAGCTGCTCCTTATCCAGCTGAGAGCTGCCTTGTGGAGGTGCAGGGCTGGTGTCAGAGATCTCCAATTTTTTTTTCTTTGAGATGGAGTCTTGCTCTGTCACTGGGCTGGAGTGCAGTGGCATGATCTCAGCTGCAACCTCTGCCTCCTGGGTTCAAGCAATTCCCCTGCCTCAGCCTCCTGAGTAGTTGGGACTACAAGCATGCACCACCACATCCGGCTAATTTTTTGTATTTTTTTAGTAGAGACGGGGTTTTACCATGTTGGCCAGGATGGTCTCAATCTCCTGACCTCGTGATCCTCCCACCCTGGCCTCCCAAAGTGCTGGGATTACAGGCATAAGCCACCGCACCCAGCCCACAGATCTCCAGTTTTTGAAGAGAAGTTAGAAATAAGGGTTAACTCAAGCAGGCCTTTGTTGTCCAAACCCTGAACATTTCAAAGTGGGGTTTGGTCCTTGACCTGCCTTGGGCCACACCAGATAGTCTATGTTAATAATGTGATTTATGGCATCAGTTTGATCTTTGAGGGGCTAAAGACTGAGTAACTAGGGTCAGCCACATGCATGCTTATGTGGCCAACCTCCAATAAAAACTCTGAACACCAAGGATCAGCTGTGCTTCCTTGGTTGGCAATATTTCATGTGCATTGCCTTACATCATTGCTGAGCATGGTTGAAGCTGGTGTGTGGTCTCTTCTAGACTCTATCCTATATGCCTTTCACTTTTCCTGATTTTAATCAGCATCATTTTGCTATAGTAAACCATAGTTATGAATACAATAGCTTTTTTTTGAGTTTTGTGCATCCTTCTAGCAAATTATTGAACCTGAGGGTAATCTTGAGGACCACTGACCACAATTTTTAAAAATTCTATATCAGATCAATACAACTTGTCCCTTCATAGGCATCAGCCCTTGAGCCACCTTTTCATTATCTCATTTATAGCCTTAATTTGTTTTCCATTTCTTTATGGTGAATCCAAGCAGAGTGAGCTCATTAAAGGCTGAAGCAGGCTCCCATTGCCTCTGAGCATTTTGTACCTTTCCTCCCTCTCCACACAACGGCATCTCGACCTGGGCCAAGCACAGGAGGTTAATAGGTACTGATTAGTTGGTTGATTGTTTCATTAAAAAGATAGTGCAGATGCTGCAACCTGGCAGCCCTTGAGCTGCCCTCAAATCATAGTCATGTTTCATCTGATCTGCACACAGCACAGGTGGCCCCTTGAATAGATTTGCAGTTTATTAGTCCATGACAGTTTCCATTTTCATTCACTTATTTGTTCATTCATTTTTTCCACCAATATTCATTAGTTATCTCCCAAGTTTCAGGAACTGGTCTAATCTCTGAGACAGAGCAGTGAACATAAAAGATCCTTGCCCCCAGAAGCTTCCATTCTAGAAGGGAGAAAACAGATGATAAATGCTTAAACAAATGCTATGTTTCAGGTGCTCATAAGTCCCAAGGCAAAAAAAAAAAAAATAGTAAGTTTACCACTAAACTTACTGTCTCTCCCCAAGGAGAGATAGAAACACCCGAGCATAACTCATATTTCATAAGGATGTGTCTCTCTGGGTGGACAAGGGCTCCAGATGAAAGAAAGAACGAATGTAACGGCCCTTGGTAGGAACAATTCTGGCTCATTCTAGGGATGGTGAAGGGCCAATGACTGGAGTTAGAAATAAGGGTTAACTCAGCAGGCCTGTGTTGTCCAAACCCTGCACATTTCAAAGTTTGGCCCTTGACCTACCTTGGACCACACCAGATAGTCTATGTTAATAATATAATTTATGGCAACGGTTTGATCTTTGGAGGGGCTAAAGACTGAGTAAGTAGAGTACAGTGGGTAGGGCTGAAAGGTGGGGGGAAGTGGAAGGAAATTGGACAAGTTAGAAGTTAGGATGGGGAGGGGATCAGAGCAGGTCAGGTCTAATTTTTGGCCCTTATAAATAATTTGATTGCTTTTACCCTAAATGATATGAGAGGCCATGGAGGGTTTTGAGCAGAGCATAACACAATCTGCATCAAACTTTCATAGGAATTCACTTCCAACAGTGCCCATGACATCAGGGTCAGGTGTGCAACTGGCCCTGCACCATCACAGCTCTGCTGTTGTTTCTAAACCAGGCTTACATCTGTCATGGACATCACCTGCCTGGCCCATGCAGTCATTCTGTTGCACAACCCCCAGTTGATAGCAACAGTGCAGGACTGAAAGAGGCAAAGGTATTTGGAGGTGAAAAAGAAGGCCCATATATTTTAGGTTGCACTCTGTCTTAGTTTGTGCCCCTATAACAAAAAAACTGAGACTGTGTAATTTGCAAAGAACAGAAATGTATTTCTCATAGTTCTGGAGGCTGGGAAGTCCAACATCAAAGTGCCAGCAGGTTTGGTGTCTGGTGAGGACCCCAGTCTCTGCTTCTAAGATGGTACCTTGAACACTGTGTCCTCCAGAGGGGATGAATGTTGTGTTCTCACATGTGAGAAAAACAGAAAGGCAAAGGGGCTGAACACTGTGTGAAACCTTTTTAAAATAAGGGCCCTTTGGGAAGCTGAGGTGGGTGGATCACTAGGTCAGGAGTTCAAGACCAGCCTGGCCAACATGGTGAAACTCCGTCTCTACTAAAAATATAAAAATCGGCCGGGCATGGTGGCACGCACCTGTAATCTCAGCTACTCAGGAGGTTGAGGCAGGAGAATTGCTTGAACCTGAGAGGTGGAGGTTGCAGTGAGCCAAGATCGTGCCACTGCATTCCAGCCTGGGCGACAGTGGGAGACACAATCTCAAAAACAAAACAAAACAAAACAAAAAAAATACAGCCTTAATCCCACTCATGAGAGAGAAGCCCTCATGAACTAATGACCTCCTAAGAGCGCCACCTCTTAATATTATTGCACTGGGGATCAAGTTTCAACATGAGTTTTGGAGATAAACTATAGCACACTCTTAGAGCTTATAATGGTTAATTTTGCAGGTCATCTTGACTGGGCGATCAGGTGCTCAGGTATTTGGTGAAACATCATTCTGGGTGTGCTCAGGAGGGTGTTTCTGGATGTGATTAAAATTTGAACTGATGGCCGGGCGCAGTGGCTCAAGCGTGTAGTCCCAGCACTTTGGGAGGCTGAGGTGGGAGGATCACAAGGTCAGGAAATCCAGACCATCCTGGCTAACATGGTGAAACCCCGTCTCTACTAAAAATACAAAAAAAATTTGCTGGGCATGGTGGTGGGCGCCTGTAGTCCCAGCTACTCAGGAGGCTGAGGCAGGAGAATGGCATGAACCCAGGAGCTGGAGCTTGCAGTGAGCCGAGATTGTGCCACTGCACTCCAGCCTGGGCGCCAGAGTGTGACTCCATCTCAAAACGAGACACAACAAAACAAAACAAAACGAAAAAAAACAAAGGGGCATGCATAAAACACTATTATTATTTTAAACTCAGGCCTTGAGAATTTTAACTTAAAGGCTGATAAGCAAACCATCAGGGTCAAACCAATCATTGGAAAGTTTCTAACATCTCCAATGTTATTTAGGTAAATACATCTGATAATCCTTTAAAGGTCAGAAAAGGTTACGGGTCAGATGCCCTTACCTTGGCTTTCCAGTAATATGGAACTAAACTGCGCAAACGTTTGTGATCACGTTTATTATAGTTTACTAGAACTACAGTTGATCATCTGGCGGGACCATTTACTGAGCATACCGTGTGCATGAAACTGCTCTCCTCGTACTTATTGGGTCTTCAAGGGTAAGAATCTGACTTCCCCTTGCATTCTCTACTGTTCCCACCCAAAAGCCCTTGTAGAGCAATGATGGTACTGTCTAGGTTAATTCTGAGACCCTGATGCGGACTGGGCTTTCTCTAAGCTAATGAACCAGGTTGGAAATTGCAGGCTGTATGACTGTGTCTAGATGTGCCTTTTCATTTCCCTTTGCCCCAAGATTGGCTAAAGTAACCCCTGGCTTTTGTGCACCAATCACACTGGTTTCTTCCCATCTCTCCAGCCTCAGGGCCTTTGCACCTGCTCTAATTCTTTGGGTATGGAACCTTCTTTCCCCAGATCTTGGCATGGCTGACTCCTTCTCAGCATCAGTCCTCCCCTCAGACACATGATCCTCTCTAAGCAGCCTTCCAGTCCAACTTGTTCCACACAGTCATTTCCTACTACATCACCCTTTAACTTCCTTCATAGCATGTGCCTTGATTGGAAATTATTGTGTCTATTTCTTTGTTGATTGCTTATTGCTCTTTCCATCCCATTATGAGATAAGCTCCAAGAGAGAAGAAATCATACCGGTTTTGTTCAGAGTAGTAACTCTGATGACAGGAACTATTCCTGATTCCTAATAGGCCCCCAATAAAAATCTTTCAAATGAATGAATAAGGCCATCGTTACCACACAAGTCAATATTCATCATTTCTGCTGAATGGCTAATATTGCTTTCTGCAAAGACCTGCTCCAACTGTATTTCCTTAAACTAATGCAGCAATGAATATCCTTGGGCCTATAGTGTTGGTTGCTATTGAAAAATATAAATTGGATATGTCCTTGAAGGTGGATTAGTATACACTTTAAAGTTATAAATATTGTTAAAAGGTTTTCACAAAGTTAGGTCAATTTCCCACCAGAAGGGTGAGATGGAATCTGTTTTCCTATCCCCTAAGCAAAATTGGATAGTACCAATATCTTGACCGTTAGAATGGAGTTTGAAAGTGTGAAAAGATGTTCTCCTTCTAGAGACCTCCCTCAGATATAAGTCTCAGTGACCCATCAGCAACTGAAGAGGATTACACTTGTCAAAATGCATGGGCATGTGTTTGTAGGTGTGTGTGTTGGAAGAGGCTAAGCTACTGCTCAGGGACCTCAGAAGCTGTAGGGAGTGCCATGTTGATGCTAAGTGAACTTTCTTCAGGTAAGATGAGAGGGATTATGTAGGTTCTAAAATTGTCCTGAACTCTCCCAAAATTCAGATTTGTTTCCAGGCCCCCATTAGCCTGTATGAACAAGGAAATTCAAGGGCCTCACCCTCTGGAACATGGTTCCATGACTGCCTATGCAAGAAGAAAAGTTCTTCCAAGTTTAGGGGCAGCTTGGAAAACATTTTAGAAGCTTAATGTATGCTTCTTTGAAATTTAAATAAAAGCCTCTGGAAAAGTTAGGCAGAAACTCAGATTTAATACAGAATTTGATATTTGGTGTAAAGCTGAATTTTGATAATAATAATATATACAAATATATTAATAAAATATCACTTGTTTTTCAAGATATAATGACTCATTACAAGTGTAGAGCTTTAAAATGTACAGATTCAGTTGTTATAGTGGTTATGTTAGTTTGACTAATAAAAGGCTACACCTGCTACTCTTTATGAGGAATAAACTAGGATTATGCAATTTTTAAATTATTTTTGATTTTCTGGAATTTATTCTTTTCAGAAAATAAGCTTACTCTCTATTAAAAGCATATCACAAACACAAAAGCCTTGGTATTCCCTGCCTTGCATAAGCACTGAATGGTTTTAAAATAGCATTGGTTCATTGCAAAACAGATGAAGGGGCTAGAAGTAAATGAACATTTTAAAACCCACATAATATAATATATTTTTACTGAATACTAAAGATGTAAGTACTCTGTGTGTCAAGGAAATATTTTAAATGCTTTACAGGCTTTTATCTGATTTAATACTCACGAGAGTCCTAGAGGTAAACACTATTACTTTTCCCCATTTTAGTGGTGAAGACACCAAGGCTTACAGAGGTTAAGTACTTTCCCTACATTTGTACTATCAGTGAGTCATAGGGCTAGTTCTTGAATCAGCCCCAAGCAAAGACCTACCCTATTCCTTTCCCCCAAAAGAACAACAATGACAAGGAAAGAATAGAAAAGAAAAGAAAAGAAAAGAAAAGAAAAGAAAAGAAAAGAAAAGAAAAGAAAATCCTCTGTGGGAAGGGAAGAAAAGTCTATTATAGGCCAGGTGTGTGCGGTAGCTCCTAGCACTTTGGGAGGCCAAGGCATGCAGATCGCCTGAGCTCAGGAGTTCAAGACCAGCCTGGGCAACACAGTGAAACCTTGTCTCTACTAAAATACAAAAAATGAGTCAGGCATGGCGGCGGGCACCTGTAATCCCAGCTACTCAGGAGGCTGAGAAAGGACAATCTCTTGAGCCCGGGAGGTGGAAGTTGCAGTGAGCCGAGATTGTGCCACTGCACTCCAGCCTGGGAGACAGAGTGAGACTCCATCTCAAAAAAAAAAAAAAGTCTATTATACCCAGGACACAGGTAAAGAACTTTTGTGCTTGGGAAATATCAATGAAAAGATTCTCTAGCCTTGAGGGAGAGAAGGAAACCACCCTGGGTCGAAACATTAGACATCTATAACACTGAGAGTATTAGTTAGCTCAGGATGACATAACAAAACCCCATAGGTTGTTGGTTTAAATAACAGAAATTTATTTTCTTGCAGTTCTAGAGGCTGGAAAGTCTAGGTTCAAGATCCAGCATGGTTGTTTTGTGGGGAGGGTTCTCTTCCTGTCTTTCAGGCAGCCACCTTCTCACTGTGTTGTCACATGGCATAGAGAGAGAGGGAGCTCCGATCTCTCTTTTTTTTTCTCACAGTGACAATAATCTCATCATGGGAGTTCCAACCTCATGACCTCATCTAACCCTAATTATCTTCCAGATGTCCCATCTCCTAATGCCATGTTATTAGGAGTGAAGACATCAATATATGAATTTGGGGAGGGGGGACAAAAACATTCAATCCATAACACAGAAAGAAAAAGCAAATGACCGAGGAAGCTCCTCTTTCAAACTTGAGAATGAAGAGAACGTGTAA
The DNA here is from genome assembly GCF_000001405.40 of Homo sapiens. Classification (NCBI taxonomy): domain Eukaryota; kingdom Metazoa; phylum Chordata; class Mammalia; order Primates; family Hominidae; genus Homo; species Homo sapiens. The sequence continues at coordinate 125,824,296 of NC_000012.12, forward strand.
GTCTGAGGCTAGATCAGAAGGACAAGGACTCTCTCACCTCCAACTACCAGCAGTAACAGCAATAATTACTCTCCCTTACTGTTGGGGAAGAGACCAGAACATGGGTAGAGACAAACTAAGTGGTTGGGTGCACAGGGAATGACTAAAGCTTAGGGCGGAGAAGGAATGCTGAGAAAAATCCTTTGGCAAACAAATCCCCACAATAAGTACTGGCTAACACCTTAAAAATTTGAAGCCAGTGATAACTACAGCAACAGGAAAACCCAAACCCAGCTTAACTCCTGATTAGATTTACTCAACCTGACCCTAAGCAGCAGAAGAAATGCCCTCATTTGTAAGTATAGATAATAATTAATCAATCTCTACAGTCCCACAAATGATGTCCAGCTTTTAACCAAAAATGATGAGACATATAGAAAACCAGTGCAAACAAAAACAGCCCACTATAAAGAGACAAACCAGTCAACAAAACCAGACTCAGAATTAACTTATGTGCTGAAATTATTTAAAAATTAAAAATAAATATGATTAATGTGCTGAAGTCTGTAATAATAGAAGTGGACAACAAACATGAACATATAGAGAGTTTCAGCATAATATGGAAACTATAAAAGTCAGATATACATCCTAGAGATATTTTTAAAGAGGTAACAGATGAAGACTGCCTTTAACAGTTCTATCATTAGACTTATACAGCCAAAAAAAGAATCAGTGAACTCAAAGCTAGATCAATAGAAATTGCTCATACTAAAACACAAATAGGAAAAAGAGAGGGGTGAGTATTAGAGTACCTAAGAGGTGTGTGACAAAAATCATATTTAAGAATTGCTTGAAACAAAAATAAAGATAATCAGAGGAAAAGACAGATTACATATGAAACAATGTTCGGTATCAAAGCAGACTGCTCATCATAAACTATACAAACAAGTAAACAATGGCTTGAGATCTTTAAAATTTGGGGGTAGGGGAGGGGAGGGGAGAAGCTGTCAGTTCCAGAATTTTATGTGCAGATAAAACATCTTTTAAAACATAAAATAATAACTTTTTAAAAGAAAACTATAGAATTATTAGCATATCTGCAATACAAGAAACGTTGAAGGAAATTATTCAGATAAAAGGAATAAGATATCAGACAGAAATGTACACAAAGAAATGGATACCCCTGATAATAGTTAATAAAGGCTAATATACAAGACCTTTTCTTTAATTTGAATTGTGCTAAACAATAAGTTACTGTCTAGAGTGAAATACTAGTAAGGAATTGCTGGTATTCTGCTAGCACATATAAAGGTAAATTGAATGACAATGCTATGAAAGGTGAGAGAAAGCAACTAAGAGTGTGCTGTTGTGAGGCTCTTACACAACATGGGAAGTGGTATATTATTTAAAGATGGTCTGCAATTAATTACATATCTGTATTGTAGATCTTATGGAAAACACAAACATAAATTTTAAAAGAGATATAATAACATGCATTTTAAAACATAAATTTTGAAAAAGCCAATAGTGAACATGAAAAGTATATAAAAAATAGTTTTTTACCCAAGAGCAGACTCAAGAAAATGAGGAATGAAGAAACAAATTAAAGATAGAATATACATAGCAAGATGGTAGATATTAAGCTAACCATATCAATAATTACACAAAATGTAAATGGTCTAAAAATACGAATTAAAAGACAGATTTTCAGATTGGATAAAAAGGCAATTACATGTTATCTACAAGAAAGCCACTTTAAACATACAGATTTAGGTAGATTAAAGGTAGAAGGACAAAAAGAAAAAATATACAATTAAAATACAAGTGAAATGAAAGCCAGAACCACAGTGGTAATATCAGACAAACTGAAATTCACAAGAAATATTTCCAGGGGTAGAATAACGTTAGACAATTACAAAGGAGTGTATTCACCAAGAGGATGTAACGATCTTAAATGAGCACGTTCCTAAAAACTGACTTTCCAAACATATAAAGCACCAGTAATAGAACTGAAAAGAGCAATAATTGGAGAAATGCAAAGTCCACAGCTATACTTGCAATTTAATACTCCTCTTTCAGTTATTGAAAGAAAAAGTAGATAGGAAATTAGTAACGATTTACAATTATTAATAATTATTGAGCAATGCTATCAACCACCTTGATGCAATTGATATTTATCTAACATTTCACTCAACAACAGCTATTCATTTTTTTTTCAGGTGCAAGTGAAGTATTCAGCATGATAAACCATATTTTGGGAAATTATGCAAACCTCATCGTCCCTCATGAACACAGAAGCAAAAAACCCTCACCAAAATTGTGATCCATAGAATTCAGGAATATACAAAAATGGTAATACATCATGACCACGTTGGCTATACCCAAGAGTAAAGGGTTGTTTTAGTACTCAAAAATCAATTATTGTAATTTATCACACCAAAAAAGAAAAAAGCATTTGATTACCCAAACAGATTGAAAAAACAATCTGTTCATGATAAAAAAAAATTACAACCTAGGAATAGAAAAAAGTCCCATAGTCTTATAAAAGTCATCTAAAATAACCTACAGCTAACATTGATCTTAAAGGTGAAAGGCTGAATGCTCTCCTCATAAAATCCAGAACAAAGCGAGTGTTCACTGTAATCAGTGTTCAACATCACATTGGAGAACTTGGTGCAATGAGGCAAGAAAGAGAAATATATCACAGACTTACTGGAAAGGAAGAAAAAAACCCCACTGTTCACAAATAACATGATTGTTTACATAGAAAATATCAGAGAATCTCCAAAAAGCAACTGAACTTGTAAATGAGTTTAATTTGGTCACAGCATACAAGGAAAATACACAAAGATCGCAAAGATTAAGTATATTCCTTTATTCTAACAATGAATATTGAAAATAGAAATTAACCAAACAATTCCTTTTACGATAGCAAAGGATAGCGAAATTCCTAGGTATAAACCTAGAAAATATGAGCAGGCTCTACAAGCTGAAAACTTTAAAACATTAACAAAAAAGTAAAACCAAAATATTGAGGTATATACCATGTTCACAAACTTTTGAAATGTTAATTCTCCCTTATATAATCTGTATATATAATGCAATCAGAATCAATATACTGGCATTTTTTTGCAATATCTACAAGATAGATCTGAAATTTATATTAAAAGGCAAGAAATGGAATAGCCAAAACAATTTTTAAAAGAAGAACAAAGTTGGAGCAGTCACACTATCTGATTTTAAGACTCACTATGTAGCTCTAATAATTAAGGCAGAGTAGCATTTGCAAACTAATGCACATATTTGTCAATAGAATGAAATGGAGTTCAGAAATGACTTACACATGTATGATAAATTGATTTTTGTCAAAGCTTCAAATGCAATTCAAAGTATAAAGAATGGTCTTTTCAACAAATGGTTGTAGAATAAATAAACATTCATAGAAAGAAATGTACCTTAACCCTTATTTTACACCTTATAAAAATTCAAAATGGATCCTAGACCTAAGTTTACAATGTAGAAATATAAAACTTCCAGAAGGAAACATAAGAAAATGTCTTTAGGTTAGGCAAAGATTTTTTTTACATATGACACCAAAATATAAAAAATACAGATTGGACTTCATTAAATTTTAAAACTTCTTCTTTTCTAAAGATTCTGTTGAAAGAATGTTGAAATGATACTGACTAGGACAAAATATTTATTAAACAGGTGTATGATAAAGGACTTGATTGAAAATATATATGAAACTTCCCACCCTACAATAAGAAAATAAATAACCCAATTTAAAAATGGGAAGAATATTTGAATAGACATTTCACCAAAGAAGATATACCGACTGATGATGGTAAATAAACAAATGAAAAGTTGTTCAACGTCACTGGTCACTACAGAAATGGAAATAATTTCACAGTGAGCTACCACCACGTACCTATTCGAATGGCTATTAGTTTTTAATGTGTGAATGGCCAGGGCTGTCAGTGGAAATATCATGTGTTGCTAGTGGGGTTTAAATGGAACAGCCACCTAGGGAAGCAGTTGGGCAATTTCTTAGAAAGTTAAACATAATCTTGGCCAGGCGCGGTGGCTCACGCCTGTAATCCCAGCACTCTGGGAGGCCGAGCCGAGCGGATCACGAGGTCAGGAGATCGAGACTATCCTGGCTAACACGGTGAAACCCTGTCTCTACTAAAAGTACAAAAAATTAGCCCGGCATGGTGGCAGGCACCTGTAGTCCCAGCTACTCGGGAGGCTGAGACAAGAGAATGGGGTGAACCCGGGAGGCGGAGCTTGCAGTGAGACTAGATGACGCCACTGCACTCGAGCCTGGGCGACAGAGCGAGACTCCATCTCAAAATAAAAAAAAAAAGAAAGAAAAGAAAGTTAAACATATTCTCACCATATGACCCATCACCACCATTCCTAGGTATTTACCTACAAGAAATGAAAGAAATACAAGCTGAAGTTCACATTAAAATTAATAATTACCAAAAAATGAAAGTGCCACAAATGAGTGTGTGTGTGTGTATGTGTGTGCATGGGCGTGTATATGCACATATATGCATGTGTACATGTATACACGTTTGTGTCCATCTGCATGTGCATATGCATGTATATGTATATATGTGCATGTGTGTGTGTATGTGTGTAAGTTTTCATGTGTGCATGTGTATGGTGGTTGCTGCTTTTCATTACTTGCCTGTCTGAAAGGTTCAGTTTTTGCCTGGAGGAATAATCCTTTAACTCTCCCATGTAGTTGGAGTTTCCTTGTAAAAATCTCTGGCCTGCAGCCTCAGAAGTAATTCAGCTGCCTTGTGATTATGGTATATCCTATGAGACTTAAGCTATTTTATTTTTTATTACTCTGAAATCCACTTGGTCTCAGTTTTCCTCGCAAATGAAAGCTTCTGGGCATATGGGTAACTTCTCAGGCTGAATTTGGTGTCCAGAGGCCAGTTTTGGCACTAAGAAGCTGTCATTTTTCTTCATTTTCTTCAAAACAAGTTACATTTTATTGTTACATTGTTGGAGTAATCAATGTTACCTCATACCTCAAAGTCCTAAACAAGACCAAATTGGATTGGGTAAATCAGGGAGTGTTGGGTGAAGCGGAAGACTGTGGATGTAATTTCCTAATATATTGTTTCAATCTTGTCCTAAGTATTTACATTTAGTTTCAGGGCTTATTTTTCAGCTCCCTATGCTGTAGGTTACAAATTACTGAATAGAAGGAGAAAAAAATAAATGTATCAGGTAAGTGGGAATGTTCCTAATGCGAAGATTGGAAGATTCGGGGAAGCTGGTTACACACACACTGCTTCAGCTCATTGATGGAGACGTAGGGGTGGGCTTATTCCCATTCTCATAATTGTCTGCAGAGAATCACAAGCTTGGGCATGATGGTCCTCTCAGGTGGCTACTTGGCTGCATAGCTCCAAATTTCCTGTCATGACCTCTGAGCAGAATTTGGGGCACTTACCACTTTTCCTTCTTTAAAATCTTCCCCAGATTTCTGTGACATTAGTCGCTTTTGATTCTCACCCTAGCTCCTTGTATTCTTGTGGTTAGCCTCTGAATAAAGAGCTCAGAAAATCTCAAGAAGAACAGTATATATGGTAGTCTTGGAGAAACCAGAGGCTGGAAAACAATTTTGATTCTTGAGACTCTCCAATTAAGATTCAAATTCTAAGAATCCAATGGGTTTGGCCTGAGTCATATTCTTGTCTTCAAGGATGGTTCTACGAAGGCTAAATGCAATTGGGTGGGAGGGAAGCGGAAGGTGGTTCCTCCAGAGAAAATTAGAGGATCTAGTTCTAAAGGAAGTAGCTAAAGATATGGGTGGAAAGAAAAAAAAATTAAAGCAATTGATGGCGTCTATTCTACCTTGGAGTATAAAAAATTGAGATTTACCTTTTCATACAAAGCAGAATAAATTAATCTATAAAAAAAATTCCCTGGAATATTTTTTAGAGGAAGAAAGAAAAACATGGAATTGTGGTTGAAGAGTCTGGGAATTCACTGAGTATGGCCCTGTTGCAATCAACAATTATTACTAATGGATTATTAGCAGTGGTGCTAATATTGAATTACTGCAGTATTTTGTTTTCCTCATAAGTTTCTTTGGGGTTTGGTTAAAAAAAAAGATATGTGTCATTTAATATTTGTGGTACGGCCAAATAAATAAATAAACAATAAAAGAACCTCTCATTTGTTTAAACACTAGAAACAAAGCCTAAAGATCACAGAAAATCTTTGATCTTTGTTATTGGGCAGATTTAAGTTTACTGACTCGTTGCAACAGCAGAGAACACACCCGATGGGGGTCCTTCGGGCTTCTCAATATGAAAATGCTGAAAGGGGCAAATTACAGGATTTGAGGTCGTGTGAAGTACTTTTGGGGAATGTTAAAAGAATTGAGGCTTTGGTTTGGATTAGATGCCTTCAGAAAGTGGAGGTAACGCCATGAGAAGACATCTCAGTTTTGCCTTTATTTGAAGAAGTCATCACATATTCCAGGCCAACAGGAAAAGAGATATCTCAGGAAGCCAGTAACATACTTTAATAAAATAGAAACCATTTTCCCCTTTCTCCAGGTTGGAATGCACACAGACTGTTAAATATTATTTCTTACTAAGCGCAAACACACTTTTTCACTTTTGTCAAAATTAGAATGCGTATTTTTGATGATATTTCACAATCACCTTCTTGAACAGCATATTCTGCTAAAAAAATTCTAAAAAAATACTTTTATATTTGTCACTTTTTCCTGAATGGTGCAGTGGCCAAGTGACACATTCTGAAATATCTCGTATTTTCATCACCTGGGCTGAAAGAAGCTATCAGCCGCATGAGTGCGTTTCTATTTCATGTTGTATGCTTCCTGTTTCTTAAATATGGATGATAAGCATGAAGCTGGAGCTGCAAGATGTTTCTCTAATTCATTTCTCTGGAACCAATAGAAATCAATGTGTACTTTATGTATGAAGTCACCTTCTACTTTGTATTAGTTATCTATTGCATTGCAAAACTTAATGCTTTAAAATAACAGGCATTTATTATCTCACAGTTATTATGGGTCAGGGAACTGGCACAGCTTAATTAGGAAGCTCTGACACAGAATCTCTAATGAGGCTGCACTTAAGGTGTCAGTTGGGCTGCAGCAATCTGAAGGCCCAACTGGAGAAGAGGCAGTGTAACCTCACTCATGTGGCTGTGGACAGAACTCAGGTCCTCGCTGGTTGTGGGACAGAAGCATCAATTCCTTGCTGGATTTTTCCACAAGTCAGATCACAACGCAGCAGCTGGCCTTTGTCAGAGCAGATGAGAGAAAGCAAGAGAGGCTGGGCGCAGTGGCTCATGCCTGTGATCCCACCACTTTGGGAGGCTAAGGCAGGCAGATCATGAGGTCAGGAGATCGAGACAATCCTGGCTAACACATGAAACCCTGTCTCTACTAAAAATACAAAAGATTAGCCAGGTCTGGTGGCGGGCGCCTGTGGTCCCAGCTGCTCAGGAGGCTGAGGCAGGAGAATCAGCTTGAATCCAGGAGGCAGAGGTTGCAGTGAGCCAAGATCGCACCACTGCACTCCAGCCTGGGCGACAGAGTGAGAGCCCATCTCAAAAAAAAAAAAAAAAAAGAAAAGAAAAAGAAAAAGAAAGCAAGAGAAGGCAAGTAAGGAAAGCTGTACATTCTTTTTGTAACCTAGCCTTGGAAGTGACATCTCATTGCTTTTGCTATGTCCTACTTGTTAAGAGTCAGTCCCTAGATCAAATTTACACTGAAGGAGATGAGATTACTTAAGGACTGCATAACAGAAGAGAGGAGTCTTTGGGATCTTCTTAGAGATTGTCAACCATACCCTTTAAGAAGGAGAACGTGAGAATCTCAGTGACCTTATAATTTTGCTTTTGTAGAAGTAAGAGTTCATATTTGATTCCTTGGTTGACATGAGAGAGAACATCTTTTCAACTGAAACAAAACAAAACAAAACCATGATGGCCATTTGAGAGCCCCCTGGGAAATGATTCTTTTCATGCATATACAGCATGGCAAAGACTCTTGGATGTTCTCAGCATCTGGGCAAAACCATATACCATTTACTCACTGAACATTATGCCAGTCAAATTGGAATGGACATCTGTCTATTGATGTTCTTGCATTTCTCCTATTAGATTCAGAATCCTCCAAGTTCCCAAACATCATCCCTTAGAGACATAGCAGATGCATTTTCAATTTTGTCTTGTGAATTATTCTGGGATGTACTTTTCCAGAAATATCAGTAAAGGAACTGTGAAAGATGATGTCATAATACTGATCCTCAGTTAATCATCCACTTGCCAGAAAGGTGCCAGAGAGATGTGACGGATGTGCAAGCTTTGATCTTCATGACATTATAAAGTTCACAGATCAATGAGAATTTTTTTTAAAATTTTATTATTATTATACTTTACCTAATGCTAAATGACGAGTCAATGAGAATTTTAAGAGGCAATTCAGAAGCAACGCCATATCTTGGGGCACTGGTAAGTAGGAGGTGCTTAGCCCATTACAGTGAAGGTTCTCCAAAGCTATGGGGATCAACAGGAAACTTTAATTTAGGTCATATTGGTACAGAATCATATTTCACCCAAATACCCTCTTACTCCTTACCAAATAAATAAGTAGATTAATATCATACTCATTTCTTGCCAGTACATTTTAGACACTGCAGGGACTGCATGAAACCTATAAAGTGCAATGTTTGAGCTCTAGGAGCTCACAGCCTAATTAGGGAAATGAAAGATTAGAATTAAGATAGTATTCCACTGTGATTAGTAGACAATCTGGCAAATAGAACATTCAACAAGTCCGAATGTGCCAAAATCCATCAGAGGTACAAAGTGGTCAAGGTAGGTATGATGGTTCCAGGATGCCACAAGGGGTACAGGATCCTTCCAGCTTTCTTCTTTGTCATCTGTAGCTTATCCTATTGTTTGCTTATGCTACTGTGAGCTTATCCCATTGTTTGTTTTCTCAGTCACAGGATGGTCACTCCACTCTAGCATCACAACCACAGTCCAAAAGAGGGAAAGATAAACAAAGAGCAGAACAAAGTCAGTTGATAGGCTCACCCTTTAAAAAGCTTCCCTGGTAAGCCCCTCCAAGCAACACCTACTTATATCCATTTGGCCAAAACTGTGTTGTGGATGTTATTGGCTGCAGAGAGGCTAGGGAGTGTGATTTTTTAAACCTGAAATAAACTTAGAAGGTATACTTTGGATATCTGTCTCCTCCAAATCTCATGTTGAAATTTGGTCCCCAGTGTTAGAGGTGGGGCCTGGTAGGAGGAGTTTGGGTCATGGGGCAGATTCTTCATGAAAGGCTTGGTGCTGTCCTCAAGGTAATGACTGACTTCTCACTCTATTAGTTCCTGTGAGCTCTGTTGTTAATAAGAGTCTGGTCACTCTTTCCCCTCTCTCTCTTTCCTCCTCTCTGCTTCCTGCTCTTGTCATGTGGCTGCTTCCCCTTCCCTTTCCACCATGATTGGAAGCTTTAAGCAGCCCTCATCAGAAACATGCCAGCTCCATGCTTCTTGTACAGCCTGAAGAACCATGAAACAAATAAACTTCTTTTCTTTATAAATTGCCCAGGCTCAGGTATTCCTTTATAGCAACTGAAAATAGACTAAAACATTAGAGTTATCAAGCAGGAAATACTAAATATGGGAAGACCACTAAAAGTGTTTGGTAGGAGCATAAAACAAAAACAGCAAGGTTACAATTAGTGAAAGGCAGCAAATACAGTTACCCACAAAATGTTTGGATCGTAATGCCTGCAAAAATTAAAACCCAGTATTCAAAGACAGAATATTGGGTATGATATAGCCTATAAGAAATTTTCCCTGTTAGAAATTTCTGAAACTAATGCTAGAGAATAGAAACTTTTTTGTTTTGGGTTGTTGGAACTGGTGGTCATTAGCTTTTTGCCTTGAGTAATGAAGAGGACGTGAAGTGGTGGTATTCCATTTTTAGTAAACTCAGTGTCCCAATTCTATTTCCTTTTTGTCTATAAGAACACCTCCTTAATCAACTTTCAGTTACTTATCTTATAACCCATCCATAAAATCCTCTTGGATCCTTATAGATAAGTGGGATTCTTCCTGGCTACACTCTAGAATCTTACGAGTTTTTAGAAATTTTACATCCAGGGGCCAGGCATGGTAGCTCATGCCTGTAATCCCAGCACTTTGGGAGGCCGAGGCAGGCAGATCACAAGGTCAAGAGATCAAAACCATCCTGGCCAAAATGGTGAAACTCCATCTCTACTAAAAATACAAAAAAATTTGCCAGGTGCAGTGGCACGTGCCTGTAGTCCCAGCTATTCGGGAGGTTAAGGCAGGAGAATCACTTGAACCCAGGAGGTGGAGGATGGAGTGAGCCGAGATCCCACCACTGCACTTCAGCCTGGGAGACAGAGCCAGACTCTGTTTCAAAAAAAAAAAAAATTTACATCCAGACAACACTCCAGAGAAATTAAATAGCAGTGTATTGAGAGCATTGCCATTGTTTAAAAGCAAGTATTGAGAACCACTAGTCTAGAACAAGGATCAGAAAACTATGAACTGCAGACCAAATATGGTCCACCTTCTATTTTTGTCAGTACAGTCACAGGTTGCTTAAGGACAGGGACACATTTGGAGAAATGAGTCGTTAGGTGATTTTTGTCATTGTGTGATCATAGAGTGTTCTTACACAGACATAGATGGCATGGCCTACTACACACCTAGGCCATATGGCATAGCCTATTGCTCTTATCACTTTCATATTTGCAGTTCATTTGACCAAAACATGGTTATGGGTGCATGACTGTAGTAAGGTTTTATTGGAACGCAGCCATGTATCATCACTGGCTGTTTTTACACTTCAAGGGTAAAGTTGAGTGATTGTGACCAAGAACTAATGGCTATTAATTCCTAAAATACTTACTCTCTGGTTCTCTCCATAAATAGTTTTCCAACCCTTGCTCTAGGTCATAGAATTATATATAGTTCATTAGAGTTTATCAGAAAATACCTCAAGATAATCAATGTAATCCTCTCATTTTACAAATAAGAGAGGGGTTATGATTGACCCAAGGTCACATGGGAAGATTATGACCTCCAGGCCAGGCATCTACTCATGACATCAGGCATGCAGAAGGTTCCTGTATGCAACGCATGTAGTTTCCCCTATTATTATTACCATTATTATTATTATTATTATTATTATTATTATTATTATTTGAGCAGACTCTGGCTCTGTCGCCCAGGCTGGAGTGAAGTGGTGTGATCTTGGCTCACTGCAGCCTCTGCCTCCTGGGTTTCAGCGATTCTCCTGCCTCAGCCTCTCGAGTAGCTGGGATTACAGGCCTGCACCCCCACACCAGGCCGATTTTTGTATTTTTCGTAGAGATGGGGTTTCGCTGTTTTGGCCAGGCTGGTCTCCAACTCCTGACCTCAGGTGATCCACATCCGCCTCAGCCTCCCAAAGTGCTGTGATTACAAAGTGTGAGCCACCACGCCTGGCCGGTTTCCCCTATTAATATTGTATGTCAGTATGGTACATTTGACGAAATGAATGAAGCAACACTGACATGTCATTATTAACTAAAGTCCATTCTTTATTTGGACTTCTTTGGTTTTTATCTAATGTCCTTTTTCTGTTCTGGGATCTCATTCAAGACACATTACATCTGGTCATGGGGTCTCCTTAGGCTCCTCTTGGCTGTGATGGTTTCTCAGACTTCATTTTTGATGACCTTGGCAGTTTTGAGAATTATTGGTCAGGAATTTCATAGAATATCCCTTGATTTGAGTTTCCTAGATGTTTTCCTCATCATTTGTTTGGGGGCTATAAGTGGGTTCGGGGAAGTAAAATAACACTTTCATCACACTGAATGAAGGCTGTATACTATGAACATGACTCATCACTGTTGATGTTGACCTTGATTGCTTGTCTAATGTAGTGTTTGTCAGATTTGTCCACCATAAAGTTACTGTTTTTCTTCCTCTGCATCCTTTCCTCTTTGGGATAAATTCACTATGCACAGCCCACACTTAAGGAGTTGGGAGTTATGCTCTTTCTTGAGGATGCCGTATTTATATAAATTATTCCTCTGAAAGAGAGATATGTCACTTCTCCCTCATTTATTTATTCAGTCATTTATTGCTTTTATTTATCAATTTTATCAATCATTTATTACATACAATATATACTTGTATTTCAACATTCATCAAGTCATCAAACATTTATGGAGCATGATCTCTGGGCCGTGCACTATGCCCAGAGGCAGAGAGTTACAGCAGCAACACAGAAAATAGCACCTGGCCTCAAATAACTCAGGTTAGTGGTCCCAGGGTCAAACAATAAAATCTATGACACAGAGTGAAAGTTGTAGTGTGCACAAGGTGCTGTGTGCAGGTGCTACTGAAACCAAACTGTGTGATTAACTCACTAATTCTTCACAATATTCCTACCAAATGGATATTATTGAAATCTTATGGATTAGGAAGTGATACACAGAGAGGTTAAGTAACTTACCCAAGATTGCATAGCCATGTACAGAGAGGTTAAGTAACTTACCCAAGGTTGCACAGCCATTAAATGGCAGAAACACTTGGATCAGGATCAAGTTAGGGCTTTTAATCATGGCATTAAATTATTTCTTATGTGTGGTGGTGTACGTAAGTAAAGGGACCCACAAAACACTCGTGCAACCCAGTTTTAGGGGTGGGAGGGTAGGGACAGGAACTCTTCTAGGAAGTATTGACAATGCAGCTGAAAGAAATAACGACCCCCAAATTCTAATACGTCTGAAGCAAGCTCTCCTGAGAATTCTGGTGGGCTAGGGTCAGGAACCTTCTCTTAAGGTACAGAAGAAGTGTAGGACGCTTGGGTTCTTTGACTAAAATGTTTAGGACTTTCTTTCCCACTCATCTGTCCCAAATGACTTCCTTTTGAATAAGAATTACTGTCTCTTTCTGTGAGTGAGTGACAGGCTATCTCCTGGGTCCCCTTTTCTCTCTCTTAATAACAGCATGTTTGGATACTGATGCTAAGTGCAGAAGAGCTGGTGCTCCTAGGCTGGCAGTAATGAAAATATTTTTAAAAGGATGTCTGCTCCTCTATGTTTCCCTCAGTCTTGACTGCCTTCAAAGGCTGAGGAAGGTCACAAGAAGGCTCCTATAACTATAGTATGGTGTTGTCCAAAAAGGAAAAAAGAAAAAGGTAAGAGCTTTAACAATCTTTCCTCTCTTGCTGCTGTTGCCAAGATGCTGAACATCCTGCCACCCATCCTCTAACAGGTTTTTACAGGAGAGTGGCAGACTCCGCCCACTTCATGGTGAAGGTCAGGAAGTTAAAGGGTAAGGCAACAAGCTGGGGGCGTGAGGGAAAAGGAGGGAGGAGGATGTTTTGTGGACAGGGCCCTGGAAGAAAGCAGAGGGTGTAAAGAAAGTTACACGGCAATTTCTGTGCTATTTAGCAACTATATATTGAGTCTAGGATTGTAGGGGCTGCAGATACAAAGATGATTGGATGACTCTGACAGCTGCCACACCTTAAGTGACTCGCTGTCCATTGGAACTGCACAAGGTCTTGGGATCCCTGGGGAGGGGTCCACTGGCCCATCCAGGAGGAGCCATGGAAGAGCAAGCATTCAGCTTGAAGAAAGGCTGAGAATTCACCCAACTGAACAAGGGAAAGGGCATTTTATGAATAGGGTACAGCATACTTAAAGGCACAAGAGCAAGACAGAGTGTGAACTGGGAGAAAATGATGAGGGAGATGGGAGGCAGAGTGTGTGTTGAGTGCAGTTATCAAGACTCTTTTGGTTGCAAGTGACAGAGACCCAACTCATGTTGGGTTGCATTTTTTAAAAATTAATTATTATTATTATTACTTTTGAGATGGAGTCTTGCTCTGTCGTCCAGGCTGGAGTGCAGCGGTGTGATCTCAGCTCACTGCAAGCTCTGCCTCCCAAGTTTAAGCAATTCTTTGCTTCAGCCTCCCAAGTAGCTGGGATTACAGGCGCACACCACCACACCCAGCTAATTTTTGTATTTTTAGTAGAGATGGGGGTTTCACCATCTTGGCCAGGCTAGTCTTGAACTCCTGACCTTGTGATCCACTCACCTTGGCCTCCCAAAGTGCTGGGATTACAGGTGTGAGCCACTGCGCCTGGCCGGGTTGCATTTTATTGAAAAGGATTAAATTATACTGGCTAGGTCTAGGACTCAAACAGTGCCCCTCATCTTCAATCTCTGTCTCTCCTTTCTTCTGAATTGGCCTTTCTCTCAGACAGAACTTCCTCAAGTGGGGACAAAGAAGGCCTCCAACTCCCATCCTGGAAGCTAAGAAACCTAAGTGAAGGAAAACTGTTTCCCCAGTAGGCCACTGAGAGTCCCAGGTAGGGCTCATTGGCTTGCGCCCTTGTCTCTGAAATGATTCTAGGGCCCATGCACTGAGATGCTTTGATTGGCCAGGTCTAGAACTAGGGCCTTCCCTGCAGTCTGGGGGTGAGTCCACCCAAATGGAACCAGATATGTGAAGAGTAGGGGAGGACTATTACCCCTAAAGAAACCACGTGTTGTTACAAAAAGGGATTTCCCCTTTTCTCTCTGCTGAACCAGAGAGAAGAATCAAATGTCCATTATAACGAGGGGTTGGAAGATGAAATTGGAAAGTAATTTCAGGCTGCCTTGTGATCTGAGTTGAAAGCTGAAGAAACGTGGCTTTAGAGGGGAGAAACAAGATGTCCAAGGGTCAGAGAAATAGTTCTCTTGGTATTTTGCTGTATTAGGAAAATAAATAAACTGTTGAAGCAATTTAAGAAACCATATTTTTTTTCTTTTTGGAACAGAACTCTAGCTTGGCTCAGAGATATAATTTTATTGTCTTCCCACTGTTTGAAGTACTGCAAGAACAGGAACATAAAACAGTGTTATTAAAATGAAATAGAAAGTTTTTATTTTTCCCGACATTCATAGAAGGGAGAAGACTGGGTGGATGGATGGATGAGGAGACTTGAGTATGAAGTTTAAAAGAGAAAGAGAGAGGGAAAAAACCCCACTTCTTCCTCCATCCATTCAGACCTATCGTCTTTGAAGGGGTGAAGGCGTGGGTGCACTGAGGTGGTGTTTTGCCTGTCTTTTGAATAGCCAGGATGGAACAGTCCGTGTGGGAGGTGGGAGAATGCCACTCCTTGGATAAGTTGGTCCTGGTCTTGGGTTTGTGTCAAGTTCCAGGAAAGTATTATTTCATTAAAGAAAAAAACAGGAAAGCAAGCCAGTGAGCCATTGGTTTGAAATATATTTGTGGGTCCTCTCGACACATCCCATCCTTCCTGCTCTGGATGGGAAGGGAGTGTAGAATCACTTTCTCTTGTGTAGCTGCATCTCAGGCATGAGAAAGTATGAAGGATGTCTGGTGCCCTGTGCCTGCTGATCAGTGCTGTATTTCACACAAGGCTGAAATAATCCTATCCTCGGTGTAAAAAGGGGACGCTGGAAAATGTCATTTTCTCATTAGTCAACATCACAATTGCTTAATTCTGATGAATACTAATGAAAAGGGGAAGTTTTCACATAACCAATTTATCAGAAATTCAACTGCTTTATCCCGCTAAGGATTTATAATACTTTGCCAATTTTTTTTCTTAGGGCCAATGTTTAGAGAGTTTCCTCAGTCCATTTCTCTCCCCAGAATTAATAATTCCACCTACTATGACCTAAGATTTATTTTAAAAAGAGCGATGTTTTCTTCTGTCGTAAGTTTTCCTTGGCTCTGTGTCCACTGCTTGTGAATAGTGTGGCCTTCATGGGGATAAGATGGTTCTGTAAGTAGATCGTCAGTTGCTAGCATTTCAAACGGTTGAGTCCAAAGTCCACTCACTTCAAATAGCGGTTACTTCATTAAAACTGCATATTTTTATTCATTTTGATAACACAATGTAGTGTTTAGTAAAAACCAGTCTACAATGAACTACTGTTATGCTAACTGAAGTACCCTTACCCTTTAAATATTATCAGGATGAGCATCTGATGTAATACTCAAAATTTCTATATCAGGGATTTAAAAAAAATTTAAGTATTATGGACTCATAATACTTATATATTTATGGAAGTACATGTGATGCTTTGATACAGGCATAAAAATAGGGTGGCTATAGTTAACAATAATTTGTTTCAGAATTTTTTGGGGGGTCTGATATATTTAGTCTCCACCCACAGTTTTAGCAAACATTCCTGGATGAAATCTTTTTGGCTCAGCTTTGGTCACATGACCATCCCTGAACCAATCACCATGTTCAGGGAGATAGGGTGCTCTGATTGGCCAGTGAGACTCACTCCTGAGCTGGAGCCAGAGACTGGAGTCCAGGGCCACACTCAGCACAGAGGGGCTGCCAGTGTTGGGTGGTAACTGCGTCTGTCTCCAAAACTGCCCTTTTTTTTTTTTTTTGAGACAGAGTCTTGCACAGTCACCCAGGCTGGAGTGCAGTGGCGTGATCTCGGCTCACTGCAAACTCAGCCTCCTGGGTTCAAATGATTCTCCTGCCTCAGCCTCCTGAGTAGCTGGGATTACAGGTGCACACCACCACTCCCGGATAATTTTTGTATTTTCCATAGAGACGGGGTTTCACCATGTTGGTCAGGCTGGTCTCAAACCCCTGACCTCATGATACACCCACCTCAGCCTCCCAAAGAGCTGAGATTACAGGCATAGCCACTGCGCCTGGCCAGATAGAGGTATTAGGAGGGCAATGAGCTAATGCTGCGGAATGAAATTCACAATCTTTTGACATGTCCTACTGTTACCAAAACATCAGATGTTCAGTTTAGGTCCTGGTACTCACTGCACAGAAAGGCAATCACTGAGACCATGTGTATTGTCAGGAAAGAAGGCTTTATTCAGATGCTGCAGTGGAGGAGATGGGAGCTCAGTCTCAATTCCCTCTCCCTGACCAACTAAAATCAGGGGTTTATGTAGCAGGGAAGAGATGTAACCATATCTGGTAAACAGGAATGAGAGAGGGGGAAGGAAGGGGAGTCGATCAACTGGAAGCAGGTGTCTGGTTAGACAGTCATGATGGGTGAGGGGTCTGGTGTGTCATTGTCCAAGTGCAGTAACCTGGTGAGTTTCACTGCCTTGATACTCCCTGGGAGGCCTGATGGTTGGTTTCCTGAGAAAGGAACTCAGATGAGACAAATGGAACTTTCTCAAGTTTCAAGACTGAGAGGATCAGTTTCTATCTTTATTCAAAGAAACCATTAGGCCGGGCACATCGGCTCAAGCCTGCAATCTCAGCACTTTGGGAGGCCTAGGCGGGTGAATTGCTTGAGGTCAGGAGTTTGAGACCAGCCTAACCAACATGGTGAAACGCTATTTCTACTAAAAATATAAAAATTAGCTGGGCGTGGTGGTGCGTGCCTCTGATCCCAGCTACTTGGGAGGCTGAGGCAAAGAATCACTTGAACCTGGGAGGTAGAAGTTGTAGTGAGCTGAGATCATGCCACTGCACTCCATCCTGGGCAACAGAACAAGATTCTGTTTCAAAAAAAATTAAAATAAAACCCCAAACCAAAAAAACAAAGAAACCATTAAACACCAGTTCTATGGACAGGTGGGTGGGTTTCACTATCTAGGGGTCAAGCAGCTCATTTTATAATCTCAGGAACCCTTGCCGCCTATTTCATGGTTCGCACTAAGAATTGACTAAAAAGGAACCCATGATTATACCTTTTACACCCAGTGTCTCCGGGTGGCTTCTTCCATCCTCTCACACTCTCTCTCCTCGGAACTCCTAAGTCCTTTCCACATGAGCCATGCCAGTCATGAGTATTATAGCTTCTGGAGCTTGTCTCCTTAGGGACTTTGGTATAACAGACCCCAATTTCTGTTTTTAATAGGGGTAGGTCAGTACAGGCAATTCCTTTCCTCAAACTCATTCTGGAGCCTGGAGAATTCTCAGGTATTCCATGAAGCTCAGAATCAAAGCTGGCCACCCCAGCTTTAGGACCCACCTGGCAACTGACTTCTCCTCTGAGTAGAGCCCTCAGGTCCCCTGTCTCCATCAAGGCCTCAGGGGCTGCAGCACAGGGAGAACTTACAAGCTAACAACAGCTCCATGCACGCGGCTGAAGGAAGCCGTGGGTAACAGTGGGGATGGCGATGTGTTGGAAGCAGCACAGCTTTCCTGCGGGAATGGGTGTCCAGTTGCAAGAAGGGACATTCTCCCGGGACAACTGGTCTTGCAGCTGTTGTGTCCACCTCTTTCTGTCGAACCCTTCTTGGAAGATGCTTCGTCCTAAAGCATTGTCCTTGTCATGGACAGCTGTGTGACTATGCTGGCCTCACTTCTTTCCCCTACAGCTCACAACCACTGTGCCCTGCCGATCTATTGCAGCAGCAGCACTTGATGCCAGGCCGAAATGCTCATTTCCTGTCATTAGGGTCACTCAGGGACACTGTCAGGTAGGGACATGCCAGTCATGGAAAAGTCCTCTGGTTAAATAAGACCTGCCTCTCCCATTTCTTCTTCAGCCTCTACAGTGTTGATGGCAATGTTCTGTCCACATATTTGACACCCAGTCCCTTAAAAAATATAGAATATGTGAGACTGTGGGCCCATTTTCAGCATTATATCATGATTTAAAATAGTCTACCATTTGACTGACAAATGTAGAGGGAGAGACAAGGAAGCTATAATAGGTACCTAGATGGGAGAGGGGCCTCTCTAATGCCTACTTGAAGTCATCATCGTCATCATTCTTATTATTATTTGGATACAGGGGTTGTCACCCAGGCTAGAGTGTGGTAGTACCACCATAGCCCATGAAGCCTCAAACTCCTAGGCTCAAGCAATCCTCCTGCCTCAGCCTCTGGAGTAACAGGGACTACAGGCGTGTGTCACCATGCCTGGCTATTTCTTGTAATTTTTTGTAGAAATGGGGTCTCACTATGTTGTCCAGGCTGGTCTGGAACTCCTGGCTTCAAGCAACCCTCCCACATTGGCCTCCCAAAGTATTGGAGTTACAGATGACAGTCATTAAAAATCATTATGATTAATTATGGTAAGGCCCATAGGAGAGCAGTGGCTAATGTACAGACTGTTTCATAATTTTGTCTTCAGGAGACCTCTACATTATTTCTGCTTTCTGAGAAGGACAATGAACCTGTGTCTATAGTTTTGCTCCAGCCCCCAGCCTACCTAGGCTGCTATGAAATTTGCAGCTACTGAGCTCCCTGTAGAAGATAATGTCCCATAGTACACAGCTATGCAGCATCTTATATTCCAGGGCCAGACTCACGGCAATTCTCGCAGCTCTGCTTGGCAACAAAACTAAACAAATGCACACCAGCATTATTTCTGCTAAAGTTCAAAGTATTGACATATTTTAGCATATTTTAGTCTCTGTCAAACCAGAGGGTCATTTTTCTCTTTGGAACATTAGAAACAAAGATGAACTTGAGCTATTTGGAGAGAATATTTAGATTTTTCTGTTAAATTTATTTCACCCCAAGGAGCACTTTCATGGTTCTATGAAAGTGCTTAGATTGATCTCTGAAAAGGAAGACACAGCATGTCTTAAATTTGACTGTTTTAAAACCAATTAAGTTCCCTGCTCTCAGCCAACAGTGCAACGGGGGAGCCTGAAAAAGCACACTTTGTTCCATTATGCGTGACTTAAGTGTGCAGGTGGATGCATGCAGTACCCTTTCAGAAAATGCAGACCCCCCAGAGAGTTGCAGCGAGTACCCCAAACATATAAACTCAGGGTCATTTGCGAGAGGATTATTAGAATTTTGATAGGTATTTTTACAAAGTAGGGAAGCCGTAAAGACTGAATCCCAAACACTCTGTTTGTGTATTTCTTTTCCTTTATTTTTTGTTTCTTTTTTAAAGGATATTTACTCTCTGAAGCAAAGCAGAGGCCATAAGAATGGACATTTGGGGACACAGAAATAGGATAGAAACTCAAAATAAAGTGGTGAGGAAAGGATCGATTGCTCAGGCAGAATTATCAGGATTTCCATTGAGATCAAGTAATGAAGAATGGTTGGGCAGGTTTCCCTCCTCTGACTCACACAGCATAGATGGTATCCAGGCTACTTTGCAGTCAGCTAAGAGTAATAGCTGTGATATACAATATTTTAACAAGAACAATGGCCACTGCAGTTTAGAGTCAGGAGAAAAAACCTTTCCGTAATAAACACTCTTGATGAGCTAAAGTCAATAGTGCGTTGAGATGCAGTCACTTTGGAGGTAGAGCTGCTTTGGTCAGGATCTATGGAAGCTAAACCTACACTTACCTTATAATCCAGTAATGACACTCCTAGGTATACACTCAAGAGAAATGAACATATATGTCCAGCACAAGACATGTGCATTTATCTCCATAGCAGATTTATTAATAATAGCCCAGACTAGAAACAATGTGATGGAATATTATACAACTAAAATAATTGACTTAACTTGCATTTTTGAATGAGATAATTGGGACTGGATTTATCTTCTCATCTGAAACAACAAGTAAAATAAAATGGACAAAAGTATGAAGCAATGTATTTTCAAAACATTGTACACCAGACAACACAACAGAGTGATCCCTGCGAGGCAGAAACAAACATGAAACCTACAGTTGCACTCTAAGTGCTTTGAGAGAGTTTTCAGGACAGATGCAGGATGAAGCCTAAGATTCCCTGGCTGGAGGAGGTGGAGCTGAAAGTCCCAGGAGACTAGGTAGCTGGAGTTTGTAACACTAGGTGCCCATGAGAGGAGAGCTGAGAGACGGAAGCTGGGAGATCTGCAGGCGCTTCCCTTGGAGTGCTCCTCAGTGCATGCCTGTGGACAACTCAAGAGGGCTGAGGGTAAGAACCACCCCAAAGCTTAAGGAGCAATGCCTGCTACTCACAGCGGGCCTCCCCACCTAGATCGCTCTGCACTTTGTTTTTTCTCAGATCCTTCCAGTTGCAGAGTCCAGCCCTCCCAGATTACACTGGAAACTGACTTAAGCAGACACATATTCAAGATTTAGGTAGTTGACTGTATTTTATTGAATTGTGTAGAGTTTCTCATTTTTAGCTTGGTTTTCTTCGCCTCCTCCATTTCTACCTCTGAGCTCCAACCTTAGAGATGCTCCCCTCCCACCACCCCAGGCATTCTAAATTCTCTAGTTATCCTCTCCTCCAGAAGGAAGCTTTGCCATTAGATATCCGTCCTACACCAAGCTGTTCATTAATGTAATCCTTTCACATGGAATCCCATATACACCACACTCAGTTCCCCTATTATTAACATCTTGCTGTAGTATGGTATACTTATTACAATTAATGAACCAATATTGACACATTGTTATCAAGTCCAGAATTTGTTCCAATTTTCTAGGTTTTCACCTGATGTCCCTTTCCCAGTCCATGATCCCATTTTAGATGTTACGTGGCACGTGCTTAGGTCTCCTTAGGTTCCACTTGTCTATGGCAGTTCTCCAGCTTTCCTTATTTTTGATGACTTTGACAGTTTGAGGAATTCTTCAAAAAGGTATTTTGTAGGATGCCAACCCCCTTACTGCTGAAATTCGTCTGATGTTTTTCTCATGATTACATGAGGGGGGATGATGGTGTTTTGGAAGAGAGACCATAGATACTGACTTTGATTACCTGGGTGAGGTAGTGTTTGCCAGGTTTTCTCCACTGTAAAGTTACTCTTTTTTCTCCTGCTTTCACTCGTTGAAGGCAGAATATCCATGCAAATTATTTGGGATTCCTGTTGCATGGAAGATTTGTCCCTTCTCCCTCATTTATGAATTTATTCAATCATTTATTTCTATCAGTATAAACTCATAAACATTTATTATCAGCATTTCTCCAAAGAATCTTGGCTCCTATTATTGGAGAATGACATTAGAAACCAAAATCTGACTAGGCGTGCTCATTGCTACTGGGTAACATTTTTTATTTTTATTTTTTAGAGACAGGGTCTTGCTATGTTGCCAGGGCTAGAGTGCAGTGGCCATTAACAGATGTGACCATAGTGTACTACAGACTGAAACTCCTGGGCTCAAGTGATCTACCAACATCAATACAGGAATGCACCACTGTGCCTGCTTTAAAAAATTTTATATATATATATATATATATATATATGAATCATTTATTTTAGGCCCTTTTAGCTAACTGAGCAAGGAAATATATGTGTGTATACTAACCCATGCATATACATGTATCTATAGCTATTTCCATATGTAGTCATCTCTGTTAAGGTAAACAAATTCATGTTGATGTTCCCAACTCTAATTCATTATCACATGGATAGTTCTAGGTTCCTCTTGGTTACCTATAAATGTCTACTCCAATCGCAAGAAATATACATCCCACCATGCACCATCCATTTACTGAATAATGGAGTTCAATCCTACATGGGTGCTATTTCATTTTATTTTATTGTGAAATAATTTTAGACTCACCTAAAAGTAAAAATAGCCCTGAGAGTTCCTGGGTACACTTCCCTCTGCTTCCTCCAGTGATAACATCTTACATCACCATAATACAATTATCAAAACAAACCAGAAAATTAATGTTGGTACAACACTACTAACTTATTCAGATTTTACCAGTTTTTACATGCATTTATTGTTTTTTTTTTTTTTGGTGAATAGTTGTAGGAAATTTTATCACCCGTATAGATTCACTTAACCACTGCCCCCAAACAGGAAACAAAAATATCCCATCCTCCTAAAAAAAACCCCCTTACGCTACCTCCTCACAGTTTCATCTTCTCCCCAGCTCTGCCTCCTACGCTTCATCATGATAACTTGTTCATTCACATGAGATGGTACATGACCTCTCAATTGCTTTTCTTCATTCACCATCATACTCTTGTGATCCATTCAATTTGTTTATCAATAGTTCATTTCTTTTTCTTGCTAAGTGAGTATTCCACCCTCAGGATGTACCACAGCTTACTTGTCCTTTTGAAACCAGCCCAATTGTCCCATAGAACTGATGGTTTATTTATGATTTCTTTTGAATAAATGTAGAAATGGAATCTTCCAGTCTTGAAATGTAAGAAAGTTACATTTTTCCTATCTGATTTTTTTTTTTTCAGGAAACTGACCATCAGGCCTCCCAGAGAGTATCAAGGAGCTGAAACTCACCAGGTCACTGCACCTGCACAATGAGATGCCAAGCCCCTCACCCGTCATGACTTCCTCACTGACTGCCTGCTTCCTGTTGACCAACTCCTCTTCCTTACCCCTCCCTAATTCCTGTTTTCCTGTACATGGTGACATACCTTCCTTGCTATATGAACCCTTAATTTTAGTTGGTTGAGGAGATAGATTTGAGAATGATCTCCCATTTCCTTGGAGCACCCGATTAAAGCCTTCTAGCACCCAATTAAAGCCTTCTTCCGTGGAAATACTCCTGGTCTTGGTGATTGGCTTTCTGTGCAGCCAGCAACAGGACCTAGATGGAACCCCTGGTGTGTTGGTAACATTTTCACCTTTTGAAAGACATTTGGGTTATTTCTGGCTTCTGGCTATTATAATTAAGACTGCTATGAACATTTGTGCACAGGTTTATGTGTGAACAGAAGTTTTACTTTCCCTAGGATAAATACCCAGGAGTTGTTGGAATACAGATGTGGTAACTGAGATACAAAGCGATTAGGAGACATGTCCAAACTCACCCAGTTTGTAAGAGGAAACTCAAGATTTAAGCATGAGAACTCTAACTCTAGACCCTGTTTTTATAACCACTATGCTATGGTGCTCCTTAATAACCAAAATTATAATAATGTTAACATTACATTATCACTTAACATATCTGGGCCAACATGAAGTTCTGCATTATAATCATCTTTAATATTCACAGCCTGCCCCCGTGAGGGAGGGTCTGGCATGGGTCTTCATTACAGATGAAGGACTGAGGCTTAAGGAAGTTATGTAATTTGCTGAGGAGCAGACTAATATTTGATGGTGACAGACAAGACCCAGGGTCAAGGCAACTGCTCTCTCTGGAAGGGGAGGGGGCGGAGACTTTGTCCTTGGTTGCGTGGTGTTTACTATGTGCATAATGGTGGCTACTCCTGGCTCCATGATGAGATAGAGCCACATCTCTGTCAGTGAGAACTGGGACCGTGAACATTCTAGGACAGTACATCCCTCTAAGACTCCGACAGGGCCAGCTCATTCCTGTGGGTGGCATATTAGATTGCAATGGCTTCTGTGCCGATTCTGTGTTTGCTTTTCAGGGTTTTAGGGCTAGTTTATTAGCATGTTGATAATTCAATTTGCCATACTTCCATGAGATATTTGAGCCATGAAATGTCTAATAAAGATTTAGGACTGGGGATATTTTTATTTTAAGCAAATGATAGAAGTATTTGCTCTAAGCAATAAGCTTCTTTGGTCCAAGCAACAGAAATCATCTCTGGCTATCTTAAGCAATAAGAAAAGTAACCAGGAGAGCATCAGGTGGCTCCAAGAATCAACCAGAAGTCTGGAGAACAGGCCTCAGAAGAGGAAGCTCCAGGGACCCAGGTACAAGAAAATATCCCACATTTTCTTTAGTCAGTTGTTGCCAAAGGAAGCTCCAAACATTTCCAGCTTCCTGCATTTATGAGACCTGCTCTGGGTTTCCACTCCCACTTACTTATAAGTGAATGTAGAGTCACATTCTCTTCCCAGGAGCTATTTACAGCTTTACCCTAGCTTCCAGATATAGTTTGAAAACGTCTACTTTTCCCAGACTCAAGGAGGCTTTTTTCCCCTTTCCATTTGTGAACAAATGGGAATTGCTTTTCTAGGCAGGGGGCCTCCTTCCACATTTAAAATCTTGCTACTTAGGCCCCCTTCCCAGGTGCTGGTATTGAATTACAATATTAGTTTCCCACATAAGTGAGAAAGTTTTTTCCCCAGGAAAAGGGGAAAGGTAAAGTCCCTGCAGAATCAAAGCAAACACAGGCTTTCGTCACCAATGACAACCTTGGCTAAGGCCATCCTTACCACTTCAGGAAGATGATCCCTCTGTTGTGTTTCACAGGTTCAAATATACCCTCCTCCTCAAATGAGACGAAGCCATTGTTCACTCAGAGATCAAAGTGAGCTACTGTGCTGGACTCTGACTCAAAGCCTGGGTGGTGAATGGCACTGCATGAGAGTGGCAAAAGAGTATCCGAGTTTATTATAGGAACCAAAGCCTTAATTCTTCGACTTTTAAGCCCATTTTGCCCACCCATTGTATATAGTGAAGGCCTATCTGATATGGTTTGGATTTGTATTGCCACCCAGATCTCATGTTGAATTGTAATCTGCAGTGTTGGAGGAAGGGCTTGTTGGGAGGTGATTAGATCATGGGGGTGGATTTCTCCCTGGCTATTCTTGTGATAGTGAGTGAGTTCTCATGAGATCTGGTTGTTTAAAAGTGTTGTGATAGCAAGTGAGTTCTCATGAAATCTGGTTGTTTAAAAGTGTGTAGCACCTCTCCACTCTCCCTCTTTCTTCTGTTCCAGCCATATGCGACATACCTGCTTCCTCTTTGCCTTCCACAGATGATTGTAAGTTTCCTGAGGCCTCCCCAGCCATGCTTCCTATAAAGCCTGCAGAACCATGAGCCAATTAAACCTCTTCATAAATTACCCAGTCTCAGGTAGTTCTTTATAGCAATGCAAGAATGGACTAATACACTATCCCTGCACCGACAGCCTCAAGGCTACCTCATTCCACCGCTGTTCTCTGCATTCAAGTCATGGAGCCTGATCTTTTCACCAAGAAAAAATAAATTTTCCAGAAGGCTTGTGTTTTCACCTGCCTTTCAGCTGAGGGAAAATTCATCCCAAAGGAGCCAGCACTTTGCCTGGTGAGCTCTGTGTACTTACTTTCCTCCCACTAATATTTCCATTTTTTGCCTGAAGAATGTTGTTGGGCACTTCTAAAAAGAGTAGGAAAAGCTATACTATAATAGAGTTTGTGTCTGCTTATTGAAGTGTTATGTGCCGAACTGACCTATAATGGGAAAAATAGAAAATTGTTTTATTTATTTAATCAACTGGATTAGAGTGTAGGAATTGAGTTTTATATAAAATCCTACATGGTGTCTGGTTAGTAATAGACACTTATCAGTGTAAAGAGACAGTGGAATATCTACCTTCCTTTTGTTGCCCTAGCATATATTTCAAGCTTCATTTCATTGGGTTCTAGATTTTCTGAAGCTAAAACCTTGACCCCCATACCTATCTTTCAGGGAGACCGTATGAGATAGAGGTGAAAAGATCTGGTGTGTAATAATAGCTGACATTAATTTTGCACTTGATGTATAACTGACATTAATTATGCACTTGATGTATTTCAAGAACCTTTCTAAGTCCCCATTTGTTTTCATAAAATCTTCACAGTAGCTCTCCAAATGAATGAAATATTTGTTTCTGTTTTGCAAATAAAAAGTCTTCTTTAATGTTTGTAGTTTTGTAGTTTTCAGTGTACAAGTTTTTCACCACTTTGGCTAAATTTATTCCTGTGTATTTCATTCTTTTTTGATGCTATTGTAAATAGTATTCTTTCTCTAATTTCCTTTTTGGATAGTTTCTTGTTAGTGGATAGAAGTGGAACTGATAGTTGTATGTTCATTTTATAATTTGCAATTTTATTGAAGGAATTTACTTATTCATTCTAACAGAACTTTTTTGTGTAGTCATTTGAGTTCTTGCCATGTGTCATCTGCCAACAGAGATCATTTTACTTCTTCCTTTGTGATTTGCATGTCTTTGTTTATTTTTCTTGACTAATTGCTGTGGCTAAAGCTTCCAATACTATGTTTAATACAAGTGGTAAGAGTGGGCATCCTTGCTTTGTTCTGGATGTTAGAGGAAAAGCTTTCAGGTTTTCACCAACGAGTATGATGTTAGTTGTTAGTTGCTATTCATATATAGCCTTTATTATGTTAAGTAAATTCCTTTTTTCGGGTGAGAGCAGAGTATCACTCTGTCATCCAGGCTGGAATGCAGTGGCTTGATCTCAGCTTACTGCAACCTCTGCCTCCTGGGTTCAAACAATTCTCCTGCCTTGGTTTCCCAAGTAGTTGGGATTACAGGTGTGTGCCACCAGGCCCAGCTAATTTTTGTATTTTTACTAGAGATGGGGTTTTGCCATGTTGGCCAGGCTGGTCCCAAACTCCTGACCTCAAATGATCCAGCAGCCTCAGCCTCCCAAAGTGTTGGGATTACAGGTGTGAGCTACTTCGCCCGGCCTAAATTCCTTCTGTACCTATTTTGTTGAGAGTTTTTATTATAAAAAAGTTGAATTTTGTCAAATTTTTTTCTGCACTCTGAGGTGATCATGTGATTTTTATCTTTCATTCTGTTAATACAGTATATCACATTAATTGGTTTGCATATGTTGAAAAACCTTTGCATCTCAGTAACAAATTTCACTTGGTCATGGTGAATGATCCTTTTAATATGCCATTGAATATCATTTGCTAGCATTTTGTTGAGGATTTTTTTCTCTCTGTTTCTGAGGGATATTGGCCTGTAATTTTGTTTTCTCGTAGTATCATTGTCCGTCTTTGGTATTGGACTAATG
The DNA here is from genome assembly GCF_000001405.40 of Homo sapiens. Taxonomy (NCBI): domain Eukaryota; kingdom Metazoa; phylum Chordata; class Mammalia; order Primates; family Hominidae; genus Homo; species Homo sapiens. The sequence goes on from NC_000012.12 coordinate 125,851,871, forward strand.
TTAGCCTCATAAGAACAGTTTGCAAGTGTTGCTTCTTCAATTTTTTGAATCCCCAAAGTAAAAAGCAAAAGCAAAAATAAAACTGTTGTTTTTCTTTTTCCATCATGCCTTATCGTCCCTGAAGCAATAAACATGCAATACTCTAGCTGTTTCCTAAATGGGAAGAAAAATTACAGGATAAAATTTAATACATGAGCTCCCATTAAAAAATATTATTCCACCACATATGCCATGTTTTAAAAGATATATTATGTTCCCTAGTGGAATGGAGGTGTATGCAAAGGAAGCTGGTATATGAGGCTGAGATCTTATCACTTGTTTGTTCCTTTCTGTGCTGTTATTTTGTTATCTCTCAGTGACTCAATAGTTCCCAGAAAGTATGATTATATGCTTGAGACACTGTTCCCAAGCCCAGTGCTTTTGCTCTGTTCCATCAGCTGATGGCACAAACGTTCATGCACATCATGACTATGGTGATGCGTCACACTCAAACCATCTGCCTCATCTCGTCAGTCCCACCCTTGTGGAATATTTTTTCCTCTTGGATCCCTCCTCATGCCTCTTTAGTAGTTTTTCTTTATTTCCCCAAGTATCAACGCCAGAGAGCGCCCAGGCTCAGTCTTGGACCTCTTCTCCATCTACATTCTCATGGAGTCTTGTGGTTTTAAACATCATCTATACACCAATGTTTCTCAAATGTATATATCCAGCCGGAGGCATCCCTCTGACTCTAGAGTCATATATCCAAATTTCTTCTTGATATTTTCTATTGGATGTATGAAATATTTCTCAAATTGAGCACATCCAAAATTAATCCTCATCTTCCTAGTGCATTTATTACAGTTTTATCTCATTAAATGGCACCATCATTCATGCAGTTGCTCAGGCCAAAATCTTTGCAATTGTTCTTGAATCTTCTCTTTTTCTTATAACTGACAGCAAGTCTATCAGTAAATCCCATCAGCTCTACTTTTAAATAACCGGAATCTGATCAATTCTGGTGACGTCAGTGCTACCTGGTCCAAACCACCATTATGTCTCTTGACTGAATTACACAACAGCCTCCTGACTGATCCCCCCTATTTCTGCTTTATTTTCTCTATAAAAGTGAGGACAGTGAGGGTAGAACCTAGAGTTTATGCACTTCTGAATCCCCAGTGTCTACAGGATTGTGAACATGTATCATGAGCTCAAAAAAATATTTGATGGGACGGTCATGGTGGCTCACGCTTCTAACCCCAGCACTTTGGGAGGTTGAGGTGAGTGGATCACTTGAGCCCAGGAGTTGGAGACCAGCCTAGGTGACTTGACGAAATGCTGTCTCTGCAGAAAATACAAAAATTAGCAGGCATGATGATGCATGCCTGTAGTCCCAACTAAGTGGGAGGCTGAGGTGGGAGGGTTGTCTGAACTCAGGCGGCAGAGGTTGCAATAAACTGAGATCCTGCTACTGCACTCCTGCCTGGGTGACAAAGCCAGACCCTGTATGAAAAAAAAACCCCATATATATAACTACATAATGGAATATATATATATAAATATAAAATGAATGAATCCTTTATGTAGCCTTTCACTTTAAATATTTTCTTCTAAAAATTTTTCGAAGAAATAAGGATATTGAAACATTATTGTTTTAAATCAAAATTCCTGCTTGAAGATTCAAGAGAATTTGTGTGTTTGGGGAAAAGGAGTGTCTGACATTTTGAGCTTCCATTACCCTGGTTCTCAGGCACCAAAAGGCTTGGAAAGCTGATGCAGGATAAATTCTGGGGAAAGAGACATTTGAGTGGATAATTTATATCATAACCTTGTTTACAAGCACAAAGAGAAGGCTGAACTTAGGACATGCTCTTTACAAAACTTTCCAATTGGAATCAAATCTAGATCCTAAGTTTTCTGTTGTCTGAAGGGACAGCACAGTATGCTCAACCAAAAATACACTGTTCCCTTGAAAGCTGTTGTCATCATAAAACACTGTTTAAGAACACAGGTGCCACCTCATATTTTTAGCTCTTGGTTTTGGATGAGAGCAGCGATGAGAGATTTATGTGCCTGTCAAACAAGGACAAGATAAAGCATATTCTCCTGGTGCCTCATATATTTTCCTCATATATTTTTAGTTACATATTTTGCTCATGGTGCTGGTGATATCTCCTTTTTTTTTGGTGTCTGTCTTCTCACTCTGCTTTGATTCATATTAATTACTAGGAGACAAAGATGTCATTGCTGTGAGCCAGACTGAAAGAAATTTAGAAGTGAAGGAGAACATCATTTCCTAGGATGCAGACTTCTCTTTCTTATACAATCAATTATCAAAATGTAGCCTATGTATGACAGACATAGAGATATGCTATGCAGGTGAAATTACTGTGCACAATCTCTGGCTTTTTAACACCTGGAAAGTTTAAAAGAAATGGCTTTTGTTATTTATTATTGAGTATTCCTAATGATTCAATAGCAGTCAGAGTTGATGAATACCTGGACTCCAAGTCTCTCAGCAGCTAAATGTTTGATTTGCATTGTGCCTGAGCTTTGGAGAGCTGGAAAAGATTTCAGCACCTAGAGGATAAGTTGGGCTATGAATTTATGTGTTTGTTGCTATGGTAATTTATATTGGCATCATTTCAATACCCTCCTCAAACTTGGGCATTTCATGACAATGTGACACCTTTACATAATTTAACAACAAGCTGTGTGCATGAGAACTTAAAAATCCATTTGAAATATTCCAGAAAATATTAAATCAAGTGGGAATAAATCATTTCAAGCTTGAGATGTATAACCATTTGAACTATGAGAGTGGACATTCCCTGAAAGTGATTTTATAAATGTAAGCATTACTTTTTTTTTTTTTTTTGAGATGGTGTCTCACTCTGTCACCCAGGCTGGATGGAGTGCAGTGGTGTGATCTCCACTCACTGCAAGCTCCGTCTCCCGGGTTCACGCCATTCTCCTGCCTCAGACTCCCAAGTAACTGGGACTACAGGCGCCCACCACCACGCCCGGCTAATTTTTTGTGTTTTTAGTAGAGATGGGGTTTCACCATGTTAGCCAGGATGGTCTCAATCTGACCTTGTGATCCGCCCACCTCGGCCTCCCAAGGTGCTGGGATTACAGACGTGAGCCACCGCACCCAGCCACATTACTTCTGATAAATGATGTAAAACTGTGATTTTTCTGTAAAGGGAATACCTTTGCATCCAGACCAGATTGCCCCCTCCCCACTTTCAAGTAGGCAAAAGAAAACACGTATTTGCTAATGATTAGGACATGTGGCAGGAAGAACTTTTTCACAGGCTTCAGTGATATATTCATAATCACTGACCACAAGACCACGGGACACTAGTTTTTGGCATGGATACTGCTTATTTAAAGATGTAATTACTACAGACTGAATTTGTGTCCAAAATGCTGCCAATAGGTTAAATTGACAATGGTGTTAGTCCTGATCATGATTAAATTATTTACATTCCTGTATATTCTTTTTTTCCTCTTTTTAACTCAAACGTTTTTTGTTAAGAAAACAACATCAGTATTATTCCCTGGTGTGTCATTTTTCACTGGGATGAATGGCATAGTTTACATTTGTCATTATTCTGATTTTATTCTAATGCTATTAGTATTTTCTTGCATCAAAGATAAATATGTTTATATAACCAAGATAAACCTTGATTAACGCAGGGTTGAAATTAATTTCAGAGTTAGGAGAAAATGTCAGCTGCGCACCATGCTGTAAACAGGTTTCCCCAAGTGTCATGCTCCCATTCAGGACCATACAACCAGGCCATCAGTGATGTCCTTCATGCAAGCATCATATTTTGTTTTCAGAGCTGAGCCTAAAAGATGATTTGAAATAATGAATACATCGATAAAGCCTTTATAGATACAAGTCAGAATTGTTCTCTCCTTAATTTCTGCATACTGTTTAACCTTTTGACTCTACCACACATTAAGCTGTGCCTTGTGTTAGAGTTAAAGTGAGCATTTCTATCCTTTTCAATCCTGAACACCTGGAAAAATAGTTTATTGCTCAACTCTTGTGTCCCAGTAACCTAGCCCAACTCTTCACTGTACATAGTAGGTTCACAGTCAACATTTTTGAAATTACCTCTTGGAATTCTAAGCCTCTTGGCGTTTCAAGGATGAGATTTGTATGCCTTTTCTTCAGGAGATGTGAATAAGCATGACAGGAGAACAATAAATACTTATCATCTTGTTTTAAAATCTTGAGTAAGTGAGTACTTCCATACTTATCAAATTACTGGGGTCTATGAGCGATATATTAAATATCAACCCAGTAAATTATCTTCTGTTTCCTTTTCATTAAGAACAGGAAAAATATAGACACACATTTCTAGGAGTTACTGGCTAGTTTCTTTCTTGATATACATGATGTCATCTTCAGATGACTGGCTGGCAGCCATGCTGGAGGATACACAATGGTGTCAGGACTTTTGGCTGCCTCTTCAGGTAAGTGAGACCCCATGGACTAGTTTTAAGCTTAACTAGCCCTGTGTGGCATTTCATGTTAATCCTGGGTCTCGAGACACCCTTGCAAAGTTAGAAATGCTAAGGGCACGGTGCTGTGTATTTGCACTGCACTATTTTTTTTGATTCCCTTTGCCTCTCTAGCCTGGCTGCTTCCATAGAGTCTCCTGCCTCATGCTTTGCTGAGTGGATGACAGGTGTAGTGAGGCTGGCTGGCATTAAGATGATTAGATCAAAGTGAAGGCTTAGGCCACAGCTGGAGCTATCAGAATCTGTTTCCTGCAAATATAGACTTAGAGATTTACTATTCAGTCTCTGTTTGACATTTGCAAGAAAAAGCCAGGGTCGAGGTGGCCAGGTTTGAGTCATATGCAATGGGATCAGAGAAAGCTTGTCTGCACAGAGAGAAAAGAATGAGGAGGAGAATCAGAGAGAAACAGAGGAAGAAAGAGATCAGGAATCTCTAGAAACAAGGATGGACAAAGGAACTGTCTTGTTTATTGGGAGTTATTACTTTCTAAATCCTAGCTCTTGTGAGGTCCAGTCACACTTTTTTTTTTAGGAAGTGTAATACACATATTTCTAATAAACCCCCTTTCTATGCAGCAAGCCAAAGCAGGTTCTATTCCTTGAAAACAAATCAACTCCTGGCTAAGTCAAATCAATTTCTAAGCTAAACCTCTGCAGTGTGTCTCTTCCCTCCTCAGTAAGCCTCAAGTGAACTCTGATGCCCTCTCATGGATTCTCTCTGCAGGAGACGTGTCTCCAGGTGTCTGCCTGTCTGCTTTGATATCTGGTGCTATGAGATCCTGGTTTTAGAGATCTTCAATCCAGGGAAATTGAATACTTTCTGTTTGGTTGATGGCTAATGGCAGAACATTTTAACAAATATATAGACAGTCCCCAGCTTACAACGTCTCCGCTTAATGATTTTTTGACTTTATGATGATGTGAAAGCAATATGTATTCAGTAGAAATTGTACTTTGAGTACCTGTACAACCATTTTATTTTTCACTTTCAGTATTCAATAAATTTCATGAGATATTCAACACTTTATTATAAAATATGCTTGTTAGATGGTTTTACCCAACTGTAGGCTAAAGTAAGTGTTCTGAGCATGTTTTAGGTCAGCTAGGCTAAGATAATTGGTAAGTTAGGCATATTAAATGCATTTTCTACTTACAATGGGTTTATTGGGACATAGCCCCATTGTAAGTCATGAAGCTTGGTACTGATCTAATCATCAGGTGATCCATCTTCTAGAACATTAATGAATGAGCCACATATGTGCTTATTTATTGGAAAGCAGGACACATATTGATTAATGTGCACAAGTCCGTTTCATGATTAGGGGTGGTATGGTTTGGATCTGTGTCCCCACCAAATCTCATGTCAAATTGTGATCCTGTTTTGAAGGTGGGGCACGGTGGGAGGTGACTGGATCCTGGGGGTGGAGTTCTCATGAATAGTTTCGCATCATCCCCTTGGTGCTGTTCTTGCGAGAGTGAGTGAGTTATCATGAGATCTGGTTGTTTAAAAGTGTATAGCACCTCCCCTCTCTCGCTTTGCCTCCTGCTCCAGCCATGTAAGATGTGCCTGCTTTCCTTTTGCCTTCTGTCATGTTTGTAAGTTTCTTGAGGTCTCCCCGGATGCAAAAGCTGCTATGCTTCCTGTAGAGCCTGCAGATCCATGAGCCAATTAAACCTGTTTTCTTTATAAATTACTCAGTCTCAGGCATTTCTTTTTTTTTTTTTTTTAGACGGAGTCTCACTCTGTCGCCCAGGCTGGAGTGCAGCGGCATGATCTCCACTCACTGCAAGCTCTGCCCCCCGAGTTCACGCCATTCTCCTGCCTCAGCCTCCTGAGTAGCTGGGACTACAGGCACCCACCACCACACCCAGCTAATTTTTTTGTATTTTTAGTAGAGACGGGGTTTCACCGTGTTAGCCAGGATGGTCTTGATCTCCTGACCTCGTGATCTGCCCACCTCGGCCTCCCAATGTGCTGGGATTACAGGCATGAGACACCGCACCCGGCCAGTCTCAGGTATTTCTTTATAGTAGTGTGAGAACTAATACATGGGGTTAATCATGTAAACATCACATATAGTAGAATACTCATTATTTATCCATATTTAATATTCCTTTAATGATAATGTATTTTGTTATTTTACAGATATGGCTGTATAGAATTTTTCACTAAGAGTTATGGATGCTGGAACCTACCCAGGTTTGATTTCCTGCTCTGCCATTCATTAATTGTCTGACTTGGGCAAGGCAAGTCACTTAACCCATGCCTGTTTCCTAATGTGTAAATTAGGACAATAACATCTAGTTCGTAGGGTTTTTTTGTTGTCCATTGCTTCTTTTTTACCTTTAAATGAGTTATTATGTTTAAAGCACACTAAACACTGCCTGGCACATAGTGTTTGATAACTATTAACTATATTGCTGTCAGGTTAAATGATTAAGTCACAAAACTAGTAAATGGCAGATTTAAATAAACAGTTTAACCATAATAATCTTTTGCACTTTTATTGTATTTTAGAAATATCCAAGGACTCTCATATTAATTAATTCCTTGTAGCCCCAAACAGTTTTTGGCTATAGAGGCTAAGCCCCATATTACAGTTGAGGATATGGAAGTTGAAAGAAATAAAAAGATGGCTCAAGTTTATATAAGTAGTATATATCAAAAACCTTCATGTTTTTTTCCAGTCTCCTAGTGCAATGTTGATTCTGCTTTACCACATATGTATTTTAGAAAGATGTCAGCTTTGTTGCTTAATTACAATATATAAAAGGTAGGGGTCCTCTTTTATTTAAGCATTCCAGTGAACTTTAATAACAGAAATGCTGAGAGAAGGGTTTGTTCTAGCGAACTGAGAATTAAGAAGAAAAGTCCTGCATTGTTAGATCTTAATGAAGTAAAGTTTAAATGAGATAGGTCCATTTCCTGTGGTAGGGAGTAGAGGATAACTCATCATAACTCGCTCTCTTTGATACCCCATGATCATCATTTTGAAGACTGCAGTTCTCATCTCATAGGCCTGCAGATAGTAATGTACAAAGAAACAAGAGATGAAATAATTGTTCCCTGAACCACTTGTTCCCCAAATTCTCTTATAAACAAGTCACCTTATGTCACCCTATATACTTTACAAATGTCTCCTCTTCTAAAAATGGAATTAATGGCCTTGGCTAGTCATGACTTCACTCTGCTGTCCTGTGAGGCCCAGATCTGTATAACACTAGGCTTGTCCACACCCAGCACGAAGTGAGTTATATGTGTAGATATCTGCCCCTCACTCACAGCTATAGGAGGAGTTCCTGTTTATAGAGTAGGAAGTGGTTTGGAAGAAGCAGAGCACAGACTTATTAATTTCAATAAATATTGAATCATCCCATCTATCCATCATCCCATATAGCCCAGCACATGGTAATGATAATTCTTTCAACAAATACTTACCAAGAATGTGCTCTATTTTAAGAGTTGTGCTAGCAATGGATGCTGGGAATAGAGCAAGTAACTTGTTTGAAATGTGAAGGATGTACAGGAGTCAGCTATACACAAGAGAAAAGAGGTAGAGCTTATAATTCAAGTGATATTTAAACTGAAACTAGTTGACTGATATGATCCCATAGTTAAGTGTGCTTTATGGTTTGAGTCCTAGTTGAGTTTAATGATTTTGGTTTGAATCCTAGTTGAGTTTAATGATTTTGCCCTTTTTTCCAGAGCTGGATAAAAAGAGGAGAGCTAGAAATATCTTGACATTGGGAGAGATTCATAAATTCTGTGAATGTAGAATAATAAATTCTCTTTTATCCACAACCCTATTTTAAGCATCACAACTCTATTTCTTTCATTGCTGGATAATTATGGCACAGGCTAATACAGCAAAGGCAATACATGGGCACTTCCTTTCTGTCCATTGCAAGTCTGAGTGTTCCCCATTCTTTAGAGCAGGCCAGTGACTGCAAAATTATGCATAAGTAAACCCCTTTGAAAGTTCCTGAAGGACTTCATTGTTTTATTGAGAAAACAAAAGCATTGGCTATTTCTGGTATTTTTGCTCAATAATGTCTATACATGCAAATGTGAGATATTTCATATAAACATGTACGTATGTTAAGTATGTATATGTTTATGGGCATGTGTGTATATAATTTAAAACGTTAGTTTTGTTTTCAATGTATCAATGAAACTTTAAGATCTCTAAGTACAGGAAAGAGTTCATTTTTGCAAGTCATATGAAGAGAAATACTGAAAATTTTCATGTTTCAGATTTCCCATCTTCTAGGAGTACTACACGCAGTTATTTCTATAAAGTAAATTAAAAGCTCCGCTTCCCTAAGAAAGCTCAGTTCAAACAGGCGACCAGGTCCTCTTCCGTAAGGGTTCTTGGATGACGTCAATCGTCAAATACTGGGGAGAAACATCAGGAACAAACGGGTAACAGAAATGTGGCAGAAGCAATTTTCTCCCTATCATTAGATCCTGCCATTGTTATCACAGCAGGAGTATTTTCAGAAGATGAATCTCGTTTGGGGTTTTCTAAGTGTCTGAGCTTGAGGAGTTTTTCCATACATCTATGGATGTGTTTCCCAGCAGTGGTGTCAGGTATGCTTGTGCTTAAATATGCTAATGGGAGCACCCCAGCTGGGAGGGGATGCTGCAGGTGCAGAGGAGCGGAGGGGGACCCGCTGGAGCTGCTCCTGGAGCAAACGGAGGTGTGAGGTCGCATCTCAGGTAGAGAGGAGGCTGCACCCGGAGCTTGGTGCTGGAGGAGGAAACACCGAGCAGGAGAGCACAGATGCAGTGGGCGAGGCTTCTGGAAAACCTTGGCTACCTCAATGTTCTCTGAAATGAGAGGCAATTGGCGTGAATCCAGAACCGGGTCAGCGAATCCCTAGGGTCCCACTTTGGCTTGACGTTCACGGAATTCCCAGGTAGGCCTCAAGAGGAACGGATCCTGCATCCTGAGCTCTGGGACTCGCGGGCTCTGGAGCTCCCGTTGCGTTCAGGCCCCGGGTGCTGCGGCGGGCGCACTCCTAGGCAGGGAGAGGGGTGGCCGCCGTCTCCGAAGCCCGTTTCTTGCCGGGATGCCTGGAGGAAGTGGTTTCTGGGTCTGAATCCGGTGAGCGCGGCCTCGTCCTCTTCCCGCCAACTCCCCGCCCTCGAGGAGCGCCCGCCTCCCACCAGGGGCCAGGTCTCCCTCGGGACGCCCCGCGACTCCGGGCCGCGGGTTTCTGGAATCCATGGGGGCACGGCCCACTCCCGGACGCTCCTTCCCCGCCCCCAGCCCCAACCCCGGCGTCCCCGCAGCGGCTGCATGTGCAGTTGGAGGGAGCGGGTCAAAGCCTGGCAGGACGCGCTCCCAATCCCGCCATTCTCTGCACCACTCGCGATAGGACCAAGAGGATCCTGCGCAGGCGCAGAGCGGAGGCCGAGGTGGCGGTGACGCAGGGCCCAGCGCTCCCTGAAGGGTCAAAGCTCAATCCGAGCGCAGGCGCAGAGCGGAGGCCGAGGTGGCCGCGGGGCGGGGCAGAAGGGCTCCTGTGGGGCCCAGATAGTTTCCTCGCGCAGGTGCAGAAGCCAGGCTGCGGTGCTGGAGTGGCGGGTTGCGGGCCCAGGAATCTTCTGGGAGCAGCTGGGGTGGATTGTTATAGTTTTTTAAAAGTGGCTTTGAACGTTTTTACAGATGTTGGCCTTAAGAAACAGCAGTTTGTGCAAACAAAGGATTCCCTTTTCACAGTAGCTGAGCCGGCTATTAACTAGGCCGGAAGGCTGGGGAGGGAGTTGTAGATACCTGGGCAAATTGGCTTTCTGCTTTATTTTTATGTTAATTTCAAGTAATTCTTGATTGGATCTCAGCTTAAACTGCTCCACCATTTTTTTACGTTTTGGTAACATTTAAGTACTCATTTCCAACATGTAAGGTTTCCAGTTTTGGGGAGAGTGATAGAATTGAAAACAAAATCGCCTCCCTACTCAGATAACCTCTTTACAAAAATAGTGGAGAAAGAAAACAGAATAGAGAAAAAACAAAACAAACAAAAAACAGGAAAAAAATAGAGAAAACAGTTTTATTATAGAATAAGCATTCAATCAGCATGTGATGTGCACCACGTGCAATTTGTTACCAGAAAGGAGTCCTGATCCAGATCCCAAGAGAAGGTTCTTGGGCCTCATGGAAGAGTCAGAAAGTGAAGGAATGTGTGGTGGCTCACACCTGTAATCCCAGCACTTTGGGAGGCCAAGGCAGGCAGATTGCTTGAGCTCAAGAGTTCAAGACCAGTCTGGGCAACATGGTGAGACCCCATCTCTACAAAAAATATAAAAATTAGCCAGGTGTGGTCGTGTACATCTGTAGTCCCAGCTCCTCGGAAAGCTGAGGCAAGAGAATCACTTTAGCCTGAGAGGCAGAGGTTGCAGTGAGTTGACATCCTGCGGCTGCTCTCCAGCCTGAGTGATAGAACTAGACCTTGTCCCCTCACCAAAAAAGTAAAGGAATAAAGAATGGCCACTCCATGGCAGAGCAGCAGCATGGGCTGCTGGACTAAGGATACTTGTAGTTATTTCTTGATAATATACTAAACAAGGGGTAGATAAGTTTTCCAGGAAAGGAGTGGGCAATTCCCCAAACTGAAGGTTCTTCCCCCTTTTAGACCCATATAGGGTAACTTCCTGACATTGCCATGGCATTTGTGAACTGTCATGACGCTGGAGGGAGTGCCTCTTAGCATGCTAATGTTACAGGACCCCACCACTTAGCCTTTGGGTCAGGGGTTTCTGCACTCTAGTCCCTTCTGTGGTTGCCAGGAAGATATTACAGGAAAGGGGTCCCAATCCAGAGCCCAAGAGAGGGTTCTTGGATCCAAGAAAGAATTCAAGGCAAGTCCATAGAGTAAAGTGAAAGCAAGTTAAGAAAGCAGTGGAATCAAAGAATGGCTACTGCATAGACAGAGCAGCCCCAAGGGCTCCTGGTTGCCTATTTTTTACAGTTATTTCTTGATGATGTGCTATATAAAGGGTGGATTCTTCATGCTTCCCCTTTTTAGACCATATAGAGTAACTTCCTGCCATTGCCATGGCATTTGTAAACTGTCATGGCACTGGTGGGAGTGTGGTAAGTGAGGATGACCAGAGGTGACTCTCGTCATCATCTTGTTTTTGGTGGATTTTCTCTGGCTTCTTTACTGCGACCTGTTTTATCAGTAAGGTCTTTATGACCTGTGTCTTGTCCTGACCTTCTGTCTCATCCTGTGACTTAGAATGCCTTAACAGTCTGGGAATGCAGCCCAGTAGGTTTCAGCCTCATTTTACCTAGCCCCATTCAAGATGGAGTTGCTCTGGTTCACATGCCTCTGACACTAATGTATTCTAATTAGTGTATAATGAGCAGTGAGGTTGACCAGAGGCCGTTTTTGTCAATATCTTGATTTTGGTGAGTTTTGGCGGGCTTCTTTACCACAACCTGTTTTATCAGCAAGGGTTTTGTGACCTGTATGTTGTGCTGACCTCTATCTCATTCTGTGCCTAAGAATGCCTATTCTCCTGGGAATGCAGCCTAGTAGGTCTCAGCCTATTTTACCCAGCGTCTGTTCAAGATGGAGTCACTCTGGTTCAAATGCCTCTGACACAATCAGCTAAGAGGCTGCAAAGGTAATCTTATTCTTTTGTACAGCCAAGAAGGTACAACCATATGCATGTGTTCAAGACACGTAATTACTAGTGAGAGGGTGTTCCAGCACCATTTGCTTATAGTTCATCTTAAATTCACCAGGCGATTGGGGTGGCCATCTGTGTTAGCTCATCAGCCTTATCTAGAGAAGAAACACACTTTTCATATCTTTTTGAATCCACTTTTGCAAAAATTATAACAGTGAGAAATTTATGGCAGTGAAAGGGAACTGATTTAAACCAACCCCCCAATCTTGCCTTTCCCTTAATTATTCCTGGGCTTGTGGGCTGAGCTAACTTTGGAAGACATTTAGTTTATGGTTTAAATGATAATACCCTTCTCCCAAAACTCAACTGCTTTTGTAAAACTAATGAAAGGCCATCAGGTTAGGTGAGGAGAGGAATCTGAATTCTACTAAGGTGTAGACATAAATGATTGCCAGTCATTCCTGCAAATAACATCAGTATTGCAGATTAGCCTTTTGAGATATCTTTTCAGGTTTTTTTAAATTTATTTCCTGACTGACACCCATGGCTCCACCTGAACCTGACCATCTGGCTTCTGGGAACCCACCCAGAAGCAATTCAGCTCAAGAGGACAGTTTCCATCCCCTGCCTCCATGATTTCATCTCTGCCCTAACCAATCAGCAGCAAGCACCCATTACCTGGCCATCCCCACCCCTTCCCCCAACCTGCTTTTGAAAAACCCCTAACAATGGGCCTTTGGGGAGACTGATTTGAGTACTAACTCTGTCTCCTGCATATTGTAGCTGGCCTTGTGTCCGTTAAACTCTTTCTCTTCTGCAATGCCATGGTCTTTATGTGTGGAGTGGCAGAAAGAACCCATGGGCCAGTTACTTTTTTTTGGAGGCGGGGACAAAGTCTCACTCTGTCACCCAGGCTGGAAAGCAATGGCGCAATCTCAGCTCACTGCAACCTCCACCTCCTGGGTTCAAGCAATTCTCATGCCTCAGCCTCCGAAGTTATCGGAGGAACCAGCCCCCAATATTTCAACGTAGGTTCTTTTCTATTTTCCCTAAGTGTTGGCTGGTCTGAGAAATAAAGAGTGCAAGAGAGAAATTTTACAGCTGGGCCTCTGGGGGTGTCATCACATATTGGTAGGACCGTGATGGCGACCTCGAGCCACAAAACCAGCAAGTTTTTATTAGGGATTTTGAAAGGGGAAGGGATGTACGAACAGGGAGTAAGTCACAAAGATCACATGCTTCAGTGGGCAATAAAAGATCACAAGGCAAGGGCAAAATTAGAATTACTGATGAGGGTCTGTGTCCTGCTGTGCACGCATTGTCTTGATGAACATCTTAACAGGAAACAGGGTTTGAGAGCAGACAGCCGGTCTGACTAGAATCTACCAGGCTGGAATTTCTCAATCCTAGTAAGCCTGAGGGCACTGCAGGAGAGCAGGGTGTATTTCAGTCCTTTTCTCAACTGCATAAGACAGACACTCCCAGAGCGGCCATCTATAGACCTACCCCTGGGAATGCATTCCTTTCCAAGGGTATTAATTAATAATATTGCTTTCTGGGAAAAGAATTCAGCGATATTCTCTTACTCACATGTCCATCGATAGGCTGTCTGCAAGAAGAAAAATATGGCTCTATTTTGCCCAACCCCACAGGCAGTCAGACCTTAGGGTTTTCTTTCCTCATTCCCTGAAAATCACTGTTACACTGTTCTTTTTCAGGGTACCCTGATTTCATATCATATTGTTCAAACACACATGTTTTACAAACAATTTGTACAGTTAACGCAATCATCACAGGGTCTTGAGGCGACATACATCCTCAGCTTACAAAGATGATGGGATTAAAAGATTAAAGACAGGCATAAGAAATTATAAGAGTATTGATTGGGGAAGTGATAAATGTCCATGAAATCTTCACAATTTATGTTCAGAGACTGCAGTAAAGACAGGCATAAGAAATTATAAAAGTATTAATTTTGGGAACTGATAAATGTCCATGAGATCTTCACAATTTATGTTCTTCTATCGCAGTTTCAGCTGGTCCCTCCATTCAGAGTCCCTGACTTCCCACAACACTGAGTAGCTAGGTGTCTGCTACTGTGCCTGGCTAATTTTTGAATTTTTAGTAGAGACAGGGATTCACCATGTTGGCCAGGCTGGTCTCAAACTCCTGACCTCAGGTGATCCACCTGCCTCAGCCTGGCAGTTACATTTTTGACAGGAGGCAGTTCTGCAACTGGAGGGAGAGGCCTGTGGAAGTTAGGCTCTCACCCTTCCTCAGAAGCTGGGAGAGGGGTGCTATTCTTCCTGATGATTACATTTCAAAGAGATGGGTCCCATGTCCTTGAGAAACACATTCCTAAGTCATAAAGCTGACAAATGGCCTCTTTAGTCTTTAGGAGGATTAATGTACAATTCAAAAGTTCTCTGAGAAAAAGAAGGAGAGGGCAGTCTCTTCCCTTATTTTCAACACGGAGAATTAAGCCTCTTATTTTTAATAGGTATTTGTCCTTTCAGGGACAATGGACAGGGAGCTGGGAGAATTCTCCATGTTACAAATATATCTTAAATTGTACTTGGTATTTTAACTTGAATGCAGACAGCCAAGGTAAAGCTTCACCCTATTCTAGCTGTTATGGAAAACAATTTTGTTACAGGAAAGGGGTCCTGATCCAGACCCCAAGAGAGGGTTGTTGGATATCAAGCAAGAAAGAATTCATGGCGAGTCCACAGTGCAAAGTGAAAGCAAGTTTATTAAGAAAGTAAAGTGGTGAAAGGACAGCTACTCCATAGACAGAGTAGGATGTTCCCGAAAGTAAGAAGAGGAAGGCCTCCACCCTAGGTACAATGCTTGTATATATGAGGAGATGCATTCTGCTATAAGGGTTTGTGATAAAGAATTAATTTTCTTAATTACTATATTTTGCAAGAATCAGTATTATTATCTTTAAAGCAAAATTAGGAATGCCTTTGTTATCCAGATAGCAGGATTATCTGGACACTTCCAAGTCTGGGTCTGTTTTAGTAAACATTATTAATTTGTTCTGTTAACCATAAACATCTAGAGGCTAGGAATGCCTAACTTTCTGAGAACACAGCCCAGCAAGTGCCAGCCTTATTTTCTTAGCCCTCACTCAAGATGGAGTTGCTCTGGTTCGAGCACTTCTGAAAATTTCACATTTAAATGTTTATCAGTCGATGCTTAGCAAATATTTTTCAAGCACCAGCTGCACTCCTGGAGCTGGGGATAAGGTGGTAGAAGAGACAAAGTGGAGGCCTCCTGGAACTCACATTCTAAAGCAGAGCTGTCCAATGTAAGCCACGTCTGTAAGTTTAAGGTACATACTTAAAACAAGTTAAATTAATCTCATAATATAATTTATTTAACTTACATTGTAACTGTCCAAGGCATTCACCTTGCCCACTGCCTCGACAGAGCTGATTCATCAAGACGGGGGAATTGCAATAGAGAAAGAGTAATTCATACAAACGTGGCTATGCAGGAGACTGGAGTTTTACTATTATTCAAATCAGCCTCTTGGAGCATTCAGGAAGCAGAGTTTCTAAGGGCAACTTGGTGAGTGGGGGGAAAGCCAGTGAACCAGTAATTCTGGTTGGTCAGGGATGAAATCATAGGGATTTGAAGCTGTCTTCTTGTACGGAGTCAGTTCCTGGGTGGGGGTCTCAAGATCATATGAGCCAGTTTATCCATCTGGGTGGTGCCAGTTGATCCATCAAGGGCAGTCTGCAAAATGTCTCAAGCACTGATCTTAGGAGCAGTTTAGGGAAGGTCAGAATCTTGTGTCCTCCAGTTGCATGACTGCTAAACCATAATTTCTAATCTTATGGCTAATATTAGTCCTACAAAGGCAATCTACTCCTCAGGCAAGAAGGAGGTCTGCTTTGGAAAGGGGCTGTTATCGTCTTTGTTTTAAACTATAAACTACAAACTAAGTTTCTTCCAAAGTTAGTTCAGTGTACACCCAGGAATGAACAAGGACAACTTGGAGGTTAGAAGCAAGATGGAGTCAATTAACTTAGATCTCTTTCACTGTGGCAGTCATAATTTTGCAAAGGCGGTTTCAATATATCTAAAATATTTTCATTTAAACATGTAATTATATAAATTATTAATAATATATTTTAATTTTTTCTTTTTCATAGTAAACTTGGAAAGGTGGTGTGTGTATTTTATACATACAGCAACTCCCAATTTGGACTAGACCCATTTGAAGTGCTCGATAGCCCCATGTGGTTTATGGTGACCATGTTATACAATGATGATCTAGATGTGAGGCAGAGTACAAACCAGAAAACAAAGAAATATTTGATTAGATTTCAGATGGTGGCATATGTAGCACTTGTTGTTGAGGGATAGTGTCTGAGAAGGGAATTCTCTTTAAGACAGGCTACTGCAGAGACACTCTAAGAAGAAGTAATATTTTGGCCGGGTGTGATGACTCACTCCTGTAATACCAGCACTTTGGGAGGCCGAGGTGGGCAGATCACAAGGTCAAGAGATCGAGACCATCCTGGCCATCCAACATGGTAAAACCTTGTCTCTACTAAAAATACAAAAATTAGCTGGGTGTAGTGGCACATGCCTGTAGTCCCAGCTAATCCGGAGGCTGAAGCACAAGAATCGCTTGAACCCAGGAGGTGGAAGTTGCAGTGAGCTGAGATCGTGTCAATGAACTCCAGTCTGGGCAACAGAGTGAGACTCTGTCTCAAAAAAAAAAAAAAAAAGAAGAAGCAGCAATATTTTGACATAGCTGCAAGTGAAATGGGAGAGTCACCAGCTCCGGAGACCTGTGCCTTACAGGCCAAATATCTTCCCCACCTGATGTGAGCTGTTAGAGGTCTCAATAAACAGATGGAGCTCTTCCCCAGTGCCTTGACACTCAGATTCTGCAACCATGGCAAAAATCTTTCATTGGGGTTTTCTTAGTTTGTTTGGACTGCAGTAACAAAATATCCAAACTGAGTAGCTTATAAAGAGAAACATTTACTATATTTTTTCTGGTTCTGGAGGCTGGGAAGTCCAAGATCAAGGCACTGGCAGATTCAGTGTCTGGTGAGGGCCTATTCCTTACAGGTGGCAACTTCTCAATGGGTCCTCATGAGGTAGATAGGGAACGCAGGGCAAGGAACCCTCCCCACTTTTTTTGCATGCTGTGCTGACTACAGCTGCACCCAGATCCATAGCTGTCAGCCACTGACACTCCCTCTCGTAAAATCAGTTAATCAGACTTAAAAGAAATAGAGCACTTTAACCACAAACATCTTGGCCATCAGCATAGGGACTTTCCAATAGACCCTCCCCAAATACACATGTGCTGTAGGGTTTTAGCTTGCCCTACCCTAACCTTTGCATCATTTTAATAATAAAAATTATACCCCTGGGTGGATATTTCAGATGCTAATAAGAGATGGGGTGTATGAAGAAGCATGAAGACAGACTGCACAGGTGCAGCCAAGGGGCCACCTCAAATATTTGATGATGTTACCTGGATGAGGCCCAAAGAAGAATAAAAACTGAGACTAGCTTGCTTTCAGTGAGCCAGCTGCAGGTTTTCCTCCTTTGCTGTTTTTCTTTCTGCTGAAGTTGAAAATCCCAATAAACTGCCTTTCTCAAGCTCTTATTAGATTCTTGGTCAGTTTAGTTTCTGAGGCTCAAGAAGCCACTGGCCATTCATGGTGGAAGACACAAGCAAGCTCTTTAGGGGCTCTTTAATAAGGGAACTGATTCCATTCATGAGAATTTTGTGACCTAATCACCTTCTAAACTCTCCATTATTGCATTGGTGATTAGGTTTCAACATACAAATTTCTCAGAACACAAAATTTCAGACCATAGCATGGGTGGACTCCCCCTAAAAAGTCAGAAGTTAAAATTCCTGGTATGGTTTGGCTGTGTTCCCACTCCAATCTGATCTTAAATTGTAGTTCCCCTAATCCCCATGTGTTGAAGGAGGGACCCAGTGGGAGGTAATTTAATTGTAGGGGCAGTTACCTTCATGCTGTTCTTCTGATATTGAGTGAGTTCTCACGAGATCTGACGGCTTTATAAAGGCTTTTCCCTCTTTTTGCTTGACACTTCTCCTTGCTGCCACCACGTGAAGAAGGATGTGTTTGCTTCCCTTTCTGCCATGATTGTAAGTTTCCTTGAGGCCTCTCCAGCCATGCTGATCTGTGAGTCAATTGTACCTATTTCTTTTATAAATTATTACAAATTACCCAGCCTCTGGGTATGTCTTTATTAGCAGCTTGAGAACGGACTAATACAATTCCCAACATGTGAAGCAATGACATGAGGTCCCATCTACTACTGGTAGAAACATAAATTGGTACAACTTCTTAAGAAATCAGCTTGGAATTGCCATGCATAGTTGAAAATGTGCATATATCATGACTCAGTATTTTCATTTGTAGGTATATAACCTAGAGTAATACTTGCACATGTAGAAGAGGAAGCATGCATAGGGAAGTTTACAGCAGCCTAATGCTGGAAAGAGTGTTAGTGACTACGGAGGAAGAATAAGTAAGTGTAAATAAGAGTCAATGAAAGAATGAACTAAGAAGTGTAAATAAGAATTCAGCAGTAAATAGGAATGAACTAGAGCTACACTTATCAACATAGGTAAAGCAAAATAAAACAAGCAGAGCAGGATAACTAATCAAGAACAAAATGGTTCATTTATATATCAGACAAACTAAATATACATGTATACACATATGCGTATGTATCCCATAGGAGATAAGTAATAGGAAATAAAGGAAGTTTTAAAATAATGAATGAAAATGGTTACTGCTGGGAGGGAGATGAAGATGCAGTCTGTGACGAATACGTAGCAGTCATCTACCTAGTCATGCTCTAGTTGTAACTTGATGGTGGGGGTCAATGTGAGGAATTCATGACTATTTGCTGCTCTTGGAATAAATGATATATTTTTTCAGTTCAGAAAATCTCACCAACCCAACCAGGAGAGGGATTTTGAATTTTAGCAATGAAAAAAATATAGTTCTTCATCCTGACCATTTGAGAAAGTGTGATCAGTGATTCCTACCTGCTACATGAAAATGTGCAAAACAACAACAAAAAGAAAACAAAACAACAAACAAAGCCATCACTCGATCCCTAGTGTTTAGTCCTATGTTCAGAATTTATCCTGTCCTGGAGTGGCGGTCTAATTTTACTGTGAGTCTGATGCATTCTGGACCTCTGGGTTCATCTTGACACTCACTCTGTCAGTATCCTGGTGGGTTAGTCTCAGAGAAAAACTGAGGGTCTAGGATACATGATTTAGAGATGTGCTGAATATCCAGGTTGGGGTGGGAGGGAGAGGTTCTTGGGGTGTTGGGTGGGACAGGATGAAGTGAAGCAAGAAGTGCACAGAGGCAGCAAGGCAGCAGGTCAGAGGGGAGGGACGGAGGCTGAGAGAGTGTTTAGTAGCTGTCCCAAGTGGGAAAGATGGGAGAGAAGGAGAGAGACTGAATAAATATTGTACGTTTTATCCTGTCATATAAACTTTTACACACGCACATGCACACACACACGTACACACACACAAACTACACAAACTGCATTGCTTTCTAAGGCTTTGCTGAGTGGATCTCTGTCTCTTTGCGACTCTGCTTTAAGGCTGGCTTAAAACTTACACAGTGGCTGCCTCATGTTGATGGAATTGTTCCTTTTCCCAGAGGAATCTAAGGCACACAGTGGACCTTCTGAATGCCGGGAAAAGCCAACTATCAATTGATAAAGGTGTACCTAGTGCCAGGCGCTGCGAAATGGTTGCTTTTAGTTCCTGCTCTCAAGAAACATTTGAAGTGAGTATGACTGGTACCCCATTTTGCAGATGAGGACAGAAGAGATTAAGTAACTTGTCACAGTTGCACAGGTGGCACATGAGACAGCCAGGGCTTGTCTCCAGACCTTGTATTTTATCCTTGCTACCAAGCTGCCCCATGAGCCCTCAAAGAGTTGATGTGAGCTCCCTGGCTCAGGGGGAGGCCATGGAGCCCTGGATGGGGCACACCATGAGTGTGTGCCAGGAACAAAACAGATATGCTATGGTCAGCCTCTTGGCACTGTCACTCAGTGCCACTGTCTCTGGCAGCAATTCCACTAATATTAATAGTTCCAGGAATTCCTGTGACCAGAGTCTGTTTGTGAAGAAGGAAGTCAGCATGATTACCAAGATGAGCTTAATCACTCAGGCCTTATGACTGTGTACACTTTAGTCTTCCGTAGGTGATAAAATTGAAGCCTGGGGTGATGCTATGGTCTGAATGTTTGTGTCCTTTCAACATTCATATGTTGAAATTCTGACCCCCAGTGTGTCAGGGGGTGGGGCCTCTGGGAGGTGATTAGGTCTTGAGAACAGAGCCTGCATGGATGGGATGAGTGCGCTTATAAAAGAGGGCCCAGGCCGGGCGCGGTGGCTCATGCCTGTAATCCCAACACTTTGGGAGGCCGAGATGGGCAGATCACCTGAGGTCTGGAGTTCGAGACCATCCTGGCCAACATGGAGAAACCCCATCTCTACTAAAAATACAAAAATTAGCTGGGCGTGGTGGCACACACCTGTAATCCCAGTTACTTGGGAGGCTGAGGCAGGAGAATCTCTTGAACCGGGGAGGCAGAGGTTGCAGTGAGCCAAGATTGCGCCATTGTACTCCAGCCTGGGCAGAAAGAGTGAAACTCTGTCTCAAAAAATAAATAAATAAATAAAAGAAAAAAATGAGAGCCTAGAGAGCTGCTTTGCCCCTTCCACCATGTGAGGACACAGCGAGAAGACACCATCTGTAAGCCAGGAAGCAGGCCCTCAAACCCGACAAAACATCTTAGATCCTGGACTTTCCAATCTCCATAGCTGTGAGAAATAAATTTCTGCTGTGTATAGATTATTCATTTTATGTTACTTTGTTATATTACCCTTAATGAAGTAAGAAAGATGGTCACTGACTTGAATGTCCAGAAGGTGTTTCGAGTGACTTCAGCTCCCTGGGTGGAGGGAGGAGAGAGTAAAGAGGTTAGGTCACTGACTTCTGCAGTAGCAAGATCTGAGTGGGATTCCAGGCTCTGCCACTTACAGGCATTGTGGCCTTGAGCAATGACTTCATTTCCCTGAATTTTCATTTCCTGGTCTGCAAAATGAAGGTAATATGAATTCCTGCCACAGAAGGCTATTGTAAACGTTAAATGAAATAAACGGGACTGTTGGCCAGAGGGACTCCAAAGGCCACAAGTGAGTCACTATGCTAGACCCATCATCATCCTTAGCTGGGAGAAGCAGCGCTGAGTAAGTTTCTGAAATCACTGCGTGCATTCTGCTGCAACTACCTCAATGCATCATAATAATTTATAATTTTCATGCTCATTATGTAATATTTGATACATCCAAAGGAATACATGTAAAGTATTTTAGTTTGAAAATGTATGAAAAGTAGCATGGGGCTTTTGTTTGTCTTTCTTTCACTCTGGGTCCTGGGCTGAGGGATGAACCATCATGGGGGACATGGCTGGTGATATGGTTTGGCTGTGACCCCACCCAAATCTCATCTTGAATTGTAGCTCCCGTAATTCCCAAGTGTTGTGGGAGGGACCCAGTGGGAGATAATTAACCTATGGGGGCGGTTTCCCCCATACTGTGTCGTGGTCATGAATAAGTCTCACAAGATTTGATAGTTTTATAAGGGGAAACCCTTTTCACTTGGTCTTCGTTCTCTCTCTTTGCCTGCTGCCATGTGAGAAGTCCCTTTGCTCTTCCTTCGTCTTTCGCCATGATTGTGAGGCCTCCCCAGCCATGTGGACCCGAGAGTGAATTAAACCTCTTTCCTTTATAAATGACCCAGTCTTGGGTATGTCTTTATCAGCAGTGTGAAGATGGACTAATACAGCCAGTCATTGTGACAAGGTAGAAGAGGGAACGTGGTGGAGCACTGCCTGTCTGTAAATGCTCCCTCCCACAGGTGAGATGCTGCTTGTGCTCGCATTTCACAGGCTATATAGCAAATCATATGACCACACTTACCTTCAGGCTGGTGGGTGTCTTAGCTTAGGCTGCTATAACAAAATACCATATAGTGGATGGTTATTCATTTTGTGTTACTTTGTTATATTAGCCTTAAAGAACTAAGACATTTATGTCTCACAGTTCTGGGGGCTGAGAAGTCTAAGATCAAGGTTCCGCTGATTCAGTTCCAGGTGTGGGCCTGCTTCCTGGCATGCAGATGTATGCCTTCGCACTGTGTCCTCACATGGTGGAGAGACAGTGAGAGAAGGAGCAAGCTCTCTGGTGCCTCTTCTTATAAGGGCACTAATGCCATTAAAAGGGTTCCACCCTCATGAATGTTTATGAACATAAGTACCTCCATAAAGGCCCTGTCTCCAAATACCATCACACTGGGGTTAAGTCACCAATATATGAATTTTGGGGAATACAAAGATTCAGTCCATGACAATGGGCTTAGGCTCAGAAGACAAAATATGTGTGAAATGTCCTGGTGACTGTCATACTTGTTTAAATGGTCTATCCACCAAGGATGGTCAGTTGCTCCCCAGAGAAGACTCTCCGTATCTGACTCTTCCCCTGTCCTGGCAGGTGAGACTGTTACCAATGATGACTGATTGCTCAAAATGGAGGGGCTGCAGTGAGAAACTGGAGCAAGAGGGGGCATTTCCAGGGTTGATTCTCAGGGTCCCTGGACCCTGCCACCCATGTAGCTGCAGTTTGTGATCACCTATGACCACACCAACCCTATATTCAATAGAAGACACTGAAAATAGCCTCCCACAAATAATAGTCCACAAAGCCAGCAGCTGTAAGGTCAGCAAAAGAGGCTGCTATGGAACTTGGGATGGAGAAAGGAATCCAGGCCCTCATGTTGGCAAATGATGGACAAAGTTTGGGGACTGTCACTGTGGAGCATGAGATACTAATTAGGGAGAGCATCTGGCATCTGTGCATTACAGAGACAAACCTTTGAGCTGCATTTGATGAGGAAAGAAAGGAAATGCTCCATCAGCGAAATAGAGCCATTGCTCATGAAGTGAGTGCAAATGTGATATTATCCCCTTTCATCATCATCCGATGCCTTGCTAATCAGTAATAAAAAAGATTCTGATAAATTAGGCCTGATGTTCTGCTCTAAAATTAAGTGGGAAGAAAAATAAATTGGGAATGTGTTAATTTTGTCTGTGGCACCTTAGGAATAAGAATATGTCCTATTGCATCCAAATCCTGAATATCCTGTCATGCCACTTGTGTTGCATGAAAAGTGTCCTAGCACAGGTCTATACTGTGGCTGACATGCAGACGGCCAATTGAAAGTGCCAGTTACATTTCTGCATAGTCAGATATCACTGGGTCAAGAAATTTTATTTGCTATTGAAGGCAACCTAATTATTTTATTTTTTATTTTTTTGAGATGGAGTCTCGCTCTGTCACCCAGGCTGGAGTGCAGTGGCGCAATCCCAGCTCACTGCAACCTTCGCCTCCTGGGTTCAAGCAATTCTCCTGCCTCAGCCTCCTGAGTAGCTGGGATTACAGGCCTGTGCCACCACGCCTGGCAAATTTTTGTATTTTTAATAGAGACAGGGTTTCACCATGTTGACAAGGCTGGTCTCGAACTCTTGACTTCGTGATCCACCAGCCTCGGCCTCCGAAAGTGCTGGATTACAGGCGTGAGCCACCAGGCCCGCCCCTGAAGGCATCATAATTATAAAAGCCTATTGCTTATTATAGGAATAAAAAAGACACTAAAGAAAAACAAAAGGAAGAAAAGAAATATTACCTCTACTCCCAATAGAAATAACCATGATTAGTATTTTGATTTATTTACTGTTAGTGCTTAGTTTAGGCATAAAAGAAAGAAAGAAATACATATATTCATAAATAATGTTCATGAACTTTTAGAAATGGATTTTATTTTTCTGAGGTTTTAATAATTAGACTCATTCTGCTTTTCAAACTTGGCATATTTTAAGCATCTCCCCATGTTATTAAATATTTTTAGAAAACACGAGGTTTTAAAATTATCTCAATAACTTTAAAAATGCAACTTGCTCTTCTTCTCTTTTGTATATTTTAATAGTTGGTTTTTGGCATATGTACCACTAATCCCAGAATTATTACACTTAGGATTATCCTTAGCAAACTATTTCAGGAACAGAAAACCAAATACTGT
Source organism: Homo sapiens (assembly GCF_000001405.40). Classification (NCBI taxonomy): domain Eukaryota; kingdom Metazoa; phylum Chordata; class Mammalia; order Primates; family Hominidae; genus Homo; species Homo sapiens. The sequence goes on from NC_000012.12 coordinate 125,876,222, forward strand.
CTGTTCTCACTTGTAAGTGGGAGCTGAATGATGGGAACACATGGACACATAGAGGAGAACAACACACACTGGGGTCTTTCAGAGGGTGGAGGGTGGGAGGAGGGAGAGGATCAGGAAAAATAACTAATGGGTACTAGTCTTAACACCTGGGTGATGAAATAATCTGTACAACAAACACCCATGATACAAGTTTACCAGTGTAACAAACCTACACATGTACCCCTGAATTTAGAATAAAAGTTAAAAAAAATAAAAATTTACAGATCGCCAGGTTGGGTAGAACCTTAGAAGTGGCTTTGATAGATCTCTATTCAACACACCCTCTACAAAAGGGTTAGAAAGAGTTGGGTTCAAAAACTTAATAACAGTAACAGCAATAATAGTTGTATTTGAGCCCATAATGTATACAGGCTTTGTTCTGAGTTATTTGCATGTATTTTAAAATATATATATATATTTTATTATACTTTAAGTTCTAGGGTACATGTGCACAATGTGCAGGTTTGTTACATATGTATACATGTGTCATGTTGGTGTGTTGCACCCATTAACTCGTCATTTACATTAGGTGTATCTCCTAAGGTTATCCCTCCCACCTCCCCCCACCCCACAACAGGCCCCAGTGTGTGATGTTCCCCTGCCTGTGTCCAAGTGTTCTCATTGTTCAGTTCCCACCTATGAATGAGAACATGCGGTTTGGTTTTTTTGTCCTTGCGATAGTTTGTTGAGAATGATGGTTTCCAGCTTCATCCATGTCCCCACAAAGGACATGAACTCATCATTTTTTATGGCTGCATAGCATTTCATGGTGTATATGTGCCACATTTTCTTAATCCAGTCTATCGTTGTTGGACATTTGGGTTGGTTCCAAGTCTTTGCTATTGTGAGTAGTGCCACAATAAACATATGTGTGCATGTGTCTTTATAGCAGCATGATTTATATTCCTTTGGGTATATACCCAATAATGAGATGGCTGGATCAAATGGTATTTCTAGCTCTAGATCCCTGAGGAATCACCACACTGTCTTCCACAATGGTTGAACTAGTTTACAGTCCCACCAGTAGTGTAAAAGTGTTCCTATTTCTCCACATCCTCTCCAGCACCTGTTGTTTCCTGACATTTTAATGATCACCATTCTAACTGGTGTGAGATGATATCTCATTGTGGTTTTGATTTGCATTTCTCTGATGGCCAGTGATGATGAGCATTTTTTCATTTGTCTGTTGGCTACAACTATCGGATCTTTGACAAACCTGACAAAAACAAGAAATGGGGAAAGGATTCCCTATTTAACAAATGGTGCTGGGAAAACTGGCTAGCCATATGTAGAAAGCTGAAACTGGATCCCTTCCTTACACCTTATACTAAAATTAATTCGAGGTGGATTAAAGACTTAAATGTTAGACCTAAAACCATAAAAACCCTAGAAGAAAACCTAGACAATACCATTCGGGACTTAGGCATGGGCAAGGACTTCATGTCTAAAACACCAAAAACCATGGCAACAAAAGCCAAAATTAACAAATGGGATCTAATTAAACTAAAGAGCTTCTGCACAGCAAAAGAAACTGCCATCAAAGTGAACAGCAACCTACAGAATGGGAGAAAATTTTTGCAATCTAGTCATCTGACAAAGGGCTAATATCCAGAATCTACAAAGAACTCAAACAAATTTGCAAGAAAAAAAACAAACAACCCCATCAAAAAGTGGGCAAAGGATATGAACAGCCACTTCTCAAAAGGAGACAGTTATTTGCATGTATTATCTCATCTAATCATAACCAGCCCTATGAAAGATGGGTATTATTATCCCTTTTTTGTAAAATGATTAGCGTAGGGCACGGGGAGCTTTAATTGGCCATCATTAACACAGCTAACTAGGATGGAGAAGAATAGGGGTATGAACCTCACTTGACTGATTTCAGAAGGAACCCTCTTTAATTACTCCCTCACTTACTGTCTCTCGGCAGTGTGAGTGACTGTCAATAATTGGTTAAGTTGTGAATAGCATGCGTATAATGTTCCTTTGAAGAAAGGAACACTCATACAGCCCGACAGACATGTTTCATGTTAGGTTGTGTCTGAAAGATACACAGACATGTCTCCAAGCCCCACTGAGCATCACTGGGAGGACACTGCCTTTTCCATATAACTCCGCAATGAACATTCAGAATAAAAGTTACAAGGTTAAAAACAACAAAACTTTTCCCTATCTTCTCACCGGGGTCTTCATGCATACGTGTTCACATTTATTCAACAAATATTTATCGAGCACTCTCTGGGAGCCAGTTGTAGGTTAACAGCTCTGCCACGGTGCCTTGCTCATGTCCACATAGTCTCTGCAGGCAAGGCTTGAACCCCAGCAAAGCTGAGTCTCAGCAGAAAGCCTTCTAATCCTCCTGTTTAAAAACAAACAAACAAAATCTCCCACTAACGTCTCTGTCTCCAGTAGAGGCTGCCAGAATCCATCATCTCCTGGTTTCTGATAAGGCATGAGGCTTTTCTCCCTGTCACACTCAGAACAGATGTGATAAGACTACAAACTCGCCTAGCTGCCATCTAGACCTGGCTCTTTGGCAGTGGTGGATCCCACAATTCACATTGCAGCTTTGGTGTTCTTTTTGAGGTGTGTGACAAGAACCATGGGGAGCAAGCACCTTTGGCTGCTCTTTCTTTCTCTATGTAAGAAATAAACTGTCTGCATTTAAAAGTGGCAAACTATATCTTTACTGCTCAAACTAGCCCTGCCTTGTGTGTGCTTAATACCATTTTCTTTACAGGTGCAGAATCAACACACTGAATAAAGCAGACATGCTTCTTACACTCAGATTGTGTGTGTGAAATTACAAATTGTTATAAAATAAAGTAACTGAATTCTAAGCAGTTGAAAACACAATCCTTAGCAAACTATCACAGCAACAGAAAACCAAATCCTGCATGTTCTCACTTATAAGTGGGAGCTAATTGATGAGAACACATGGACCCACATAGAGGGGAACGACAGACAGTGGGGCCTATTGGAGGGTGGAGGGTGGGAGGAGTGAGAGGATTAGGAAAAATAACTAATGGGCACTAGGCTTAATAGTGTTGAAATAATCTGTACAACAAACGCCAAAACACAAGCGCACCTTTGTAGGAAACCTGCACACGTACCTCTGAACTTAAAATAACACTTAAATTAAAAAAAATGAGAGCCCAGGCCAGGCGCAGTGGCTCACGCCTGTAATCCCAGCACTTTGGGGGACCGAGGTGGGCCGATCACCTGAGGTCAGGAGTTCAAGACCAGCCTGGCCAACATGATGAAACCCTGTCTCTACTAAAAATACAAAAAGTAGCCAGGTGTGGTGTCACATGCCTGTAATCCCAGCTACTTGGGAGGCTGACTCAGGAGAATCGCTTGAACCCAGGAGGTGGAGGTTGCAGTGAGCCAAGATTGTGCCTTTGCACTCCAGCCTGGGGACACCGTCTCAAAAAAAAAAAAAAAAAAAAATAGAGCTCAAGAGCAAAAAATCCCATCCATGCAAACAGCTTGAGAGATACTGTCTCCTCATAAGCATTTTTTTTTAAGTGCAAGGAAAGGGAGAGTGTTTTTTCCTTTAAGTTTCTGTAGTTATGTAAAAACAACAGAAGTCATTTTTTTCTAGCCAAAAAAATAAAATAAAAAAAAGGAAAACACAATCTGAAGACAACTTGAAATGTCTGGAATAGATAAGTTAGAAATGGGATAACACAATTTGCCCTACTCTTCCTGGGTATCTACCATTTAAACCACATGCACCATCGAAGTGTGGGAAACTGTGAAACTCTTCATTCTAACACTGGTCCTTCCCAATACCCACTGGAGTAAGCAAACCTCACTTTGCTGCTATCAGGGGAGAAACAAGACTCCTTGGAGCTACTAGGGATCTTGAATCAGCAGTTAGGCTCCTCTCTGAGGGATAATTAAGATCTAGAAAAGTCTTCATCACTTCGTGAACTCAACTATTGAGCTGTTTGGGGGCAGAGTGTATCTTATATCTGACACAGAATGGCACAAGAACCAAAAGCCAGGTGAGGAAAGCCCAAATGCACTAATGAGATACTAATTATTGGAATAAAACAAAAGACAAGGTGAGGTCAGGAAAACCCACAGATTAATTAGCTTTCTTCTAGGAAATTCAGGAAGCAGTTAGAGGCACCAACTCTGAACTTTCAGTTGCAGCAGTTATTAAAGTCTCATTAGAAGAACAGCTCCAGGCAATAGGCGTAAAAGTAAGCTATTAGAAGGAAGAATAAGGTTGATCCATTGCATTCTCTGAAACTATTCTTTTCATGTGTGCTTTCTTGCTTTACTCTGCTCAGAATAACTAATACAACAGGATAATGTGAAGCCCAAACAGAACAAACTGGAAGACTGAGAAGTACAGTTCCTAATGGAAAGAAGAAAGGTCCTCTCCAGACATTGACTGTTCCAACTGAGAAATGGGAGCTAACCTATGAGGATGGAAAGGCACAAGAACGATACAATGGACTTTGAGAAATTGGGGAAAGGGTGAAAGGGGTGAGAGGGATAAAAGACTACAAATTGGATTCAGTGTATACTGCCCTGGTGATGGGTGCACGAAAATCTCACAAATCACCACTAAATAACTTACTCATGTAACCAAATACCACCTGTTCCCCCAAAATCTATGGAAATAAAAAGTTTTTTTTTTTTTAAAAAAGAATGCATTTCAATGAGACCCAAAACATCTGGGGGTGTGTAGCAGAGGAATTTGTACAGATCAAATGTCTCATGTTCTTCCCTTAAATTTCCCAGCTTTCCTTGCAGTAATGTTGAGGTCATGTGACCAATTCTGGCTAATGAGCTGTAAATGCAAGTAATATGCATCACTTCTGGGCTGGAGTAGTTAAGAGCTGATGGGGCCTCTCCTTAAGTTCCTCATCCTGCTTCAATGTTCTTTGAGGCTACATGCTCCAGATGATGCAGCTGTAAGACACACGAGAGATGACCGACCCACATCATGCTTACCTACATTTCAATAAAATGTATTAAGCTTCTGAGATTTGGGGATTTGTCTCTGTTGTAAGGTATCCTGATGAATACAGACTTCCCCGTTCCCTAAAACTTCTCAGAGCCAATGCAGGCATGACAATTTTCAGTTAGAGGCATCCTAGAATAGGATATCTGTGCTTGAGCCAGAAGATGCCATGGACTTAGGAGGTCTGTACGTTCCCAGACCCTAAAAAGTCTTTACACCTTCTGAGTGGCGTTACACACAGCTCCAAGAGAAAACTGGGCTCCTTGGGTTAGTGGTGATAAATTATGTTCACATGGAGTAAGAAGATTTAATTAATCTTACAATAAATTTTCCAATGGTGACTGCACTATGAGTTGAACTGGAACCAGAAGTCTGATATTCTATTTTAAATCAAGCATACTAAGTGATATGGTTTGGATGTTTCTCTGCTCCAAATCTCAAGTTGAAATGTAATCCTCAGTGTTGGAGGTGGGGCCTGGTGGGAGGTGTTGGGACCATGAGAATGGATCTCTTGTGAATGGCTTAGTGCCATCCTCTTGGTGCTGAGTTCTCATTTTGAGTTCATGTGAGGTCTGTTTGTTTGAAAGTGTGGGGCACCTCTCCCTTCACTCTCTTGCTCCCACTCTCACCATGAGAGCTGCCTCCTCCCCCTTTGCCTTCCACCATGAAGGCAAAGGCCTTCCTGAGTCCTCCCCAGAAGCAGATCCTGGCACCATGCTGGTTCCAGTGCAGTCTGCAGAGCCAGGAGCCAGATAAACTTATTTTCTTTATAAATCACCCAGTCTCAGGAGTTTCCTTATAGCAATGCAAGGACAGACAAATACACTAAGTACAGCCTAATATACGAAGGTTTTGGTCTTTTATGCAGTAAATTAAACAAAATATTAGAACCAAAGGATATTTTAGAAACAACTGGTTTATGTCTTTCAGTTTAGCTCACATATTGAATGATGGCTGCTAGGTTCCTAGCATTCTTCAGTTCACTGGGAAGTCAGAGATAATGCAACTCAATTCCTCTGTGGTGCATTCTCGACCGGGCATCTGCAGTGGAGCTCATTCTCCTGCCAAGCACACAAGTGAGTCTGGTTTGCTGGAAACCATGGCAACAGCTACCTCAATAGCTTTGCCTCATCCCTGCTGTTCAGTTGCCTGAGGACAAACTGTCCAGAAGGAGGAGGTGAGAGATGAAGAGGTCAATGACAAGGCTTTAACAGGTGGACATATCACAACCAGCGATGCACTGCTGAGGAACATGGAATTTATACTTATGTGGTTTGGAAGCAGCCTTAGAAAGAGGAGATTTATTTAAGGTCACATTATTAGATTTGCCTAGACTAAGACTAGAAATACATTATGTCTTCCTGATTGAGGGCAATTTATTCCCTTTCATACCTTCCTTCCTACTTTTCACCCTCATAAGCTATCCTTTTATTCTTTTATTGATATCCTCTTATAGAAAATCCAAATACTAGTATGTTTCTCATCTTCTGAAAACAGAAAATTATGAAAAGATTATGAAGGACATAAAAAACAGGTTGAAAGGGAAAAGACTTTCCTGAACATAGAAGGCAAGGTGGTCTGAGAAGCCAATAATATGTCCCTTATAGGAGGGAAAATTTTCAGGATGGCTGAGTGAGTTTTGAAAAGGAGGGTTGTATGCATCAAAAATTCAGTTCAGATTAGATATGGCTTTCTAAATGTACTTTCCAGCTTACAATATGTATGAACTGAGATTTTCCCAAACATTCTTAATAAAATACTGACTACTGCCAATCTCTGTAGATAATTAGTAGGTTATGAAGGAGATTGAAACCAGATCCAAAATCCAGAAGACGTGATCTATGTTGGGTTGGGACTTGGAAAGGCACAGCACATAGGAAAAATGTACCAAGGAATAATAGATGTTCCCACGTTTAGGATGACGCAGATAACTTCCTCACAAACTCTTGGAATAAAGAAGAATCATGACTGGTTTAATAGTCATATAACATAATCTTAAATAGTCTAGGCTTTGGAGTGAGATTTTTGTCCTCCTATTGCCAGTTTCTATCTTGGCAAACTTGGGCATATTCCTTCGTGTCTCTAAGTCTCAGGTCAATATTTAAAATGAGGATTATACATGGGGTTTTGCCTTAGAGTTTTATGAGGGTTAAATGGGAAGATTATGGAGAGAAGCAGAGTCCATCCTGAGCAAAAGCTGAGATACTCTATGAAGACCAGAGACCGCCCCTTGCCATTCAATGGGGCACACATCTGTGGCTGAGACTATTTGGTGAGTGGTTCCCCAAACCTGCATCCCCTCCTTCCTGAACACATAGCTAGGTGACATTTCCCAGCCTCCCTAACCAGTTAGTTGTGGCTGGGCATCTGAGTATTAGCCAATGCAATGAGAGCAGAATTAAAGTGTGTGACATCCAGTTGCAGCTTTTAAAAACTCTCACGTGCAATCCTGTGCTGCTACTCCTTGCACTGTTTGTCTCAGCTGAGCACAGCACACTTGAAGCTACTTATTGAAGATGTGGAGCTTTAAGCTGGAAGGAGACTGCATCAGCTCCCTGATTCAGTACTTGGAAGAGAGAACTCACTGAACAAAAACACCTATTCTGATTCTACATGAAATGATAAATATATTTCTTTGTATTATAGTTACTATATATGTTTCAAAGTGTTTGCAACAACAGTTAGCTCAGCACCTCAGCAATGCAGCACCATGTTACCCTGACTGAGAAGCATAGGTGATTATTTTTCTCATTGTTGGGTGAGGCCTTCCTCATGTGTCCACTAGTGTCTGTGGATGATCAGGCCTGTACCCTTACACTTTGCTAGTTCCAATGCAAAATTCAATTTCAACTGCTCAGGATAAGTCTAAGCCACAGCACCCCCCAAAAGTTGAAATTCTCGGTTCCTTAAAGATTAGTAGTATAGAAGGCAAAGCAGCAGCCCTATGATATGGTTTGGCTTTGTGTCCCCACCCAAATCTCATCTTGAATTGTAATCCCATAATCCCCACATATTGTGGGAGGGACCTGATGGGAGGTAATTGAATCATGGGGGTGTTTTCCCCCATGCTGTTTTCGTGATAGTGAGTGATGGTTTTATAAGTGTCTGGCATTTCCCCAGCTGGCACTCATTCTCTCTCCTGCCACCCTGGGAAGAGGTCCCTTCCACCATGATTGTAAGTTTCCTGAGGCTTCCCCAGCCATGTGGAACTACGTGCCAATTAAACCTCTTTTCTTTATAAATTACCCAGTCTTGGGTATTAATAGCAATGTAAGAACAGACTAATACACTATGACTGAACTTTGAGAATGGACAGCAATGTGACCTACCCCAGTTAAACTTACTGTAAATCATCAACCCCATCATCTTACCATCACTATCACCATCATCGCCATTACCATCATCACCATTATCTTACCATTGTCACCATCACCATTATCATCACCACCACCATCACCATCACCATCATAATCCACATCATCACCATCATTACCACAACCATTATGACCATCACTATCATCAACCATTATCACCATCACTATTATCAGCAGTACCATTGTGTTATTTTTATTTTTATTTTGGTATAGATGAGGTCTCATTATGTTGCCCAGGCTGGTCTTCAACTACTGAACTCAAGTGGTTTTCCCACTTTGGCCTCCCAAAGTTCTGGGATTACAGGTGTGAACCATCATGCCCAGCCTAGCACCGTTATCATCCTTATCACCATCATCATTTTTTGTTGTTGTTTTAGAGACAAGGTTTACCCTGTCACCTAGGCTGGAGTACAGTGGCTTGATCACAGCGCACTACAATCTTGAATCCTGGGCTCAAGCAATCCTCCTTCCTCAGCTTCCTGTCACCATTATTATCATTACCGTCATCATCATTATTGTCATTGTAAGTAAATCTGTGCACTCATGTGTTTACTCACTACATAGGTATTGAGCAGCTACCAGCTGCAAAGACTGGGTCTGTTTTCTGGTGGAGCCTACATTATGAAGTGAAAGAAGACAATAAACACAGAATCAAGTGAATGTAGAATGCAATCTTTTATTGTAATAAGTGCTATAAAAAAAGAACAATAAGGATACTGTGGAGGAGGCTATTATTTTAAAAAAGGTGATCAGGTAAGTTTTCTATGAGTGGAGATTTGGGACAGAGTAAAGTAAATTATAGTATAAAATTGCAACCAGTGTATTAAAATTAATACAGTCAAGATGCAGAAAATTTTATCACCACAAGTTGAGCATTTTAATTATGTCTTGAATTTTCCAAATGTCTTTCCCCCCCTTTTAAACAGATTTTAATTTTCAGGACTATTTTAACTTTACAGCAAAATTGAACAGAAAATACAGAGATGTCCCATATACTCCCTGCCCCCAAACATACTCAGCATTCCCCCATATACTCCCTGCCCCCAAACATACACAGCATTCCCCGCCAGTGCTGTAGGTTTGTTACAACTAATGAACCAACATTTACATGTTATTGTCACCCAAAGTCCACAGTTTACATTAAGATTAACTCTTCGGGCTAGGCATGGTGGCTCAGGCCTGTAATCCCAGCACTTTGGGAGGCCGAGGCAGGTGGATCACGAGGTCAAGAGATCGAAACCATCCTGGCCAACCAACATGGTGAAACCCCATCTCTACTAAAAATACAAAAATTAGCTGGGCGTGGTGGTGCACGCCTGTAGACCCAGCTACTTGGGAGGCTGAGGCAGGAGAATTGCTTGAACCCAGGAGGCGGAGGTTGCAGTGAGCCAAGATTGCACCACTGCCCTCCAGCCCAGGTGACAGAGCAAGATTCTCAGAAAAAAAAAAAAAAAAAAAAAAAAAGATTAACTCTCCATGTTGTACATTCTATGGGTTTTGACAAATGTATAATGACATGTAGCTACCATTATAGTGTCTTATAGAATATAATACGGTATGATACTATACATACAGTATATGTGGAGTCTACAATACTATAGTTTCAGTGCCCTAAAAGTCCTTTGTGCTTCACCTAGTCATCCCTCCCTCCCCTCAACTCCTAGAAATCACTGATCATTTTACTATTTCCATAGTTTTGTCTTCTCCAGGATGTCATAGGGTTGAAATCATACAGTATGTGGCATTTTCAGATTGGCTTCTTTCTTTCTTTTTTTTTTTTTTTGAGATGGAGTCTCGCTCTGTCTCCCAGGCTAGAGTGCAGTGGTGAGATCTCGGCTCACTGCAAGCTCTGCCTCCCAGGTTCAGGCCGTTCTCCTGCCTCAGCCTCCTGAGTAGCTGGGACTACCGGCGCCCGCCACCATGCCCGGCTAATTTTTTTTTTGGTGTTTTTAGTAGAGACGGGGTTTCACCGTGTTAGCCAGGATGGTCTCAATCTCCTGACTTCGTGATCCACCCGCCTCGGCCTCCCAAAAGTGCTGGGATTACAGGCGTGAGCCACTGCGACCGGCCAGCTTCTTTCACTTACTAATATGCATTTAAGTTTCCTCCATGTCCTTCCATGGCGTGATAGTTCATTTCTTTTTATCGCTGAATAAAATTTCATTGTCTAAATATAACATTGTTTATTTATCCATTTACCTTTCATGTTTTGGAAATTGTGTTTCTATAAATATCTGTGTATGGGATTTTGGGTGGGCTTAAGTTTTGAACTCATTTGGGTAAAAACCAAGGAACATGATTGCTGGATTTTGTGATAAGACTATGTTTGGTTTTGTAAGAAACTGTCAAACTGTCCTCCAGGGTGGCTGCACCATTATGTGTCACCAGCAATAAATGACACGCTGGTGTTCCTGTTGCTCCACATGCTCACCAGCATTTGGTGGTGTCAGTGTTCTGGATTTGGGCCATTTTAATTGGTGTATGGTGATATCTCATCGATATTTTAATTTCCTAATGCCATGTGATGTGGAGCATCTTTTCATACGCTTATTTGCCATCTGTATATGTTCTTTGATGAGGCATCTTTTCTGGTCTTTTGCCCAATTTTTAATTGGATTGTTCCTTTTCTTATTGTTGAATTTTGAGCTGTCTGTTTTGAGTAACAGTGTTTTATTAGGTATACATATTTTTTCAAATATTTTCTCCCAGGCTATACCTTTTATTCTCATTCTACCGGCAGTGCCTTTTGTAGAGCAGAAGATTTAAATTTTAATGAAGTCCAGTTTATCAATTGTTTCTTTCATGAATCATGCCTATGGTGTTGTATCTAAAAAGTCATCACCGTGCCCAAGGTAGTCTAGAATTTTTTGCTGTTCTCTCCTAGTAGTTTTATAGTTTCTCATTTTATATTTAGGTTTATAATCCATTTTGAGTTAATTTTTATAAAGGGTATAAGGCCTGTTGGTCGACCTTTAAAAATATGCATATCCTGTTATTCCAGCACCATTTATTGAAAAGATTTTCATCTTTTCCCCATCGTACTGCCTTTGCTCCTTTTTTTTTTTTTTTGAAACGGAGTCTGGCTGTGTCACCCAGGCTGGAGTGCAGTGGCATGATCTCAGCTCACTGCAAGCTTCGCCTCCTGGGTTCACACCATTCTCCTGCCTCAGCCTCCTGAGTAGCTGGGACGGCGCCCGCCACCATGCCCGGCTAATTTTTTTGTATGTTTAGTAGAGATGGGGTTTCACCGTGTTAGCCAGGATGGTATCAATCTCCTGACCTTGTGATTCACCCGCCTCGGCCTCCCAAAGTGCTGGGATTACAGGAGTGAGCCACTGGGCCCAGCCCACCTTTGCTCCTTTTCAAAGATTGACTATATCTACATGGGTCTATATTCATGCTCTTTCACCTATTCCATTCATCTCTTGTCTATTCTTTTAACAGTGCTATACTGTTTTGATTACTGTAGCTTTATGGTAAATCTTGAAGTTGGGTAGTGTCGGTCCTCTGACTTTGCTCTTCTTTTTTTATTTATCTTTTATTATGTTGGCTATTCTAGGTCTTTTGTCTCTCCATATAAACCTTAGCATAAGTTTGTCAATATCCACAAAATAACTTGTTGGGATTTTGATTTGAATTGTGTTGAATCTAGAGGTCTAACTGAAAATAACCAACGTCTTGACAGTATTGAATCTTTCTACTCATGAACATGGAATATCTCTCCATTTATATAGTTATATGATTTTTTAAATCAGAATTTTGTAGTTTTTCTTATGTAAATCTTGTGCATACATTGTTAGATTTATAGTTAAGTATTTCAGTTTTGGGGATGCTAATGTAAATGGTATTGTGTTTTTAAGTTTCTCTTGTCCTTTGCTGGTATATAGGAAAGTGATTGAATTTTGTACATTAACCTTATATCTGGCAGCTGTTGAATGGTAAAGACCTTTCCTTGGTTATACAGCTAATGTGTGGTGTTGGTAGGATGTGAATCCAGGTTAGTCTGACATCCAGGTTCTCTAAACCATTATTAGCTTTCTTTTCTGGAATTCCCTTCACCCATTTATCCCCGTTTGTGATCGCTGTTTAACATTCTGTGCACTAAAAGGACTCAGCTATGCCCCTACTGACTCTAAAGAGCTTTTGCAGCTGCCTTTTGCCCTACCCCAAAGAAGGTTGAGGGCCACTATTACTTATTTGTATTTTTTTCATTCTAACCCTTCGTTCCTTTAGGGAAGAATCTAGCTAATTTATCCCTGCAATCCCAGAGCTTAGAACAAGGGTTGACCCAGAGATAGCAGTGAGTAGATATTGTTTTAAATAAATTACTATGTGTTAATGTCTGGTCCATGTGGGGTGGGAAAGGCCTGGAGAAAATTAGGTGTTTAGAATTAAAATCCTATGCTTAGGCAGACTACCAGGTCTGCATGTTTACTGAGGCATCAGGGATCTTGTGGTTTCCTTCAAGAAAATCCCAAGCATGTAGATTTTTTCCTCTCCTCACATTATGGCTTGAGAAAATTGAGATGGAGCCTGTAAACATAATTTTAGAGTAATTTAAGTAGTGAACCAAAACCAAGAACAGAGGCATGCTTTCCTTGATTTACATGAGTGTCAAAGTATTTCTCATGCAAACATTACTTCA